>NC_000002.12:60493382-60796412 GCF_000001405.40 Homo sapiens | reverse complement strand
AATCCCAGAACTTTGGGAGGCCAAGGCGGGCGAATCACTTGAGGTCAGGAGTTCAAGAGCAGCCTGGCCAATATGGTGAAACCCTTTTCCACTACAAATACAAAAATTAGCCACTACAAATACAAAAAGATCGCGCCATTGCACTCCAACCTGGGCTACAGAGCGAGCCTCCATGTCCAAAAAAAAAAAAAAAAAAAAAAAAAAGGAAGGCAAAATCTAGACTTCTGTAATGGGGATAGTTTCTTGTCAAGAGATGACTGCTTAATTCTCCTCTTGTTTTACCTTGGCTAAGCCAGTATCTGTATCATATCCATATGCATTAAAACAATTATGAGCAATTTCAGATATACAAAGAAGTAGACACCAGGGCAATAAGGACTTAAATGCCAAAACCAAGTTTCAGACATTATTACAATTTTGCTGCAATTGTTTGGTGTACCCACTTTCCCTTTAGACTGGATATATTAAAAAATCCAGATATGTCATTTCACTCTTTTGTACTTCAATATCCATCTCAAAATTTTTTCTTCCACCATGACACATAATTATACGTTCATATTTTTTGTAACTTAATCTTATGTTAAAGGCTCAAAATCTACAACTAATAGCCTGTGAGTATACTATTTTGCTTTAGAATAGCTACTACATCCTGGAGAACCTGGCAGGGTAACAGTTGATGAAAAGCACTTTACTATTTAATGGCCATTCTGTTTTATTATAAATTATAATTTATAATTATCATCATATATATTTATAATTATTTATCATTATTATAAATAAGCCATTCTGTTCATTATAAACTCTCAGAGAAGGTTTTTCTCTATTTACACAAGGCTGGTTTTTGAGTACTTGCTTTTTAGCATACCACACTTAATACTACACACATTTTTAGTTATAAAAGTAATTCTTCAAATAATAAACATTTAAATTACAATTTAGGGGCGTTTAGCTCATGTTTTAAAGGTACTTACTATATATACCACTACATTTGGTTCCTCTAAAATATTAATACATATGGTTCCTAATTATCAAACCTATGTTTTGGCAGTAAGCAATAGTACACAACAGAGATATACCTCCAGGTGCTTGGTAAGAAATTAATGTGCTGAGCATCCAACTGCTTCTTTAAAGATAAAAAACAAAGGGTGAACATAATCTAAATAGATAATAAAGTTGTCTTAAACTACTGCCTCTTTTTTAGACTTTTGAGGTACATACATTCAGAACTATATACTTGCTATCTCCAACCCCAACTACACTGCTAGTCCTTGGGGACAGGGACAAAATCTTACTTTTTCCCAGTGCTAGGCTCTTAATAAGCCTTTTGTACTTGTAGATTACCTATGAGTTTTTACCTATGTACTGTACCTATGAACAAGACTATCTTGTTACCTTTTTGCGTGATGTATCAATAGTTGGAATAGGCATAGATTCTCCTCCAATGGCATCCTAAAAACAGAAGAATCAACACAAGTGAAAACTAACTTTCCTATATGCAAACACTTATTTCTACTTAAAATAAAACCTAACGAAAACCTGAAAATAAATCTAATCTGACCTACTTTCTAATATGGCACTTTTCCTGATACATGGCGCTTTACAATAAATATTCTGAAGCACACTATTAATATATTTACCACTGATTTTCTTTTTCTTTCTTCAGCAGTGCGGGGGTCCTTAAATGTTGATTCAAGTCGAATAAACTAAAATATAAACATTGAAATAGATTGCTATTATGTACCTACAAAAACCCATATAAATCTATATAAACTGGAAAACTAGTTATTGGTTACACTATTATAAAAATTACTATAAACATGGATTGGTAAGAGAAGATAATTTAAATTAGATTGAATTCAACTGCCACCGTTAATTTCTACAGTTTGGGTGATCTTTTTGGTTAAATCAATTCAGATTCTAACAAATATAGTTTTACCACCACCTACTGGAAGCAGGGCATATCAACACACAAGAAATGAGATTTTGTTATCAGTAATGACTTCTGTAAATCAAGGAGAAACTCAGACCAATCATTCAAATTTTCAGACGTATTAGTAATTTCAATTTAGGATGAGCAATTAATATTGTTTCTTTAAGATTTGGGTAAATATTCTTTTCAGCCAACTCCTAACAGAACACCAACAGCTATGGAAAATTGTTTCTTTAGTATTAACTATAAAAAATATCAACTACTGAATTACCACTAAAGTTGTAACTTTACCTTTTCTACGTCTTTCAACCTCTTAGGAGTCCCATCTATGGATGGGGAATGGGATCTCTTAGGTGTAACAGTCTTAGTTATATTTGACATTCCATTCAGATGCGGTTGTCCCTGGGCAGGGTTGTGAGGTGTTGTGATTCTAGGAATGACATTTCGTCCTACTACGGTAGGAATGGTACACACAGTGGGGGGTGATACAGTTTTTACTGTAGAGTCAACTTCTGAAAAGGAAAAAAAGGATTTTAATAATTAAACATTTATGTAATTTTTTTTTCCTTGAGACAGGGTCTCTCATTCCCATCACCCAGGCTGCAGTGCAGTGGCTTGATCACAGCTCACTGCAGCCTTGACTTCCCAGGCTCAGGTGACCCTCCCACCTTAGCCTCCCCAGTAGCTAGGACTACAGGCGTGTGCCACCATGCCTAGCTAATTTTTTGTAAATATAATTATTAATATATACAAGTTTAGATACCTACTTGCGCCAATCACTGGAATGGAAAGTCCTTGGGCTGGTGGTACACTCAGTGGCTTCTCCACAATTACAGCAGCAGGCTCAGCACTATTCCTAATGAAAGTGTTAAATTATCATCAATAAATGATTTAAATATTACTTTTTTTCTCCTTTTTTGAGAAAAGGCCTCATTCTACTGCCCAAGTTGGAGTGCAGTGGCACAATCACAGCTCACTGCAGCCTCAACCTCCTGGACTCAAGTAACTTTGCCACCTCAGCCTCCCAGGTAGCTAAGAACATAGGTGTGTGCCATCATATCGGGTTAATTTTTTAAATTTTTATTTTTGTGGAGACAGGATCTCACTATGTTGCCCAGGCTGGTCTTGAACTCCTGAGGCTCAAGCAATCCTCCTGCCTCAGCCTCCCAAAGTGCTGAAATTATAGATGTGACCCACCACGCCTGGCCCCATTAGTTATTTAAAACACTCTTGTTGTAACATTTACCACTGCTTTTTTTTTTTTTTTTTTTTTTTTTAGACATGGTATTGTTCTGTCACCTAGGCTAGAGTGCAGTGGCATGAACACATGGATCACTGCAGCCTCAACCTTCCGGGCTCAAGCTATTCTCCCACCTTGGCCTCCCAGGTAGCTGGGACTACAGGTGTGCACTACCATGCCGAGCTAATTTTTGTTTTTGTTTTTTTGAGACAGAGTCTCGCTCTTGTTGCCTAGGCTGGAGTGCAATGGCACGATCTCAGCTCACTGCAACCTCCACCTCCTGGGTTCAAGCGATTCTCCTGCCTCAGCCTCCCAAGTAGCTGGGAATACAGGCACATGCCACCACACCCTGTTAATTTTTGCATTTTTAGTAGAGATGTGGTTTTGCCATGTTGGCCAGGCTGGTCTCGAACTCCTGACCTCAGGTGATCTGCCCGCCTTGGCCTCCCAAAGTGTTGGGATTACAGGCGTGAGCAACTGTGCCCGGCCAATTAATTTTTGTATTTTTTTGTATAGACAGGGTTTTGCCATGTTACCCAGGCTGGTCTTGGAACTCCTGGGCTCCAGCAGTTCGCCTGCCGTGACCTCTCAAAGTGCTAGGATTACAGGCCTGAGCCACCGTGCCTGGCCACAACTGTTGGCTCAGGCCTGTACTTTAACATTTCATTGAACTAAAAGGGGGAAAAATGCAGAGGACCCAGTAAGAAGAGAAAAATTTAAGCAACAAATGTGTACATTTCTGTGTACCTATCTAGTCCCATATGCTCATAAGCCTATACCGTTTCCCACAGGATTACCACGAGTTATTTCTAAGCAAGAAATTGACCAGCAGCCAGTAAAATGAAATCTTTTAACAATTTTAAAAGGCAGTAGCAGAGGTATAGAAAAGTTCACATTATCCTCAAATAAACTGAACAGAAAACCAAAAGGACACATTTGAAATAAAGACAGACCTTTCTGTTTCTCCTACAGAAGGGCTATCAGACTTGGACGCTGGAGAATTAAAAGGTGTTCCATTATCAGTGTCTCTGGAGCTATCCAGACAACTGCTATCCAGAGACAATCTTTTGGATTGAAGTCCGCCCGAGCTTCGATTGACATCAGAGAGACTTTGCTGAAAGAAGGGAACGATTTTAGGATTTCAAAATGCAAATGACAATATAAAGACTGGTTTCAATTCTGAAGGTCACTTAAGCAAATTATCTCTTGTGATTAATGAAAATGAGATTTTAGTCCTAGATTGAACTGCCTATATCTTCCTTATTTTTCTCAATAGGTTTGGGAGCTGTAGAATGCAAATTTGGTCCCAGATCATTTGTCTGAGTAAAACCATACTGAAGGGTTAAGATTATAAACTCACCTTTTTCTTCTTTTGAAGAATTTCTGCAGGAAGGTAGTGGTGAAGTTGTTTTTTCTTTACATGAGTTGCTTCAATTTTCATTCCCTCCTTTAGCATATTTATATTGTTTGCCTGTCTGTACACTGTAACAATGTTAATATGTTAAATGGGAAACTTCTTTCTGAACCAAGGGTTCTGCCTAATTTTTCTGAAATGCATATACTTTTACTATCTCCCCACTATCACCACCGGCCACCCACCCACCCACAACCCTCTCACAAAACAAATATTTTTAATACACTTCCATCACATCACAATCCTATTCATGAATCCACTAGTTTTTCTTTTTTTGAGATGGAGTTTCACTCTTGCTGCCCAGGCTGGAGTGCAATGGCGCAATCTCAGCTCACCACAACCTCCACCTCCTGGGTTCAAGCCATTCTCCTGCCTCAGCCTCCCGAGTAGCTGGGATTACAGGCATGCGCCACCACGTCCAGCTAACTTTTTTGATTTTTCGTAGAGACTGGGTTTCTCCATGTTGGTCAGGCTGGTCTAGAACTCCTGACTTCAGGTGATCCGCCCACCTCGGCCTCCCAAAGTGGTGGGATTATAGGCGTAAGCCACCGTGCCCAGCCATGAATCCAATAGTTTTTCCATGTCCACTTTCTAAGACTTTCTCATAATCAAACCTTGTTGATAGAATAAATATATTTAAAAAACGGTATTTTCCAGATCTTATTTTCTGATATTTTCCCCAAAGGCAATCTCTCCTCATAACTACTTGCCCAGGTCTAAGCTAATTCTTTTTTTTTTTTGACACAGACTCTCGCTCTGTCATCCAGGCTTGAGTGCAGTGGCACAATCTTAACTCATTGCAACCTCTGCCTCCGGGGTTCAAGCTATTCTCCTGCCTCAGCCTCCCCAGTAGCTGGGACTAGAAGCGCATGGCACCATGCCCAGCTACTTTTTGGATTTTTTGTAGAGACAGGGTTTCATTATGTTGGCCAGGCTGGTCTTGAACTCCTGACCTCAAGTGATCCACCCACCTTGGCCTCCCAAAGTGCTGGGATTACAGGTGTGAACCACTGCACCTGGCCTTCTAAGCTAATTCTTAGGCCAAATATCCAAGGTGCAATTCAAGCTATCCTCCTCCTCCATGAGAATTTACTACTGCAGCTACCACACCAATCATAGAATGACAGACTTCAGGAACCATCTTACAAATACATCCTTATTGTACAGTTGAGAAAAGGAGGCTAAACAGCTCTGAATACCTTGCCAGGATCAGAATCCACACAGCCCTAGATTCCCATTCTAGTGCTTTTCACGCCTTATAAGAAAATGGGTTTTATTAACTCACACACAAATGTCTTAATGTTTTAATTGTAAATATACCCAATGAAAAAACAGGTTTTATTAACTACCACACAAATTTCTTAATGTTTTAATTGTAAATATACTCAATGAGATTATAAGCCCACTGAAGACAGGGATGGGAGGCTTGTTTTACACAGCAAGTACTGTGAGATGTAGTAAATTATTTAATCTCTTGGGGCCTCAAGTTTCTTAATCTGAAAAATAATATCTTATAAATTTATAATAAACTATGTCCCAGTCTTATCCTTTCTAAAAAATTTAAGCCCTAATTAGAATGGAAAAATTTATGGCGAATGTTTTTATTCCAGATTGATTATGAAAGAGTTACCAGGAGTGCTTGTTTAAGTTGCAGATTCTCTGGCTCCCTCCCCAGAGTGTGATTTAATGGTTCTAAGGTGAAACATAAGAATCTGCATTTTCTTTTCTTTTTTTGAGATGGAGTTTCGCTCTTGTTGCCCAGGCTGGAGTGCAACAGCGAGATCTCAGCTCACTGCAACCTCCGCCTCCCAGGTTCAAGCGATTCTCCTGCCTTAGCCTCTGGAATAGCTGGGATTACAGGCACCCGCCACCACACCTGGCTAATTTTTGTATATTTAGTAGAGATGGGTGGGGTTTCACCATGTTGGCCAGGTTGGTCTTGAACTCCAGACCTCAGGTAATTTGCCCGCCTTGGCCTCCCAAAGTGCTGGGATTACAGGCGTGAGCCACCACGCCCAGCCAGGAATCTGCATTTTCATGATAAATATGAGGGCTCTTTCAAAAGAATTCAGAAAACCCAGATGAGCCAAGCCAATACCTTTAATAGTATGAATGTATAACTATTCCAGATTCTTAAGATAAATAACCCCAAATTTATAACAGATACATTAAGATATTCCAGAGTTGTGACTAGAGGGCTAGATGTGAAAGACATACTTTTCACTGATCCTGAAATATATTCAGCAATTCTGTACTTACTGATATTTATTTCATATCAAAAACATAAAAGTCTGGCCAGGTGCGGTGGTTGACACCTGTAATCCCAGCACTTTAAAGAGGCCAAGGTGGGCAAATTGCTTGAGCCCAGGAGTTCGAGATCAGCCTGGGCAACATGGCGAAATCCTGTCTCTATTTAAAACAAACAAAAAACCCATAAAAATCAAGTCTTTTATTTTTTATTTTTTATTTATTTATTTATTTTCTATTTTATTTTATTATTATTATACTTTTAAGTTTTAGGGTACATGTGCACAATGTGCAGGTTAGTTACATATGTATACATGTGCCATGCTGGTGTGCTGCACCCATTAACTCGTCATTTAGCATAAGGTGTACTTCCTAAAGCTATCCCTCCCCGCTCCCCCCACCCCACAACAGTCCCCAGAGTGTGATGTTCCCCTTCCTGTGTCCATGTATTCTCATTGTTCAGTTCCCACCTATGAGTGAGAATATGTGGTGTTTGGTTTTTTGTTCTTGCCATAGTTTACTGAGAATGATGATTTCCAATTTCATCCATGTCCCTACGAAGGACATGAACTCATCATTTTTTATGGCTGCATAGTATCTCACTTTGTCACCCAGGCTGGAGAGCAATGGCGCAATCTCGGCTCACTGCAGCCTTGACCTTCTGGGTTCAAGCAATTCTCCCACCTCAGCCTCCCAGATAGCTGGGAGCACAAGGCACGATACCTGGCAAACTTTTTTTTGTATTTTTTGTAGAGATGGGGTTTCACCATGTTGCCCAGGCTGGTCTCAAACTCCTGAGCTCAAGAGATTCACCCATCCCAGTCTCCCAAAGTATTAGGATTACAAGCACTTGTGAGCCACCGTGCCTGGCAAAAATCAAGTCATCTTTAAGACTGTGATCACAAACCCCGGTTGTACATACAAAGAGCTTTCCTTTCTTTGTTTTAAAACAGATAACATTCAGCCAGGCGAGGTGGCTCACACCTGTAATCCCAGAACTTTTGGGAGGCCGAGGCAGGATCACTTGAGGTCAGGTGTTCAAGACCAGCCTGGCCAGCATGGTGAAACTCCGTCTCTACTAAAAATAAAAAAATTAGCCAGGACTGGTGGCACGCACCTGTAATTCCAGCTACTCGGGAGGCTGGGGCATGAGAATCACTTGAACCCCAGAGGTGGAGGTTGCAGTGAGCTGAGATCGCACCACTGCAGTCCGGCCTGGGTGACAGAGTGAGACTCTGTCTCTTAAAACAAAATAAAATAAAACAGATAACATTCACATGCTACAAAACTTAAAGCGTTGAAGAGTATTCAGTGATGTCTCCTTATCCTGTACCCTGACCTAGAAGCAACCAGTCTTGCCATTTTTTTTAAACTAAGTATCCTTCCAGAGATATTCTATGCATTTGTAAGCAAATGTGTATTTATTTTCTTTTATTTTTATATAAATAGCACAGTGTACACAGTGTTCTGAATTTTACCCCCCACTTAATATATCTTGGAAATTGCTTCATAATGCTTTTTTTTTTCTTTTTTTCTTTTTTTGAGACAGTCTCACTCTGTGGGCCAGGCCAGAGTGCAGTGGGGCGATCTCGGCTCACTGCAACCTCCTCCTCCCAGGTTCAAGCAATTTTCCTGCCTCAGCCTCCCAAGCAGCTGGCATCCGCCACCACACTCTACTAACTTTGTATTTTTAGTAGAGACGGGGTTTCACCGTATTAGCCAGGCTGGTCTCGAATTCCTGACCTCAGGTAATCTGCCCGCCTCTGCCTCCCAAAGTGCTGGGATTACAGGCATTAGCCACCGCACCCGGCTCCTTTCCTGTTTTAACAGCAATACGGATATGCCATGTTCACTTAACCAATTGTGGAACTTTAATAAGTACAGCCAGCCAGATTGTAGGCAGATGACACTGAGTAATAGCCAGGTTTGAGAATCACAGCTCTATGATGATGGAGTCTTACCTGTATCAGTAAATGACTGTATATCATATGTCAAGTCTATGTTGACACTTTCTGCATTTTCTACTCTCCGAAAAATTATCCCAAGGAACCACATTGATACGTAATTGTTGCTATAAAGTAAAATTTAAGAATTTCCATTAATTATTATTATTTTTTACAACTTTACAGATGCTATTTCATAATTAAAACTTGGTCTCTATGTCTCTATCTCACAAATACAGATTTCAGTGGTCTGGCCAGATTCTTAAAAGTGACATCCAGAACTGGTAAGTTATCCCCTGTTGTTCTGAGAAGGATTAAGCAGCTATGAAAATGACTTACTAAATATATTCTTAAAGATGCTCCAAATATTGTGATGGTGTTTTGCTGGGGTTTGTGGGCTACCAAAGTAGTTATGTACTTATTTTTAATGCCTAGACACTCAAACTCAAATATATAATGTGTCATACTCCCATCAATGCCTGTTAAACAAAAATCTCACAATTACTCTGAAATGATGCATATACCAAATAACATTATTTAAGAAATAAAGTATTATAAAACAATTAACTTACTCTTTATGATGTTCCTTATTCCCTGGGAATGACTGGGGATTCACATGGGCAAGAGTAATAAATTCATTCCGTTCCAAGTTTCCAACAAGTACACGGATTTTAGATTCTACTAATCCAACCCTAAAATAAACAACAAACACAATTTATCTTATGTCCACTTTAAATTTGAAAGCTACACTCAAGTAAACCAAACAGCATATTAACTACGAAGCTTTACATGTTCATTAAAAAACTTCGGGCTGGGCATGGTGGCTCACATCTGTACTCCCAGCACTTTGGGAGGCAAGAGTGGGTGAATCGCCTGAGGTCAGGAGTTCAAGACCAGTTTGGCCAACACGGCAAAATCCCGTCTCTACTAAAAATACAAAAAATTAGCTGGGTGTGGTGGTGAGTGCCTGTAATCCCAGCTACTTGGGAGGCTGAAGCAGGAGAATCACGTGAAACTGGGAGGTGGAGGTTGCAGTGAGCTGAGATTGTGCCACTGCACTCCAGCCTGGGCAACAGAGCAAGACTCCGTCTCAAAAAAAAAAATTTCAGGCCAGGTGCAGTGGCTCATGCCTGTAATCCCAGCACTTTGGAAGACTGAGGTGCACAGATCACCTGAGGTCAGGAGTTCGAGACCAGCCTGGCCAACATGGTGAAACCCTGTCTTTACTAAAAATACAAAAAAAATTGGCCGAGTATGGCGCACACCTATATTCCCAGCTACTCAGGAGGCTGAAGCACGAGAATTGCTTGAAGCTGGGAGGTGGAGGTTGCAGTGAGCTAAGATCACCCCACTGCACTCCAGCCTGGGTGACAGAGTGAGGTTCCATCTCTAAATAAATAAATAAATAAAATAAAAATTTCAGCCCAATATATTAGGAACCCCATTTTAAATGCAATTGTAAACACAATTGATTTTATATCAACTTTAAATATGAAAGCTACACTCAAGTAAACCAAACAGCATATTACCTATGAATCTTTACATGTTCATTTAAAAATTTCAGCCCAATATATTAGGAACCCCATTTAAAACGCCATTGTAGTAAATGACAAGTTAGTAGATTTCTGTGTGTTCTTTTTTTTAATAGAAGAACTAATCTATGTAATGCATTCCTGAATCTAAAATACCCTTAGTTAAGACTATAAAACAGTCATGGCTTAGGGCATGAACAAAAACTGCTGGTTTATCTAGTCCTGAATCTTTTTCTACCTTCAAATCTTATGTCTCAAACCTAAGGCTAGGCTAGGCCAGGTGCGGTGGCTCATGCTTGTTAATCCCAGCACTTTGGGAAGCTGAGGCGGGAGGATCACGTGAAGCCAGGAGTTCGAGATCACCTGGGGCAACATAGTGAGATTCCATCCCTATAAGATAAAAAAAAAAAAAAAAATCAGCCAGGTATGGTAGCAAGGGCCTGCAGGCCCCAGCTACTTGGGGAGCCGAGGCAGGAGGCATCGCTTGATCCCAGGAGTTTGAGGTTGCAGTATGATCACCCCACTATACTCCAGCCTGGGTGACAGTGAGACTCCGTCTCTAAAAAAAAAAATAAATCCTAAGGCTAAGATAAGTTTAAACAATGAAACTAATATTGGCACATAATATATGAAACAATCATGCTTGACTTTGCATTTAAAAAAATTCACGGGCTGGGCACGGTGGCTAACGCCTGTAATCCCAGCACTCTGGGAGGCCAAGGTGGGTGCATCACGAGGACAGGAGATTGAGACCATCCTGGCTAACATGGTGAAACCCCGTCTCTACTAAAAATACAAAAAATTAGCCAGGCGAGGTGCGGGCGCCTGTAGTCCCAGCTGCTTGCCAGGCTGAGGCAGGAGAATGGCATGAACCTGGGAGGTGGAGCTTTCAGTGAGCTGAGATCGCACCACTACACTCCAGTCTGGGTGACAAAGCAAGACTCCATATCAAAAAAAAAACAAAAAACAAAAAAAGAATTCACTAAATTTGGATCACATCCTATTAAAATACAGCAAGTCTCATCGGATTTCTGCAATTTTATTTCTATCTCACTTAAGAAATGTGACCGATGGCAGCTTGCTTATTAATGACTTTATGAATTAGAAACATTACAAGAACATTTTAACATTTTTTAAAAACATCAGCAAAAGCTTATACATTATAATTATGTGTGCTTTAACAGTAAATCTACAAAAATCTGTGTTATTCCAGTGTCATCTAAATGACGGGTTGGCAAACTTTTTCTGTAAAGGGCTAAATAGTAAATTTTAGGGTTTCTGGGCCATACAGTCTTTGTTACACCTATTCAACTTTGCTATGAAGCACAGAAGCAGCCATAGATAATATATAAACGAAGAAACATGGCTATGTTCCAATAAAACTTTATAAAAATAGGTGGCAGACTGAATTTGGCCTAGACCCTATTTTCTGACTGCAGATCTAGACAAACAAAATACTGTTTCAGTGACAGGATTATTTTCAGAGTTCCTTTAATTACCAATGAAATAAGGATTAAACTCTTGAAGCAAAAATAAAACAGTATTGCTGTTTTGCTTTTCCAGAAGTCAGACCCAAGGAAAGTACAACCATCTCTGGTGGTCTAACAGCTTCCGTCTGATAGAGCCAAGGATGTGAATATAGTAGAGGCAGAAGGGATAAATTTAGATGCACTAGAAAGAACACACTACTTCTTGACCACAAATATCTCTTACCTGTTGACGGAAGCTTAATCTGAAAGATTTAAGCCATTATCTCCTAAATTAAAAGGATATACAAAATGTCTTTTCTACTGAGTTTTGTTGGAGGTAAACACAATGGCAAAAATGAAAAACTCAGGCCGGGTGTGGTGGCTCACGCCTGTAATTCCAGCACTTTGGGAGGCCAAGGCGGGTGGATCACGAGGTGAGGAGTTCAAGACCAGCCTGGCCAAGATGGTGAAACCCCGTCTCTACTAAAAGTACAAAAATTAGCTGGGCGTGGTGGTGGGTGCTTGTAATCCCAGATACTCTGGAGGCTGAGGCAGAGAATTGCTTGAACCCGGGAGGCGGAGGTTGCAGTGAGCTGAGATCACGCCACTGCACTCCAGCCTCAGCAACACAGCGAGACTCCGTCTCAAAATAAAAAATAAAAACAAAGAAAAGAGAAACTCAGATGGTAGCTATCAGAATCATCCAAACTAGCTCAAAATTTTGCTTAAATCTGGCTGAGAAGCAATAAGAAGCAACATCTATACATGTGTCTTTTGCTCATGTCCCTCCTGATTCTGAAACATTAATTTGATGGCATATTTTAAACACTGAAGCTCCATGGTCATGCACAACAATCACCAGTAAGATATAATAATTTTACGGATCACTTGAGGTCAGGAGTTCGAGACCAGCCTGGCCAACATGGTAAAACCCCATCTCTACTAAAAATACAAAAATTAGCCACAGGGCATAGAAGTGCACACCTGTAGTCCCAGCTACTCAGGCGGCTAAGGCAGGGGAATCACTTGAACCCAGGAGGCGGAGGTTGCAGTGAGCTGAGATTATGCCACTACACTCCAGTCTGGGTGACAGAGGGAGACTCCTTCTCAAAAAAAAAAAAAAAAAAAAAAAAAAAAGGCCGGGTAAAGTGGCTCAGGCCTGTAATCCCAGCACTTTGGGAGGCTGAGGTGGGCGGATCACCTGAGGTCAGGAGCTCGAGATCAGCCTGACCAACGTGGCGAAACTGAGATCGCGACACTGCACTCCAGCCTAGACAACAGAGACTTTGTCTCAAAAAAAAAAAAAAAAAAAAGAGATATAATAATTTTGAAAATCAAGCAAGAAAGTACTTTATAAATGGTAAAGCACCATATAAATAAGTTACTATCACCACACAGTAGGTAGAAAACTTGAAATAGAAGTCTTACCACTCTAGATGGTTTTCTTCTGTTGATGCGCTGGCAGTCAATACTATATAATGTCTGAAGAATTTTCAGCAACAATCAGGAAAAAAAGCCAGAAAAATTGTTACAGCCTGCTTTTTAATCATCCCCTTTTTTCCCTCCCTCTCACTGAACAAATGAGCTAATAAAGGCACACAGTTTATGAAAATTAAATGTGCTCTGATTTTCACAAAATTAATTCTAGGTCCTACAAGTAAAAAACAATTCACTTTAAAAAGTCACTAATACTGGATTAGATACTACCAGAATAAAGAAACACTCTTATCTCTTAGGATTTTTGTTAATCTATTCTCTCTTGCTTAAGAAATAAAAGAGCTGTCACCTGCCATATATTAACTATGTTTAACATTCTTCTTTAAAAAAAAAAAAATCACATACATACAAAATACAAAATTTCACGTACCTATACTTTTGAAAGAAATTCGGTGGCTCAAGTAGTTTGGACCAATCTGACTTTCCTTGAAGAATTTCATCTGTGACTGCAAGACCTAAATTAAAAAAAAAAAAAAAAAAAAAAAAAGAAGAAGAATGATTTTGAAAAGGGACCAGCTCTTAAATCACTCTACTACTACAAAATCTCAAACTCCACCAGACGAAATTTTTTTTTTTCTTTTTTTGAGACAGAGTCTCACTCTGTCACCCAGGCTGGAGTGTGGTGGATCTATCTCGGCTCACTGCAACCTCTACCTCCTGGGTTCAAGCGATTCTCCTGCCCCAGGCTCCTGAGTAGCTGGGATTACAGGTGCCCACCACCACTTCCGGCTAATTTTTGTGAGACAGGGTTTCACCAGGTTGGCTAGGCTGGTCTTGAACTCCTGACCTCAGGTCATCTGCTCGCCTCGGCCTCCCAAAGTGCTAGGATTATAGGCATGAGCCATCGCGCCCGGCCCACCAAACTCTTGAGTAACAAAATATAAATATATATAATGTTGTTTCTTAGAACACAAAAAATTAGTTTCAACCAGACTGGGCTGGCTCCATTTTTGGCCTTAATATTATCATATACTTTTGAAAACTCATTACTAAAAAACAAAATAACCATACTTGAAAGAATTTTTAGAAAGAATAGGTATAACTCTAACTGCCAATCCATAGCTGCAACAGAGAATAAAACTGTTAACCAAAAACTTGTGGGAATATGTAAAGGGCAACAGGGCCACATGTTTACCTTGTTTAAATTCTTCTACCATTACTGTTCGAGTTGATGTGGACACATTATACGTAGAATTCTGTTGTGGGTAGGCAGGGGTGATTATGGGCATGAGATGATACCTATCTGATGGATTTACCTGTGAAATTAGAAGCAGAATAACTGATCTATTCTCCTATTTCAGTTGTTCTCACTTCATTTCCCCAAAAGTCTGAAGAATATGAAATATAAATTTAATACTACATTTCCTCAAGTTTAAGAAGTACATTTTCCCTCCCCAACTGCATTTATTTCTGAAGTTGGATATGTCTGATAGTCAAAGTCAAAGGAAATACTGCAGAAGTATATTTTTCCTCAGAAAAGCTGTTAAATTGATGTGCATCTTATAAACAATGATCTCTTATAATCAAGGAAATACAGTATTATAACTACAAAAAGCATTATCTGGTTTAATGGTTCTCAATCCTTTTTCACCACCCACTCAATGGATGACTTCCCCTTGGTTACCTAGAGGAATGAGCACTCACTCTAAAAGCAAATTAAAATGCAAGATATGGGAGAATTATGCTACCCTGGAACAATGAATTTGCTTTAAATTGTATTGCAAAGTAAATCTTTTATTATACTTTAGTACTTTATTATTAGTAACCAATTACTTTTTTTTTTTGAGACGAAGTCTCAACTCGTCACCCAGGCTGGAGTGCAGTGGCACAGTCTCGGCTCACTGCAACCTGTGCCTCTGGGGTTCAGGTGATTCTCGTGCCTCAGCCTCCAGAGTAGCTGGAACTACAGGTGTGCACCACCACGCCCGGCTAATTTTTTATATTTTCAGTAGAGAGGGGGTTTCACCACGTTGGCCAGGCTGGTCTTGAACTCCTGACCGCAGGTGATCCACCCGCCTCGGCCTCCCAAAGAGCTGGGATTACAGGCGTGAACCATCATGCCCAGCCAAGTATCCAATTACTTTTGAGACATTTTTTCCACACTGGATTATGACACTGTCCATAAGACACCCACTCATCTTACATGGGCGATTTTTAATGACATAACATTTGGATCAGCATTAGTGATCCTAATCATCTGCACAAAAAACAAAACAAAAACCACAGCAGAAGGAGGAAGGGGACTATAGTTATATAGAAGGAAGAACAGAGACAAGAGGAACTATCTTTAACTAGACTGTAATTTAGTGAAATGTCCTCTTCCTTAAAAGCTTTAAAGAAACTCCATAATAAATCACATACCCGAGGATCCCAGACAGGCAAATTCAAATTGCTTTCTTCTGGTTGCTTCAGCAGCACAGGATTTGGCCATTCCCTGACATGAATAAGGCAAATTAACTTACACATGATCTCACTTCAGGTACTACATGAAACTTTATAATTATTAGATTGTTCTAACCTTCTACAGAGTGAATGTTCTGGGTATTTGGTATTAAAGGAAAAAAAGGCCGAGCATGGTGGCTCATGCCTGTAATCCCAGTACTCTGGGAAGCTGAGGCAGGCAGATCACCTGAGCTCAGGAGTTCGAGACCATCCTGGGCAACATGGAGAAATCCTGTCTCTACTAAAAACACAAAAATTAGCCATGCCTAGTGGTGCACGCTTATAGTCCCAGGTACTCAGGAGGCTGAGGTGAGAGGATCACTTGAGCCCAGGAGGCAGAGGCTGCAGTGAGCTGAGATGCATGCACTCTAGCCTGGGCAACAGAGTGAGACCCTGTCTCAATTAAAAAAAAAAAAAAAAAGGCTAGGTAAGAAAGTATACAAAGGAAAGGCTGCTCATTTTAATGCAGTGTTCTCTGAAAGGGCAAATATTACTTTTCATTAACTGTAACTAATTTACACCTGAATCTTTCACTTCCTTCTCATTTGCTTTCATGGATTTAATTCCGATAATTTAGTAACAGCAACAGCCAACATTTACTGAAAATACTAATATATCAATGTGATTATCATCTCCATTTTACAAATGAGGAAAGCTTAAACGACCTCTACATAACTAGTAATTTGCAAAGCCAAACTTATTTTAACTGCTCTCCCAAGCTAAAGGCCCACATTTACAAATCCCTGGAAGAAGGTGCCAATTAGATGTCCCACCATTGCCTCAAAGTTGATGTTTTATACTTTCAACTTTACAAAGCAATGTAAAACAACAGAAAAAGTCTATGTATAGCTCTTAAATTTCCAAACAAACTTACGCATAGGTAGAGATTAGTAAACAGTCAAAGTACACACGTAAATACTTACCACTTGGAAAAAACTAAAAAGAACTTATGAACTAAAGTAGATGCTGCTGCATTTGGATACAATTGGCAAGTTCTTGCAACTAGCATTGCCCAGGAGACACCACCAAGGAATCCTAGCATGTTGGAATAAATACCACGTCCTAGAAAATCAATATATTTGTTAATTATTATTAGGACCTACTATCTGTGACATTCTTTTTTTTTCTGCTCTTTACAAGGTGAATGAATATCCGTGACATTCAACAAGGTAACTTTATTCATAAGACGGTTGGTTGGAAATTTTCCCCTATAAACAAAACATTAAAACTGATAAGCAGACCTTCACATTAGGCCCACAGTCTAATTAGTAAACCATAAATTGCTAATCTTACCCTCCTTACTTTCCCTTCTAATACAGACACCTCAGTTCTTTGCCTCAGTTCCAACTGCCCAACTGGGCTCCACTGATACTACATTGAAATTCCCCATTTTTCAGTATTTAGGATTGAGAGAAAAATGAAAGGAAGGAGACATTTGGAGAGACAATGGGGAAGAATGAATATTTAATTAATAATCATATTCATGGGTATTTTTAAATCAAGTATAAAGCTGGAGACTTACTTCAGTATTTCACAGAATTTGGATACCTCTCCATAAAGTAGAATACACCACTGATATCATTCATTTCTATTTTTTTTTTTCTTTTTTTAAGAGATGGGCTCTCACTCTGTCACCCAGACTGGAGTGAACTGGCACAATCATAATTCACTGTAGCCTCAAACTCCTGGGCTCAACTGATCCTCCACCTCAGCCTCTTGCGTAGCTATGATTACAGGGGTGCACCACCATGGTTGTCATGACCGTTTTTTATATAGCTATCTATATTATGTCCCGCCAAGCGAGCAAAAGAAAAAAACCTACAAAATACCAATTTCAGATGTGGTAAATATGAAAAATATGCATCTAACTGACAAAACATGGCATTTAATCTTTAAAGAAGGGCAAATTGTTCATGTTATCCCTTCAGTGCAAATTTTACTTTATCTTAAGTATACAAGACACTTGAGCCCAAGGACAAATTCTACTTGCTTACTATCTTTTTAGACCTGCACTGTCCAATATGGTAGCCACAAGCCATGTGTTGCTATTTTTTAACTTGTAACAGCTTTATTGAGATGTAATTCACATACCATAAGATTCGTCCATTTAAAGTACACAATTCAATGGTTTTTTAGTATACTGAGAGTTGTGCAATCATCAACATGATCAATACTAGAATGTTTTCAGCACCCCGAAAAGAAACCTTTAACTGTCACACTCAGCCAGGCACTGTGGCTCACACCTGTAATCCCACCACTTTTGGAGGCCAAGGCAGGAGGACTGGTTGAGCTCAGGAGTTTGAGACCAGCCTAGCTAACATAGCAACACCTCGTCTCTGCTAAAAAATAAATAAATAAAATAAAATAAAATAAAATAAAATAAAATTAGCCGGGTGTAGTGGCATATGCCTGTAGTTCTAGCTACTCGGGAGGCTAGAGTGGAAGGATCGCTTGGGCCCAGAAGGTTGAGGCTGCAGTGAGCTATAATTGCACCACTGCATTCCGGTCTGGGAGATACAGCAAGCCCCTGTCTAAAAAAATAAAATGAAATAAAATATAAAGGCATACCTCGTTTTGTTGTGTTTTGCTTTATTACACTTCACAGATACTGAGTTTTTTACAAACTGAAGGTTTGCGGCAACCTTGAGTTGAGAAAATCTTTCAGCACCATTTTTCCAAGAGCATAAGCTCTCACTTCATGTCTCTGTGTCACATTTTAGTAATTCTCACAATATTTCAAACTTTTTCATTATTATTATATCTGTTATGGTGATTTGTGATTAGTGATCTTTGATGTTACTATTGTAATTGTTTTGGGGCACCACAAACTGAGCCCATATAAGACGGTGAACTTGGTAAATGTATATGTTCTGAATGCTCCACCAACTGGTCATTACCCATCTCTCTCCCTCTCCTCAGGTCTCCCTACTCCTGGAGACACAACAATACTTAAATTAGGCCAGTTAAGAACCCTTAATGGCCTCTAAGTGTTCAAGTAAAAGAAAGAGTCGTATGTCTCTCACTTTAAATCAAAAACTAGAAAAGATTAAGCTCAGTGAAAAAGGCATGTTGAAAGTTATGATAGTCCGAAAGCTATGCCCCTTGTGCCAATCAGTTAACCAAGCTGTGAATGCCAAGGAAAAGTTATTGACAGAAATTACAAGTGCTACTCTCCAGTGAATATAGGAATGACAAAAAAAGTAAAACTGCTTTATTGCTGACAGAAAAAAAAAATTTTTTTTTGAGACGGAGTCTTGCTCTGTCGCCCAGGCTGGAGTGCAGTGGTGCCATCTCAGCTCACCACAACCTCTGCCTCCTGGGTTCAAGTGATTCTCCTGCCTCAGCTTCCCGAGTAGCTGGGATTACAGGCACGTGCCACCACACTCGGCTAATTTTTGTATTTTTAGTAGAGAGGGGGTTTCACTATGTTGGTCAGGCTGATCTCGAACTCTCCTGACCTCATGATCCGCTCGCCTCGGCCTCCCAAAGTACTGGGATTACAGCTGTGAGCCACTGCGCCTGGCTGCTGATAGAAAATTTTAACGGTCTGGATGGAAGATCAAACAAGACACAATGTTTCCTTAGGCCAAAGTCTAATCCAGAGCAAAGCCCTAACTTCTCTTCAATCATATGAAGGCTGAGAGAGGTGAGGAAGGTGCAGAAGAAAAGTCTGAAGCTAGTGAAGATTGGTTCATAAGGTTTAAAGAAAGAAGCCATCTCCACAACTAGAAGTGCAACAAGTGCTGATGCAGAAGTTGCAGGAAGTTATCCAGAAGATCTAGTTAAAATCATTGATGAAGGTGGCTACACTAAACAACAAATTATCAATGTAGATGAAACAGCCTTATACTGGAAGAAGATGCCATCTAGGACTTTCACAGCTAGAGAGGAGAAGCTTGGTTTCAAAGCTTCAAAGGGTAGGTGATTCTCTTGTTAGAGGCTAATGCAGCTGGTGACTTTAAATTGAAGCTGGCCGGGCATGGTGGCTCATGCTTGTAATCCCAGCACTTTGGGAGGCCAAGGCAGGCAGATCACCTGAGGTCAGGACTTCAAGATCAGCCTGGCCAACATGGTAAAACCCTATCTCTACTAAAAATACAAAAATTAGCCAGGTGTGGTGGCACATGCCTGTAATTCCAGCTACTTGGGAGGCTGAGGCAGGAGAATCACTTGAACCCAGGAGGCGGTGGTTGCCGTGAGCTGAGATCGCGCCACTGCACTCCAGCCTGGGCGAGACAGTGAGACTCCATCTCAAAAAAAAAAAAAAAAAAAAAAAAAAATGAAGCCAATGCTCATTTAACATTCCCAAAATCCCAGCGCCCTTAAGAATGATGCTCACTCTACTGTCTGTGCTGTACAAACAGAACAACAAAGCCTAGATGACAGCACAGCTGTTGACAGCATGGTTTACTGAGTATTTTAAAGCCCATTGGTGAGATCTACTGCTCAGAAAAAAAAAAGATTCCTTTCTAAGTAGGACTGCTCTTTTGACAATGCACCTAGTCACCCACGAGCTCCAGTGGACACATACTAGGAGATTAAAGTTACTTTCATGTCTGCTAATACAGCATCTATTCTATAGCCCATGGATCAAGGAGTTATCTTCTTGTTTTACCATTTAAGAAACACATTTTGGAGCCGGGCTTGATGGCTCACGCCTGTAATCCCAGCACTTTGGGAGGCCGAGGCGAGCGGATCACAAGGTCAGGAGTTGGAGACCAGCCTGACAAACATGGTGAAACCCCGTCTCTACCAAAAATACAAAAAATTACCCGGGTATGGTGGTGCGTGCCTATAATCCCAGCTACTTGGTAGGCTGAGGCAGGAGAATCACTTGAACCCGGGAGGCAGAGGTTGGTGTGAGCCAAGATTGCCCACTGCACTCCAGCCTTGGCGACAGAGCAAGACTCCGTCTCAAAAAAAGAAAAAAAAAAAAGACTACAGTATAGTGTAAATGTAACTTTTATATGCACTGGGAAACAAAAAAAAAATTGTAATTTGCTTTACTGCAGTTGTCTGGAACCAAACCTACAATATCTCAGAGGTGTGCTTAAATAATAATACAGAATGTGCTGTGCCAGCTCAGTGGTAAGCAAAGGGATTTTTATGAACCTAAATATATAAACTATATATATAAACTAGTAACAGTTCCAGGCTTTATTAGAAAAGTGTTATAAGGTAAAAACAAGTGAAAGTCATCACTGTAGACTCTTCACTTAATGAACACCTACTACAGTATAAACCAGACTCTTTGCTGGTGTGAATACAAAGATACGTAAGATGGTGTTACCCACAGGGAGGGTATCAGTCTTCAAGTTCTGAATTATTCTGACTGCCTGACTGAACCTAAGATGAAAAGTCAGGGCTTTAAGTTTTTACCCAAGGGAGGAAGAGGTATACTACTTATCAAAACACCATAACCACTGTACTTGAAAAGCAAATAGCTATTACAGAGTTTATTGGCCCTTAACCTCCAACAATATCATTAGGTTCAGAGTTTCTATATATGCTTCTTTCACTGGCAAGAGAAAATTAGAATTTTATAATGCAAACATAAAAGACTAGGGATACTTACGTTTTGCCCATAATTTGACAGCTCTTAGGGTGAGTCTAAAAGTTTCTTTATTTGGCACTAAATGCAAAATTTCATCAGTAACTCTACAACCTGAAAAAGACAAAGCATTCATTTTTCACTATGCAGCAAATTCTCAGTTAATTCAAATGCCCTCCTAACTTCCAGACTCTCGAATGCTAAAAATATGAAAGATAATAAAACATTGGGGCTTATTTTATGTGTATGAAATTTACCACTTATGAGAAATCAGTTTGCTTTAGGGTAATTAAAAAAGACATGGGTAATGCAATCCAAAATGAGATGTGCCTGAGTATTTTTTAGTTTTCTTCCTTGACTATTAATCAAATACCTCCCAATTACAACACTGTAATTACTTCAATGTAAACCTTTTCCACAAATACTGTAATTTACTGTTACAATCTGGAAATACACCAAAGTGCAATAATGATTCGGTCAAACAAGACACTATAAAACATTGGTTCTCAATCCCAGCCCTTTGGTAGGCTGAGGTGGGTGGATCACCTGAGGTCAGGCGCTCGAGACCAGTCTGGCCAAAATGGTGAAACCCTGTCTCTACTAAACATACAAAAATTAGCCAGGTGTGGTGGTGGGCATCTATATTCCCAGCTACTCAAAGGGCTGAGGCAGGAGAATCGCTTGAACCCGGGAGGCGGAGGTTGTAGTGAGCTGAGATCACGCCACTGCACTCCAGCCTGGGCAATAGAGTGAGACTCTGTCTCAAAAAAAAAAAAAAAGACATTAGTTCTCAAAGTATGGTCTGGGTACCCCTGGGAATCTGTGAGGTCAAACTTTTTTTATAATAATACTAAGGCTTTTTTCACCGTGTTAACATTTGCACTGATGGTGCAAAAGAAACAGTGGATAAAACTGCAGGTACCTTGGCAGTCAATCAAGATGGGGCAACAGCGTGAACCCGGGAGGCGGAGTTTGCAGTGAGCCGAGATCGCGCCACTGCACTCCAGCCTGGGCGACAGAGCGAGACTCCCGTCTCAAAAAAAAAACAAAAAACAAAAAACACATGGGGCAACAAACTGCACTAGCAGAAAAAAATATCTTCACCACCACACACTTGCAGTTAAAAATAAAGGTGGGGAAAGAACATGTGAAACTGTGTAAGTTGTAAGCTCAACTACCTGCTTTTTTCAAGGAACACCAGTTTCACCTGAAAAAATAACTGGCAGATAAACTATAGTTATTCAGTTAGGTATTTCCTTAAAAATGGACAAAAGGAACCTCTCAGTTCAACTAAAACAAATGACAAAATTTGTTGCCAATAATAAAATTTAAGCTTTCAAGTTAAATCTGAATTTCAGACAACTTTTATCTGTTACTATGAGCTTGACACCTTTCCATACTTTTCTGTTGAGACTGGTCACTAATGACTGCTGGTTTTTTTTTTTTCACATTTTATAGTGAAATGTGTATTAACATTTGGAACATCCAAATAATTTTGTGAACCAATATTTTCCAAATGACCAAGGCATGATAGTACAAAATCATGCATGAATAAAGGGACCACTCAAAGAACAAGACAGATCAGTGGACTGTCATGTAACAGAATACAACAAGTTTGATATGATTTTAGATTCCATACTCTAACCTTTAAGAAACTATCATTTTTATTCAGCAACAAAACGGAACAAATACAGATAAACCTCACAAACATGCCAAATTAAAGAACCCTTACGCAAAAGACCACATAGGATTATTTTTATATGAAACGTCTTTAAGAGGCAAATCTACAAAGAAATAAAGCAGATTAGTGGTTGCCTGGGACTGCGGATTGGAAGGGGAAATGACTGCAAATGGGTATAAAGGATCTTTTGAGGGTGATAAAATATTCTAACATTGGATTGTAGTGTACTAAAGACCAGTGAAGTCCGGGCACGGTGGCTCATGCCTGTAATCCCAGCACTTTGGGAGGCTGAGGTTGGCATCACCTGATATCGAGAGTTTGAGGCCAGCCTGACCAACATGGAGAAACCCCGTCCCTATTAAAAATACAAAAAGATCAGCCAGGCGTGGTGGCACATGCCTGTAATTTCAGCTACTCAGGAGGCTGAGGCAGGAGAATCGCTTGAACCCAGAGGCGGAGGTTGCAGAGAGCTGAGATCGCGCCATCGCACTCCAGCCTGGGTAACAGTGTGAGACTCCGTCTCAAAAAAAAGAAAAGAAAAGAAAAGAAAAAGACCAGTGAGGTGTATAATGGTATGTAATTATATCTCAATAAAACTGTTAAAAAGAAAAAAAATGTTACTGGCCAAGTTTAAGAAGAATATCCATAATTATCTGAAAAGGCTATTAAAACACTCCTCCCTTTTCCAACTAAGAGGACAGATTTTTTCTTTCTTTTTTGAGACGGAGACTCGCTCTGTCACCCTGGCTGGATTGTGGTGGCATGATCTCAGCTCACCACAACCTCCGCCTTCTGGGTTCAAGTGATTTTCCTGCCTCAGCCTCCCGAGTAGCTGGGATTACAGGTAAGCACCACCACACTTGGCTAGTTTTTTATTTTTAATAGAGATGGGGTTTTACCATGTTGTCCAGGCTGGTCTCAAACTCCTGACCTCAGGTGATCTGCCTGCCTTGGCCTGCCAAAGTGCTGGGATTAGAGGCATAAGCCACTGTGCCTGGCCTCTTTTTTTTTTTTTTTTTTGAGACAGGGTCTCACTCTGTCACCTAAGCTAGAGTGCAGTGGCGTAATCACGGCTCACTGCAGCCTCCACCTCGGGGGCTCAGGTGATCCTCTCACCTCAGCCTCCTGAGTAGCTGGAACTACAGGCGAGTGCCACTACATCCAACTAAATGTTTTTTATTTTTGGTAGAGATGGGGTTTCACCATGTTATCCTAGCTGGTCTGGAAACTCCTGGGCTCAAGTAATCCATTCACCTTGGCCTCCCAAAGGGCTGGGATTACAGGCGTGGGCCACCACGCCCGGCCAGATTTTATTCTTATATGTTAACCAAAACAAAATATTACAATCAATTGTAGACACAAATGAGAATCTAGCTGTCTTCTATCAGGCCTAATATTAAAGAGACTTGCAAAATGTTAAAAAAAAAAAAGAAGCCATTCTTCACACACAAAAGTTTATATTAATTTAAAATGGGTTCATTATTTATAAATGAATAAGTACTTTTTAAATTTCTCAGTTTTTATTTTTTAACATGGTAAATATTGACAGATATAACCCACATAAACAAAAGCTTTTTGGGGTCCTCCATAAATCTTAAGAGTGTAAAGAAGTCTTGAGACCAGTAAGTTTGAGAACCAGTAATATAAATATACACAGCCTTTCAAATAAATTTGTGGTTTTTAGGATTCTTAAATGTGGTCACATTATCTGTATAAGGAAAATTACATTTTAAACTGAGTCCAATCTCCAAAACTGAATAGTCAATTCAGCAAAAATATCTATATTTCTCTAATTGTTCTGAAGCAGGTATCTGAGATTTCTTTTTAGAAGCTTACCATTTAAGCTGCGAATACACCTTATATCAAGGCTTCTCAGGCGAGA
Source organism: Homo sapiens (assembly GCF_000001405.40). NCBI lineage: Eukaryota > Metazoa > Chordata > Mammalia > Primates > Hominidae > Homo > Homo sapiens. Next base: position 60,771,584 of record NC_000002.12, on the reverse strand, counting down.
GTCGTCTCTTAGATCTAAATTATCTGATATGGTTTGTATTGCCAGTCTTGCAAAGACTAGATCAATCTTTGGAAAGATGTGAAAAAAGAGAAAAAAATTACATTTTCTCCTTTTAATCCATCCTCTCCCATCCCACCAAAAAATGTGAAAAGCTCTGGTTATGAGTTTGGGAAGTTCTACCAAAGCTTCGATAGGCCTATGTAGGCAGTCTCACATGGGAAAATCACTATAAAGTTGTGTTAAGGTAATTAAACTTTCAATTAATGAAAGCATTTAAATGTTAACATATATGCCAAGCAGAAAAAAAAATCAAAGCCTTATGAGCAAATTTCTAGATAAAGATAGAAGATCCAACACACATTTACATTCACTCCCTCTTGAAACCTCACTAAAATACCACGAAAATTCAATTTTATTTTTGTGTTTAGTATTATTTTGATGTTAAAGGCAAAATTCACTAGGACAAAGAACAGAAAGTGACAAACAAAAGCTATGAAAGCTGGAAAGCAGATGGACAAGTGGTAACAGACCCAGTAGACCTAAGAAAGCAGATAAAAATGTCATATCTAGGAAATAAGGTCAGGAGGCTGTAAATAAATGCAGACAAAAATAAAAAGGAACATTTAAAGAATAAAATAGTATTCTTAGAAATTAAAAATATGGGCCAGGCGCGGTGGCTCATGCCTGTAATCCCAGCACTTTGGGAGGCCAAGGTGGGCGGATCACGAGGTCAGGAGATTGAGACCATCCTGGCTAACACGGTGAAACCCCGTCTCTACTAAAAATACAAAAAATTAGCCAGGTGTGGTGGTGTGTGCCTGGAATCCTAGCCACTCAGGAGGCTCAGGTGGAAGGATCACTTCAACCCAGGTGCTCAAAGGTGCAGTGAGCTATGATTGTGTCACTATACTCCAGCCTTGGCCATAGAGTTAGACCCCATCTCTTCATTAAAAAAAAAAAAAGAGATTACTTGATTTTTTAAAATATGCATTTATGTTAAGCCTGATTTCAGAAAACAAACTTACAAGTTTAAACAGTTCAATTGTAAAGTCAGAAAAATATTAAACACTTACTTCAATACCATCAAATTCAAATTTTATAACAGGTACAAAGGCATCTTCTACAGCCTACAAAAAAGGAAAACAATTATAACACATAGGTGTAATCCCTTCTTTATCCTTCCTAACTACCAATAATGTGAATATCTTTACTCCCGATTTGTATTTTAACCACATAGAAGTAATCCCTTCTTTATCCTTTCTAACTACCAATAATGTGAATATCTTTACTCCCGATTTGTATTTTAACTCAATAGACAAAGTGAAAATGTTTCTGGTCTTACATTCCAGGTAAGTATTTCTACTTTGTGACCTGTATTATGTAAGATACACAAAATGCCTGTTACAGTATCTAATTTATTATCCCTCTAAAAATATTCCTCAGAACTGGAAAGCAAAACTGCTATCGTCTGCAGCCATAAAAAACAGTGAGTTCATGTTCTTTGCAGGGACATGGATGAAACTGGAAGCCATCATTCTCAGCAAACATAGGAACAGAAAACCAAACACAGCATGTTCTCACTCATAAGTAAGAGTTGAACAATGAGAACACATGGACACAGGGAGAGAAACATCACACATTGGGGCCTGTCGGGGGGTGGGGGACAAGGGAGGGAGAACATTACGACAAATACCTAATGCATGCAGATCTTAAAACCTAGATAATGGGTTGATAGGTGCAGCAAACCACCATGGCACATGTATACCTATGTAACAAACCTGCACGTTCTGCACATGGTATTCCAGAACTTAAAGTAAAATTAAAAAAACAAACAAAAAAACAAAAACCTGCTATCATCTGGGTACTTATAATTTCGAGTCTAAACTGAAAACTGATTATTTAGAAAGGCTACTAGAGTTAGAAATTTTAAAATAATGAAAGCTCATGATTAATCTATCAAAAATTTAATTAATACAGTTGAGATTAGTAGAAACCATTAGGTTTTCTGAGTCTTCCTTAACTCCCCAACCTAACAAATTCTTAACTTCCTTGTCTAAAAACATTCCCAGATTCCCCAAATATCACAGATTCTTTGACCTTCACCTTATTCTAGCACTTCAGAATGCATTAACACTGTTTTGTTTATTTAGTTCACATAACCCCCTCCTCAATAAACAATGTCTTGTTTACTATTGTATCTGTAAGACTAATGCCAGCATCTAACAAATTACTAGTGCTGAAATTTTATTTGCTGAATGAATGGCTAGATATACACATATAAAGAGTTACTAACTGAACCTTACACATAATAGCACTCATCATTTGATATGTATCAATCATTGTTGGCTACTACAGTAAATGGTTTATGTAAATATCTCATCAATACTCAAAAACCTTATAAAAAAGTTATTACCACATCTCTGTTTTACAGATCAGGAAACAGGCTCAGAGGATTAGGTTACTTGACCAAGATCTAGGAGCTATTATGTAGTAGATTCTAGATGCCAACCCAAGTCTGTATAACTCTAAGGCCCATGTTCTTAATCATGATTTAATCATCACTTATTAAAGCTACTCTTATTAAATACCTCCTAATAGTAACTTAGAAGGTATTTCAATAGTTTTAAGCCCTAGTTTTTATAGATATTTGTTACTAATCTAAATTCAAAATATTAAATGCCAGAGGATACTTACTCTTAAGTTTCTAATGCCATCTTGATGTTTCAATTTTTCAAAAAAAGACTGAAAAAAATCAGATCTTTCCACATGTCTTGGAGCTACACAAAGTGCATCAATGTCAGCTCCTGTAAATTAAAGTAGTTCTTAATTAAGAATATATTATGTGTTATATTCTTTGTTAAAGTACACACAAACATATGTACAGAAGAAAGTATGGAAGTTGAGTACAAGAAAATGTTAACAATGATTAGCTCTAAGTAGTGAAATAGTGGGAACTTTGTTCTCCTACATTTTCTAATTATGAAGAGTTTGTTATTGAATGTTCTTAGCACTAGAACACAGAAAAGCAGTTACCTTTGGTGTGTACTCCAAGCCTATAGGATCCAAATGTGAAAATTTTACCACCAACAGTAGCCACAACAGAAGGTGGGAGGTTCTAAAATAAAATTAAGCGGAAGACATTCAATTATTCAAATTATTTAGCATAAAAGTCACCTCAATGTTGGCTGGGCATGGTGGCTCACACTTGTAATCCCAGCACTATAGGAGGCCAAGGCCGGTGGATCACCTGAGGTCAGGAGTTCAAGACCAGCCTGGCCAACATGGCAAAACTTCTTCTCTACTAGGAATACAAAAGTTAGCTGGGCGTGGTGGTGGCCACCTGTAATCCCAGCTGCTTGGTAGGCTGAGGCAGGAGAATCACTTGAACCTGGGAGGTGGAGGTTGCAGCGGCCGAGATTGTGCCATTGCACTCCAGTCTGGGGAACAAGAGTGAAACTCTGTCTCAAAAAATAAAAAAAAAAATCACCATAATGTCTACTGACCTTTATTGAGCAAATGATACATGATTAGATTTGCCAACCTTGTCAAGATTAGATTTGTAAAAGTGCTTCACAGATCCTCTGGTTGTGATCTGAAGTAATAAGGGTATTCCCAGAGGAAAGACAAAACAAATTCACCCCCACTACACATACATACATCCCTATCTGAAGAAAAGCTTTTCTTTTTAATCACTTGACCATACTTGTCCCCTCCAACTGCCTGTCTTTCGCTTCATCACTCTTTCGGTAGTCAACAAGGAACTCTCAGTTACCAGACTAATGTGCTTTCACCTCTCTAAAACATAACACTCTTGGCCAATCCCATATCCCCTTTAGTTTTTGTGACAGGTATGTTTAATTTCTTGATTCTAGCTCTACAACCTTTCTGTAAGAACGGAGTCATTCCTGACATGATCTCCTTATGAGAGCTATTCTAACAAGCTTAATTAACATTTCTTGGATTATAATGTAATTAAAATGCTACTTTTTGGCTGGGCGTGGTCATGCCTGTAATCCCAGCACTTTGGGAGACTGAGGCAAGAGGTCCACTTGTGTCCAGTTCAAGACCAGCCTGAGCAACACAATGAGACACCATCTCTACAAAAAAGAAAACATTAGCTAGGCATGTGGCGTGTGCCTGTAGTCTCAGCTACTGAGGAGGCTGCAATGGGACAACTGCTTGAGCCCAGGAGGTTCAGCCTCAACAACAGTGAGACCTTGCCTCAAAAAAAAAAAAAAAGAAAGAAAAAGAAAAAAAAGCTAATTTTCACCTCTTGAGAGCTAGTTCCAAAAGCCCATCAGATAGTCACTCAAGTATCCTGATCCACTTCAATATCCAGCCTCAAGCAAGCAAAAAAATTCTTCCAATGATAACAGTCAGATATTGCTTCTGAGTTCTCTATTTTTGTTCCTCATTATCCTTACTGCCCAAACCTTTTCCTTCTTCTTGGCTTACCAATTCTTAGCTTATATCCCTCAAATTTGTGGCCTCCTTTCTATTCAACGACTACTCCCCTAATTCTAGGCTATTTAATGGCATCCTAAACTACCCCTAATTAATCTTCCTTTTCTCTTTCACTATCTTGTATAAAATTCACTGGCTGATGTTCTTAAATTACTCTATTAAATATAGTTGTTGTACTCAAAAGTTGCCAATGTCTTCTTCCCTAACTACTGAGGTAAGGATCCTTGGGCCTGTTGTTGAAAATCTCCACGACATGTTCCTAGGGATCTTTCTTGCCTTGTCTTCTTATCTTCCTTTCTGAAGCTCCAACTACCTACCAACCAACCAACATGGTTACAGAATCCAACCTCCTTTTCACTGCATTTGCCATTGTTCCTGCCTCAAGTGCTTGCCCATTCTTTCTGGGCATCTTTTGTTTTTTTGGGTTTTTTTTTTTTTTTTAAACAGATGGAGACGGGGTTTCACTGTGTTGCCCAGGCTGAAGTGAGCACAGCAGTGTGATCTTAGCTCACCACAGCCTCAAACTACTGAGCACAAAATATTCCCCCTGCCTTGGCTTACAGAGTATCTGAGACTACAGACAGGTACCACTGTGCCTGGGTAATTTTTAAATAATTTTTGTAAAGATGGGGTCTTGCTTTTTTGCCCAGGCTGGTCTCAAGTTCCTGTTTTAAAGCGATCCTCCTGTCTCAGCCTCCCAAAGTGCTGGGATCACAGGCATGAGCCACCATGTCCAGCTTCTGGCTATCGGTATCATCCACTTTTAGAAGTTCACTTCAAGTTCCACCTCTTCCATGAAGCCTTCCCTGGTTATCCTTACTCCCTAACAAGCTTTTTTTTCCTCTGTGCTTTCTGCCATTACAATTCTTAAATTCTTTTTTGCTATATTTACTGACTTCTTTGGCATGTAAAATCATATTTCATATTTAATCTTCAATCATATTTACATTTCTCAGAGTTAAGAACTGTGTCTACTGCTTCTCTGTATTTTCTCACAATGCCCAGTACAAGTTCTAAAGAATATCTGCTGATTAACTTCAACTTGAATGTAAGTATCTATATAATAGGATATTATCCTTGTTAATGCTTCTGTGTAATGAATATTAAGGTTAAGAGTATCACAAATAATTTTATAGCTAGAAAGAAGTTAGTAAATTAATCAGATTTTTTAAAGAGACAGAGTCTTGTTATGTTGCCCAGGCTGGCCTTGAACTCTTAGGCTCAAGATCTTCCTGCTTCAGCCTCCTGAGTAGCTGGGACTACAGGCATGCACCACCATGCCCAGGAATCTGTAAATTTATTGATGATTAACATGAATGAAATGGACAGAGAAGACAGGACCTTAAAAAAATCTTTTAGTTCACATTTCTATTTTGAGAAGTCTGATTCTCGCATGATTTATGAGAAAGTGATATGCTAAATCAGTTTGCCACAGCCATAGTATCTAACCAAAATGATTTGATGTGGGATTCTACACTATTTAAAGTTTAAATATCCCAATTGTGTACAGATTCAAATCATCTTTGATTAAACCCAAATCCTTCAGTTACTTTCCAAAGTAAAATATACATAAAGAGAATTACAGGCTGTGAGTGGTGGCTCATGCCTATAATCCTAACACTTCGGGAGGCTGAGGTGGGAGGTTCACTTGAGCTCAAGAGTTCAAGATCAGCCTGGCAACACAGTGAGACCTCGTCACTTTTTTTTTTAAAATCAAAAAAAAAAAAAAAGAGAATTATAGGCTGGGTGTGGTTGTGACTCATGCCTGTAATCTCAACACTATGGGAAGCCAAAGCAGGAGGATCACTTGAGTACAAGAGTTTGAGGACAGCCTGGGCAACATGGCAAGACCCCATCTCTACCAAAAAAAAAAAAAAAAAAAAAAGTAGCTAGGCATCAGGATGTGTACCTGTAGCCTCTGCTACTTGGGGGGCTGGGGTGAGAGGATTGCTTGAGCCTAGGAGTTTGAGGCTGTAGTGAGCCATGATTATGCATGCCACTGCACTCCAGCTTGGGAGACAGACTGAGAGATCCTTCCCCCATTCCCCCACACAAAAGAGACAATTACAATTCACAAAGAAAAATGACCTCATCTGCTCAATGGAAGATGTTAACTAACTTTATTTTTTTTGACTACCTGTCACTAGCATTTCCATCTGCTCAGAATTTGACTCATCCAATAACTTCAACTATTGATAACCCTGGTGAGTTCAGAAATGAGGCAGACAGCCTTTTGGCAACAAAAGTAAATAGCATAAATACCATGTTAAACTCAACGACTGTAGTCTTTAGGAGACTCAACTTTATTCTGAGCCCACTGTTTAAAAGAACCAATTCTACATATTCATCATAGCTACAGAAAAAAATAATAAAAGCTGTAAAAGAAAGAATTCTAGACCGGGTGTGGTGGCTCATGCCTATAATCCTAGCACTTTGGGAGGCCAAGGCAGTTGGATTGCTTGAACTCAGGAGTTCGAGATCAGCCTGGCCAACATGGCAAAACCCCGTCTCTATCAAAAATACAAAAATTAGCCAGGTGTGGTGGTGCATGCCTGTGGTCCCAGCTACTAGGGAGGCTGAGGTGGGGAGGTTGGGAGGACTGCTGGAGCCTGGGAGGCGGAGGTTGCAGTGAGCTGAGATCGCGCCACTGCATTCCAGCCCGGGTGACAGAGTAAGAGCCCATCGCCAAAAAAAAAAAAAAAATCTGCAGTTGTTTACCTAATTTCTAAATCCATGCAGATTAAGGGGCAGAAAGGGACTTTACAGCTAGACACACTGACAACTGTGAGTTTTAAACAGTGGGCTTTCTTTTAAACAGTGGGCTTTCAACTGACTGCTGTTAAGGCAAAGATAGGAAAACTATGAAAAACAAAAACCTTAAAATATAACAGTATGGGCTACCTAGTGATGAGGCAAATGGTATCACCCAGTTGAACATTCTCTCCCTCATTCTGGTACAGCCAGTAAAATAACCTTCGCAGTGGTGATTCTCAGACAATAATAAAAATTCAATTGTGAGGCAGGGCATGGTGGCTCATGCCTGTAATCCCAGCACTCTGGGAGGCCGAAGAGAATGGATTACTTGAGGTCAGGAGTTCGAGACCAGCCTGGCCAACATGGTGAAACCCCATCTCTACCAAAAATTCAAAAATTAGCTGGGCATGGTGGCGTGCACCTGTAATCCCAGCTACTCGGGAGGCTGAGGCAAGAGAACTGCTTGAACACAGGGGTGGAGGTTGCAGTGAGTCAAGATTACGCCACTGCACTGCAGCCTGGGCAACAGAGAGAGACCATGTCTCAAACAAGAACAAAACCAAGGCCAGGTGTGATGGCTCACACCTGTAATCCCAGAAATTTGGGAGGCTGAGGCGGGTAGATCACCTGAGGTCAGGAGTTTGAGACCAGCCTGACCATTATGGTGAAACCCCGTCTCTACTAAAAATATAAAAATTAATTGGGCATGGTGGTGTGCACCTGTAGCCCCAGCTACTTGGGCGGCTAAGACAGGAGAATCGTTTGAACCTGGGAGGTAGAGGCTGCTGTGAGCTGAGATCTCGCCACTGCACTCCAGCCTGGGTGACAGAGCAAGATTCTATCTCAAAAACAAAAACAAAAACAATTATATTCAAAATATAGTTAGCCTTCCGTATCTGCAGTTTCCACATCTGCAGATTCAACCAATCACACACAGATAAAAAATACTGGGGGGAAAAAGCCATAAAAAATCAAGCAAATTTTAGGCAAGGCGCAGTGGCTCATGCCTGTAATCCCAGCACTTTGGGAGGCTGAGGTCAGAAGACTGCTGGAGACCAGGAGTTTGAGACCAGCCTGGGTAATACAGTGATACTCTTGTGTCTACAAAAAATAATAAACAAAATAAGCCAAGCACAATTGTGCATTCCTACAGTTCCAGCTATTCAGGAGGCTGAGGTGGGAGGATCACTTGAGCCCAGGAGTTTGAGACTGCAGTGAGCTATGTAACTGTGCCACTGTACTGCAGCCTGGGTGACAGAGGGAGATCCTGTCTATAAAAAAAAAATAAAATAAAATTTATGGTTGGGCGTGGTGGCTCAAGCCTGTAATCCCAGCACTTGGGGAGGCTGAGGTGAGATCATGCCACTGCACTATAGCCTGGGTGACAGAGCAAGACTCTGTCTCCAAAAAAAAATAAAATAAAATAATGAATAAAATTTAGGCTGGGCGCGGTGGCTCGAGGCTGTAATCCCAGCACTGTGGGAGGCTGAGGCAGGCGGATCACCTGAGATCAGGAGTTCGAGACCAGCCTGGTCAACATGATGAAACCACGTCTCTACTAAAAATACAAAAATTAGCCCGGTGTGGTGGTACACGTCTGTAGTCCCAGCTACTCGGGAGGCTGAGGCAAGAGAATCACTTGAATCTGGGAGGAGGAGGTTGCACTGAGCCAAGATTGCACCACTGCATTCCAGCCTTGGCCAAAGAGGGAGATTCCATCTCAAAAAAAGAAAAAAAAATTTAAACATGCTAATAAAAAAAAAATTACAGTGACAACTATTTACATAGCATTAACATTGTATTAGATATTTTAAGTAATCTAGAAATGACTGAAAGTATGCAAAAGGATCTGAAAAGGTAACATGCAAATATGTACTATATTATTTCATATAAGGAACCTGAGCATCCACAGATTTTAGTATCTTTGGAGGTCCCAGAACCAATCCCCCGGAGGATACCAAGGGAGGACTGCACTACACAAAGCAGGAAATTGTAATCAATTTCAGGAAAAAAATAGTTAAGCTACAGGAGGGGAAAAAGGTTGTGTAGTTATAAATTAGTTTGCAAATTCCTATGTCTTAGGAACCAAGCAGGTAGGCAAATAAGGGAATCCCACATGAGAAACATAGTAACTGCTCAATTAATCACCTTGCAAAGAAAACAGGGAGTGGTGGGGGCCATGAGGCAATGGAAGACAGGAGCCCAATCCCCTTCAAGCCTCTTCCTGCTGTGCACAAAGGCAGGCCCAGCATTGCCAGATCTAATACTTTATAAAAACAGCTGAAATGTGATTTTTAAGTAAAATCTGATATTTAAATTTTGGCCTACTACATATGAGTCAAATAAGACAATTATGTGGACTCACAGCTATATATTGGCTACTTCTGGGTAATCCTCATCTACTTAGAAATTCAACTGTCTAGACCAATTCATTCCTACATATACCAGAGAGCCAAGCTTTGATGTATTTCAGATACTTCTCAACACCTGCATCTTATTGCCAGGATGAATGGCCAAGATATAATAAAAACAAGAATTCCACATAGTTTAGAGTCTTACCTTACTCTCGCTGACATCAGAAATCCATTCTTTTACTAAATTGTTCAATTTACCAAGAACCACCAGCCTATAAAAAAAAATGCTTCAGATTAAAACAAACAAACAAATGAACAAACAGTATTTTTAAAAACCCATATAGGCAGTACCCTTTGTGTTGATGCTGGGGTAAAACCATAACATATATGTGATAATGCTATCACATCTACTGACACAGGGCCATCTCTTTGGCATTTTTAGATCCTTAACAGTGCCAAAGAGGTGATAAATCTGATTACAGTATTTTAGTTTTTGAGCTATTTTCAAAAATTCAAAAAGCCTAATAAAAATCATAAAATTGCCTTCAATGAGGCTGTAAAGGCTTAGTGAACTGTCAACTTTCTTGGCTTTACTATGGAATTAATTCAATACAATGTGGTAATAGAAGCTAGAATTCTCTCATTGCTAGTAATAGGTCTTTGACTAATTAAAATGGGGGAACTAATTACTGGCTAATTTCTGTCTAATAGTATTAAAGTAGTTTGGTATTATTAAAACAACTTATAACCAATGGTGTAAATGAATCCACATTTAGAAGAGAAAAGTAGGGTTTAGACATACCAAAGATAACATGCAAAACTGAACGTCTGTCCAAACTTACTTCTTCCTCAGTCTTCCACAAATAATGAAATTCCATCCTTCAAGGTGCCAAGACCAAAAATCTTGGCCATCATCCTTGACCCCTCACACACACATTCCAGTCATTAAACCCTAAGAACCCTACCTTTAAAATATATCCAGATTTCTACTTTTTATTACCTCTACGACCATCCTCCAGGTTCTAGCCACCATCATTTCCTCCTAGGGCTATTATAATGGCTTGCTAACTGGTTTCTCTGCTCTGCCCTTGCACTTCTCCTAAGATTACTCTCAATACAGCAGCCAGAGTGACTGTTAAAACTTTTTTAAGTCATCATGTCAATCTTCTTTTCAAAACCCTAATAGCTTCTCATTTCACTCAGAATAAACCAAACCTTGACAACACCTTACAAGGTCCTAAGAGCTCTTGCCCTCCAAGCTCCTTCCCACCTTGCTTTCATTAAGCCTATATTTTCCTGCTTCCTCACTGCTCAGACACCCAGGGTATCTTGCTATGCACTCTTCAAATACACCACTTCAAGAGTTCTGCCTAGAACACTTTTCCCTCAGATAGACACATGGCTCCCTCCTTCATCTTTAAATTTTCCCTTAAATGTAACTTTCTCAATGAGGCTTTCCCTGAAACCTCTACCCCCTCAGCTTTTTCTCAGTAGCACTTATCATGTGTAATATTACTCATGAGTGTCATACTGATATTATTGATGACAAATCTCTTCTTCTAACCCCTACCTAAAATGTAAGCTCCAAGAGGGCCAAGATTTTTCTTTTTGTCATTTCTGCACCTGTATCTAGAGACACAGTAGGTATTCAATATGTTCGCAGAATTAATGATTAAATAATGCACTGTCAAATATTTTATGGTTTTCAATGACATACCTGTGGTTCAATTCTTCCTCATCTTCAAACACTCCAAATGGTTTCATGGCGTCAATTAATTTCTGTGTGTAAATATGATCAATTTCTTTAGGAGATGCCAAACTAATTGGGGAGGTAATTCCATAATGCTTTTGTTGACGCTGGCTGTCCAGCACGGTGTTTCTGTTCAAGAAAATAAGAAAAATGAAACAAAAAATTTAAAGTATATACCATACTGATACACTGAATCTCTCAATCTACTCATGTTAATTTAGCTACCTTAAAAGTTTACTTAGTAATAACAGTAGTGGCAGACACTTTCTTGTAAAGGAAAAATGGGTATTTTATGTTTATGTTTATGAAGGGGCTATTCATACTGCCTGCAGCTTTCATGGTTAGGATGTTTTTTCAAGCCAAGCGCAGCATGTGTTGGCATCAAGACAATTGTACCAACACCACTCAGCTCAAACCCAGAGTTTGATTGGGATCTGTGCCAGGGCCACCTCCACTACCCTGCAGACTTAAGTCAAGTGCCATCCAGATTCTAGAATCTTTGAAAAGCAGTCAACCACTTGAAATAAAGCTTTTAGTAAAAACAATGGGTTTTTTTCCCCAGGAAAGAAATGAAAACATCCCATTAGAAGGTCCTTGTGAAATAATCTGGCTTTTAAAAAGAAATCACAATTAGATTTGTCCTTGGGAAACCGAGGTTAACATCCTCTGCTTGAATCAGAGTTTACAGTCCTAGTACTTTGTGATTCTAGTTAATTATTCTCTTCATTTTAGACTGGTACCCATACCATCTTCACATTGAAATAAAATTCTTTATACTACTGGCAATCTTTTGGAAGATACATGAGCCACCCTCCAAACATCTTAGCCATCAAGAAACTACGGTCTTGAATAAAGTACAACAGAAGTTCTGAGACTTTTTTTTCTTTTTTTTTTTGAGATGGAGTCTCTCTCTGTCTCCCAGGCTGGAGTGCATTGGGGAGATCTCAGCTCACTGCAACCTCTGCCTCCTGGGTTCAAGCAATTCTCCTACCTCAGCCTCCCAAGTAGCTGGGATTACAGGCATGTGCCACCACACCCAGCTACTTTTTGTATTTTTAGTAGAGACGGAGTTTCGCCATGTTGCCAGGCTGGTCTCGAACTCCTGACCTCAGGTGATCCAACAGTCTCGGCCTCCCACGGTGCTGGGATCACAGGCGTGAGCCCCCGCGCTCAGCCAATTCAAGTTCTGAGATTTTGAGTTTACACAAACTAATCAACTTCAAAATAAATTCTGGGACCAACAGGGGTTGGCAAAACTTCTAATTTTGCTATGAAAGTAAAAACATACACACTAAACGACCAACACTACCATTTATCTTCACCATGCTTCCATGAAGGGCCATTAACACCAAGAGTAAGAATGTAATCTCAAAATTAGAAACAATCTTTCAAGTTGAATAAATTAGCCCTGTAAAAAATAACATACAATAGAGATTGTTTAATTGTTTTTGGATTCTAACTGGTCAAAACACTGTCTTACCACTACTAAGTACACAGAGTAAGACACGCTGTAATAGCTAAAGATCTCATTAGAGGCCGGGCGTGGTGCCTCATGCCTGTAATCCCAGTACTCTGGGAGGCCAAGGCAGGTGGATTACTTGAGGTCAGAAGTTCAAGATCAGCCTGGCCAACATGGTGAAACCCCGTCTCTACTGAAAATACAAAAAATTAGCTGGGCATGGTGGCGGACGTCTGTAATCCCGGCTACTCGGGAGGCTGAGGCAGGAGATTCGCTTGAACCCAGGAGACGAAGGTTGCAGTGAACCAAGATCGCGCCACCACACTCCAGCCTGGGCAACAAGAGCGAAACTCCGTCTCAAAAAAAAAAAAAAAAAAAAAATCTCATTAGGCAGAGAGGGAGAAAGAATCAAATGGAAGATAAAATAGCCTGTATACCTTCCAAAATGACTCAAAAAAAAAAAAAAAAAAAAAAACCCCAGAAACCAAAATACTGGTTAATTTATCTTCTGTATTTATTTTGTTGTAGAACAAACAAAACTTCAATTAGTTATTTCAAGTGGTAATTTCTTTTTAAAGATTTGGCTTTTTACCTCTGAGAAAGCTAGAGCAGTGTTTTGGTATTGTTTGTGTAATACATATGTAAATATATACGGTAAGTGAATAGGACAGAGTAATTATCTACATATCTATATAGTATCACTCAATCGCAATAATCCTAAGGGGTATTGAATAAGTGCCATTTTACAGATAAGTACCTGAAAGTCAAAGAGAGGACAAGCCAGAATCTGAACTCCAAAACCTCTTTCCACTACTCCATTCTCTCCTCTCTAACTACTTCAGCTCTGACACCATGATGACGGGCCTCACTTTTTTACCTGTATGCTGACAAAGTTGGCCAACTAGCCTACTGGCCCTAAAATTCCAAATCCAGGTTCTGAACTTCCCCCATCTAGAGGGGAGGGGAAAGTAAACAACAGAATCCCACATTCCCTTCAAACCATCAATTTCACTTACAGGCAAACAACCTAGAGAAATTCTAGTTACAAGCGTACAAAGAGACACCTAAAAGAACGTTCACTGTCACATTGTAACATTAAAAACTTAGAAATAAAATAGTCACTAACAGGAAAAGAATTAAATTAGGGTGTTTTCCTACAATAGAATACAATACAATAATTAATATTAATTAATTACAACTAAAATACTAACATGAACAAAGCTCAGAGATACTATGTTGTGCTAAAGAAGTTACAGAATTCCAAGTGTGATACGAGTTATATAAAGTTTAAAAACAACTAGAACTATGCCAGTTATTATGAACACATGTGTATGTAGTAATAGCATTAAAAAACATGCAGCTCCCATGATTCGAGGGCGGAAAAAAAAGAAGTAAAATAAAAAACAGGCAGCAACGATAAACATCAAATTCAAGACTGTGGAGACATCTGGAGCAAGAGATGATTGGGACCAGAGAAGGAGGTAGGAGAGTCCTTCAGATGTATCTGGAATGCTTGATTTCTTTTTAAAATAAATACACAGATACGTATATACACACCGTGTGTGTGCGTGTGTGCATGTACGTGTATGTGTGTACAGTTACGTTTTGGGAGAAATGGGTGGTGGCTCCACAAATGATGCTTATGTTATTCTCTACATTTTTCTGCATGTTTAAATTATTTCCTAATAGACCAAAATGGAAGAAGCTACAACAAAATCTTGCCAAGTACGGGAACTGTTTCTGACTTATCAAAGTGTGAACAAGAGGTACAGACCGGTAGATGTTGTGGGTAGGTGGGGAAGCAGGGGGTGAGGGAGAGGGTGGGGACGGCGGTGAAAAGACTGTAGCCTCATATGAAAGAGAAACCCTTGGGCTGCGATAGGTCTTTCACTCCTGAAGACCTGGAGACAGCCGGTCGGGAAGGGAGGAGGGGGAGGCAGGGGGATGGTATTTGCGCCAATGCAGACAGGAGCAGACGGGCTCAGACAGTGCTGGGGGCAGGCGAGTGACCGACAATTTCTCCCTACGGACACAGGCACCTCTTTCCCTCCTCATCCTTTTCTGAGGGCGTCCTCGGAGGCGGGACAGCTGGGGACTCCCGGAGTCCCCGAGTCCGTGCAGGGGTGGCCAGGTGAGCCGCCGGGTTTAGGGGAGGTGCCCTTGCGGACCGGCCGGGAGCCGGGAAGGAGACCATCCCGGCGAGCTGCGTGCAGGGCGCAAGGGACAGGGAACGGAAACAAGGACACAGTCGGACCACCTCAGCTCACCCCTACCCGCCTCACCCCAACCGCCGCCCCCCACCACTTACGCAGACATCTCTTTCATCGCTTCCTGCGTCTCCCTCTCCAGCGAGTGTTTATCGCTCTGGAGTCCTGTTCTTGCTGTTCCCTTCTCCCCCTGTTCACTTTCCTCCGGTCGCTAGTAGCTCGCTTGCTCGCTCACTTTCCCACTTACTATGGCTGAGGCATCCAACCGAGTAGTGAAAACACCACAAAACCGGCTCTATTTATGACAATACAGCGCGGCCGACGCCAATATGGCGCCGCTTCCCAGCCTGCCTCTCGCAGGTCTCAGCCCCGCCCCTGGAGGTCTGGACCACCCTCAGCCACGCCCCCTCTGCCTTTAGGTCCCGGGAGGCTCCGGGGCCCCGCCCACAAGCTCAGGGCTCTCAGTATACCGTTGGTTCGAAGGAGTATTTATTTGGTACTCTCCTTTGTCCGCGGTACTGTCAATGCCGGTAGACCGCTTGGAAGGAAATTTGGAGATATGTTTTCCTTGCCTCTCGAATGGCAGCATATATCATACATTTTTTAAAAAGGTCACACCCTTGCCTAGCAAAAACTATTTCAACGCCTCCGTTATCCTACATCTTTGATTTAATTATAGTTATACATAATTAACTCACCAGTTGAGATTTTGTCTCGAAAGGGTCACACCCAGGAACATACGACTTTCACACAAGTATCCCAGGGAAAAACAAGCTTGTAAATTGGAGGCTTAACTGTTCACTTCACCCCTAAGTACCACCTTTGATTAGTGACATTCTGGCATTTAGCTGACAGAGGTTGAAAATAGTAGCTAGCAGTTTGCAATAGGATAAATCCCAGGCTGAAACAAAAATCTTACACTTTTAAATAGTGGAAATCATGTTCGATGTGAGTGTGGGGATGAAAATGAGAAAATAATAACCAATTTTAAAATGCTGAAAGGTAGAAGTAATTTCAAGCACTAAATCATTACAAAGAAAAGGAAGTCAAGAACTGCTTGCTCTTGAACATAACTCAGAGTCACAGTAAATAGAGGAGATTACTTGCTGATTAATTCATTAAAAAATATTTATTGAGGCAAGATACAGTGGCTCACACCTGTAATCCCAGCACTTTGGGAGGCCAAGGTGGGAGAATTGCTTGAGGCCAGGAGTTCGAGAACAGCCTGGGCAACATAGTGAGACCCTGTCACTACAAAAAGTTTTAAAAAAATTAGCTGGGCATGGTGGCCCATGCCTGTAGTCCCAGCTACTCAGGAGGCTGGGGTGGGAGGATCTCTTTGAGTCCAGGACGTGGAGGCTGCAGGAAACCAGGATGGCACCACTGCATTCCAGCCAGAGTGATAGAAGGAGACCCTGTCTCAAAAAAATAAATAAATAAATAAATAAATAAAAACTACAAAACATATTTTTGAAAACCTGAGCAAGGTGCAGTGGCTCTTGCCTGCAATCCCAGTGCTTTGTGACGCCAAGGCTGGTGGATCACTTGAGGCCATGAGTTCTATTAAGACCAGCCTGGCCAACATGGCAAAAACCCATCTCTACTTAAAAGCAACAACAAAAACCTGACGTGGCCTGGTGTGGTGGATCACACCTGTAATCCTAACATTTTGGGAGGCTGAGGCGGGTGGATCACTTGAGGTCAGGAGTTCGAGACCAGCCTGGCCAACATGGTGAAACCCCATCTCTACTAAAAATAGAAAAACTAGCTGGGTGCGTGGTGCGCCTGTGATCCCGGCTACTCAGCAGGGTGAGGCAGGAGAATTGCGTGAACCCGAGAGGCAGAGGTTTTTTTGAGATGGAGTCTCGCTCTGTTGCCCAGGCTGGGGTGCAGTGGCGTGATCTCTGCTCAGCCTCCTGAGTAGGTGGGATTACAGGCATGCACCACCACGTCCAGCTATATTTTTGTATTTTTAGTACAGACGGGGTTTCACCATGTGGGCCAGCTAGTCTCAAACTCCTGACATCAGGTAATCCGCCCACCTCGGCTTCCCAAAGTGCTAGGATTACAGATGTGAGCCACCACACCCAGCCAAGCAGTGTTTTATTATTTATTTATTTATTTATTTTTGAGATGGAGTCTTGCTCTGTCACCTAGGCTGCAGCACAGTGGCATGATCTTGGCTCACTGCATCCTCTGCCTCCTGGGTTCAAATGATTCTCCTGTCTCAGCCTCCCGAGTAGCTGGGACTACAGGCGTGCGCCACCACGCCTGGCTAATTTTTTGTATTTTAGAGATGGACTTTCACCATGTTGGCCGCACATCTCAGCCTCCCAAAGTGCTGGGATTACAGGCGTGAGCCACCGCTTCCAGCCTAATTTTTGTATTTTTAGTACAGACAGGGTTTCACCATATTGGTCAGGCTAGTCTTGAACTCCTGACCTCGTGATCCGCCAGCCTCAGCCTCCCAAAGTGCTGGGATTACAGGCGTGAGCCACCATGCCCGGCCACGGTGTTTTAATCAATTGCTTTTCTTCCCATTTTCCTGTCTTTGTTAATCTACCTGGGATTTAATGACAGTCCCTAACCCCCATCTCAATAAGGATACTGTATTTTTCCCAACCCCAATTTCAATAAGGACATTTTTCTTATTTGCAGTGTATATTGTAACTGTATTTGTTAAGTTAAAAATTTTCAAATGACAAAACTAACCCATGCGCATAAAAAAAAAGAGCGGACGTCTGTCCCTCCTTTCCATCTCTTGCCCAGGCTGGAGTGCAGTGATGTGATCTCAGCTCACTGCAACCTCCACCTTCCGGTTTCGAGTGATTCCCCTGCCTCAGCCTCCTGAGTAGCTGGGTTTACAGGTGCCCGCCACTATGCCCAGCTAATTTTTGTATTTTTAGTAGAGACAGCATTTTGCCATGTTGGCCAGGCTGGTCTTGAACTCCTGACCTCAGGTGATCCGCCTGCCTCGGCCTCCCAAAGTGCTGAGATTACAGGCGTGAGCCACCGTGCCCGGCCTGTATTTTATTTTTGAGACAGACTCTCCCTCTGTTGCCCAAGCTGGAGTGCAGTGCTGTGATCTTGGCTCACTGCAATGTCCATCTCCTGGGTTGAAGCCATTCTCCTGCCTCAGCCTCCCCAGTGGCTGGGATTACAGGTGCGCGCTACCATACCTGGCTAATTTTTGTATTTTTAGTAGAGATGGAGTTTCACCATGTTAGCTAGGTTGGTCTCAAACTCCTTTCCTCAAGTGATGTATCCGCCTAGGCCTCTTAAAGTGCTGGGATTACAGGCGCGAGCTACCTCGCCCCGCTGACATGTATATTGTAAAATAAAATTTATATACTTGAAATTGTCCTCTTAGAAGTTTATACCAGTATATGCTCCAATATGTATGTGATGATCTGTTTTCTCAAACATTCACAAATACTGGGTATTATTATTATTATTATTATTATTTTGAGACAGAGTTTCGTTCTTGTTGCCCAGGCTGGAGTGCAATGGCGCGATCTTGGCTCATTGCAACCTCCGTCCCCTGGGTTCAAGCGATTCTCCTGCCTTAGCCTCCCGACTAGCTGGGATTACAGGTGCCCACTGCCACGCTGGGCTAAGTTTTTGTATTTTTAGTAGAGACGGGGTTTTGCCATGTTGACCAGGCTGGTCTCAAACTCCTGACCTCATGTGATCCACCCTCCTTGGCCTCCCAAAGTGCTAGGATTACACGCATGAGCCACTGCACCTGGCCAAATATCTTTTTTTTTTTTTTTTTATGGCTGGATATGGTGGCTCCACGTGGTGGCTCCGGCCTGTAATCCCAGCATTTTGAGAGGCTGAAGCGCGTGAATCACTTGAGGCCAGGAGTTCCAGACCATCCTGGCCAACAGGGTGAAACCTGACCTCTACTAAAAATACAAAAATTAGCTGGTCATGGTAGTGCACGTCTGTAATCCCAGCCAGTTGGGAGGCTGAGGCACAAGAATTGAGTGAACCCGGAAGTGGAAGTTGCAGTGAGCCAGTACACTCCAGCCTGGGTAACAGAGGGATACTGTCTCAAAAAAAAAACCAAACCAAAACAAAACAAAAAACAAAAAACCAACCATAAAAGCAACTTTTGGCCAGGTACAGTGGCTCACACCTGCAATCCCAGCACTTTGGGAGGCCGAGGTGGGTTGATCACTTGAGGTCAGGAGTTCGAGACCAGCCTGGCCAACATGGTGAAACCCCGTCTCTACTAAAAATACAAAAAAATTAGCTGGGTGTGGTGGTGGGTGCCTGTAATCTCAGCTACTCTGGAGGCCGAGGCTGGAGAATGGCTTGAACCCAGGAGGCGGAGGTTGCGGTGAGCCGAGATCTCGCCATCGCATTCCAGCCAGGGCAACAAGAGTGAAACTTCGTCTCAAAAACAAACAAACAAAAAAACCCAAAAAACAACTTTTTAATTTGGCTGGTTGTGGTGGCTTATGGTTGCAATCCCAGTACTTTAGGAGACTAAGGCAGGAGGATCCCTTAAGCTCAGGAGTTGAGACCAGCCTGGACAACTGCAAAACCACAACTCTATTTAAAAAAAAAGTTTTTATGCTTATAAAAAAACTATAAATATACAGAAAAAGTAGAGAGAATAATATAATTAACACCATATACCCATCATGTAGAATTTTTTTAGCATTTGGTCATGTTTCACACATTTTTCAGTGAAATCTTTTTAAGTAAACACATAAAATTTTACTCCTAAATATTTTGATATGCATATCTAATGAGAACACTTTCCTGTACAACCATAATAATATTAATACACTCAAGTATTTCCACTTGTTGCCCAAATATCTTTTGCACCAAGCTTGTTTATAGTGTGATCCAATCAAGAAGTATGATTGCATTTGGTTGTTGGGTCTCTGAAATGGCTTTTTTTTCCTTAAAAGTATTTTTTAATTAGCTGGGCGTGGTGGCAGGTGCCTGTAATCCCAGCTACTTGGGAGGCTGAGGCAGGAGAATTGCTTGAGCTCGAGAGGTGGAGGTTGCAGTGAGCTGAGATCGCACCACTGTACCACTGCACTCCAGCCTGGGCGACAGAGCGAGACTGTCTCAGAAAAAAAAAAAAAAAAAAGGGGCTTTATTTTTTAAGAGCAGTTTTAGGTTCATAGCAAAATTGAGAAAAAAACAAGTATTTCCCATGTGCTGCCTCCCCCAAGACATGCATAGCCTCCTCCATTATCAACATCCTGAAATATATTTTAATCTAGAACAGACTTTCTCCCTAGCTTTTTATTTTTCCTGTGACATTGATTTGTAGAGAGTAGACTAGTATTTCCTTAGAATGTTCCAACTTCTAGATGTTTCTGGTTGTTTCCTTGTGGTGTCATTTAACAATAACCTCAGTATTTTCTATTAATGGAAGTTGGATCTAAAGGCTTGATTAGATTCAGGCTAAATACTGCATCATACTGGAAGGCACATAGTGAAGCTCTGTTTATCCCATTATTAATGATATTAAGATTGATCACTGGGTCTGTGTGGTGACAATCATCTTAGAACTCCTTAGTAAACTGCAGGGTGATAACTTTAGCACCAGATAAATATACAGCTCCCCAACCTTTCACCTAATTGTTTCAGCATCCATTGACAATTCGTGGCTTAATTAATTATTTCCCTAGGGATTGCAAATTGTGTTTTTTTTTTTTTCAATTCTGTCTACATTGATAGCTAGCCTTTTTCAGGAAAGAAGGGCTCTTGCTCATCAACTGCGCTATTAGGCTACTCCGCAATAGGTTACTGCAAATAACCTAATTCTTTCCCCTTTCAGATAAGAACTTGGTGGAATGGCCACCTGTAGAAAAGTTTTCGTTTATTTGCTTGCTTGTTTTACTCCTCCTCCTCTTTTTTTAATTTTTAAGTATTCTATGGACACAGGGATATTTATTTATTTATTTGAGACAGAGTCTAGCTCTGTTGCCCAGGCTGGAGTGCAATGGCACAATCTCGGCTCACTGCAACCTCCGCCTCCCAGGTTCAAGTGATTCTCCCTCCTCAGTCTCCTGAGTAGCTGGGAGTACAGGCATGTGTCAACATGCCTGGCTAAGTTTGTATTTTTAGTAGAGATAGGTTTTTGCCATATTGGCCACACTGGTCTCAAACTCCTGACCTCAAGTGATCTGCCCACCTCTGCCTCCCAAAGTGCTGGGGGATTACAGGTGTGAGTCATCGCACCTGGCCCGACTCATGGATTTTTATATAGTCAGTGTGTTTCAATTTGTTACAGGCATTGTTCTTTTGATGCTAAAATCGTCCCAACTTTGGCCAATAAATGCCTCTGTCAAGCGGCTGGTTCTATTAATTTTTTTTTTTCTTTGAGGTAGAGTCTCACTCTGTCGCCCAGGCTGGAGTGTAGTGGCATGATCTTGGCTCACTGCAACCTCCACCTTCCAGGTTCAAGCGATTCTTCCACCTCAGCCTCCCAAGTAGCTGGGATTACAGGCGCCTGCCACCATGCCCAGCTAATTTTTGTATTTTTAGTAGAAATGGGGTTTCTCCATGTTAGCCAGGTTGGTCTTGAACTCCTGACCTCAGGTGATCTGCTTGCCTCAGTCTCCCAAAGTGTTGGGATTACAGGTGTGAGCCACGGAGCCCAGCCAGTAGTTTTTAAAAATTTAAAAAATCAATCTGACAGGTTGGAGAATGCTATTTCTTTGTGATTTTAACTTGCAGATCCCTCATCAGTGGTGAAAGGTGAGCATCTTTCATATTTTACCAGTGGTGAATATCTTTCATATTTTACCAGCCATTTATATTTCTTACTCTGTGGATTGCCTATTCATATATTTTGTCCATTTTCCTATTGGTATAACTATGTATATGTATATATAACTAATTATCAACACTCATCTCTACAGATGAACTGTTTTCAGTGCTCACTGCCAATCTCTTCCAGCTACAACTTTCCTATTCTTGAATTTTTTCTTTTGATCATTTCCTGCTCTAGAATGGCAGCTTATTCAGAAAAGGGATACATTTTCTTCTGGCTTATTTGAAAATGCCCTTCTACTACATGATAACATTTTCTTCAGAGCTTGATAGATGTTTTATTATTAGCTGTTGTATCTTAGACATTGTAAAGATTCTTCCTTTTTTGAGACAGGGTCTTGCTTTGCTGGCCAGGCTGGAGTGCAGTGGCATGATCATGGCTCACTGCAGCCTTAACAACTGGGACTCAAGCGATCTTCTTGCCTCAGATTCTCCTGACTCAGCCTCCAGAGTAGCTAAGACTATAGGTGCACACCACCATGCCTGGTTAATTTTTTTTTTTTTCATTTTTAGTAGGGACCGGTCTTGCCATGCTGCCCAGGCTAGTTTTGAATTCCTGGCCTCAAGTGATTCTCCCACCTCAGCCTCCTGAAATGCTGGGGTTACAGGCATTAGCCAGTGTGCCCAGTGAAATTCTTATTTTTGAAGTTTAAAAATTCCTCCAAATTAGGCCTTTTTCCTAGAAATGTGTACAGAACAAGCTAAACATTCTTTTTTTCTGAGTATTTTTTTAAAGATTAGATACATTCTTTTTTGTTGTTGTTCTGCTATAAAAAGTATTACTGCTTCTATTCCATTCATTGGCTCTTTTATTTTTTAAAAGTTCATTCAGATAAACAGAATTGCAACATGGAAGAATGTTAAAATGTTAGTACAAGTAATTCATGGAGAAAAATCTTTAAAAATTATTATCTTGGCTGGGCGTGGTGGTTCACACCTGTAATCCCAGCACTTTGGGAGGCCAAGGTAGGGGGATCACCTGAGGACAGGAGTTCGAGACCAGCCTGATCAACATGGTAAAACCTCATCTCTACTAAAAATACAAAATTAGCCAGGCATGGTGGCTCATGCCTGTAATCCCAGCTACTTGGGAGGCTGAGGCAGAAGAATTGCTTGAACCGGGGACGCAGAGGTTGCAGTGAACCGAGATCATGCCATTGTACTCCAGCTTGGGCAACAAGAGTGAAACTGCATCTCAAAAAAAAAAAAAAATTATCTTAACTTTTGTAACTATCTACTGGGTTGTTTACTTGTCTGTAGGACAGGGACCATCTCAGTCTTGTACACTGGGTCATCCTCAGAACTTAGCACAGCTGCTCAATAAATATTCATTGAATGAATTCAACTATTATTTTCTCTCTTATATCTGCCTTTATCTCATCATTTCTCCATCTTTTGCCCCAACTGATAGACTATGTCTACCTTGCCTTCTCCCTCACTAACTTAATAAATATTCTGATGTGTCTGAATGTTATACAATTACTCCATTGAAACTTTTTCATCTCTGGACTCTTTCATTGACTTGGAGAATTTCTTTTTTTCGGCAGATTATTGTAGCATGGTATTGCTTGCACTGGTCATTAGCAGGTCAATATGGTGGGCTGTGAGCACTTTTTAAAGAATGAATAG
Source organism: Homo sapiens (assembly GCF_000001405.40). Taxonomy (NCBI): domain Eukaryota; kingdom Metazoa; phylum Chordata; class Mammalia; order Primates; family Hominidae; genus Homo; species Homo sapiens. The sequence goes on along the minus strand of NC_000002.12, from coordinate 60,748,163 downwards.
AAAAGCGTGGTGATCCTACTTGACAGTAGGATCCTCCAAAAACAATCTTGGGAGCTAGTGCTAGGGTTGCCTGCATGTTGTGCCAGGTGGGGCTAAGGTCTCCCCTTCTATCAACAGGAGGGAGCCTGCACTTAGCTTCTCCCAGGATGGCTTTCTGCTGGGTTGCTGGCTTTCCCAGACAACTAAACAGCTGGCAGCTAAACTCAGCCACGCTGGCTCTAAATAGTCTCTGTGTCCACATTCTGACACATTTTAAGAGGGTGTCATCTCAGGGGGCACACATCCTTCCATTGGAACACATATAGCACATAGCCTTAGCAACCCTCTGGGATGATGGGAGAGTCTGCGACTATGTCCTCTCTTGGTGACCCTTGGCTTGTATGTTTCTCCATTAAAGCCTGTTCCTTAACTCAAGCTGAATGACCATGTGAAATTCATCCCAAGCCCTGTTGCACAATGGGTGGCAACCATGAAGGGAATCCCTACTCACTTTGAACAACCCAAATAAAATGAAAAATACATATTGTTAAATGGGCTCCAAGAGGATTCATGTCTGGTCTTACTTGGTCGATTTTGAACAAATAGGAGCTGAGCTGGATGTTGTCAGAAATTGATGTGGATCCCCAACCAATTTTTCTTTTTGAGACAAGGTCTTCCTGGAGTGCAGTGGTGTGATTATGGCTTACTGCAACCTCTGCCTCCGTGGCTCAAGTAATCCTCCCACCTCAGCCTCCAAGGGTAGCTGGGACCACACATGTGCAACCATGCCAGGCTAATTTTTTTTATTTATTTTTAGTTTTTTAGTTTTTGTAGAGATGAGATCTCCCTATGTTGCCCATGCTGGTCTCTAACTCTTGGGCTCAAGTGATCCACCTGCCTCAGCCTCCCAAAGTGCTGGGATTACAGCCATGAGCCACTGCACCTGGACTCCCAATAAAAATTTTAATGGTAGGACATCAGATCCAGATAAAATAAAAAAGAATAAAGCTGGCAGTAGTGAAATCTCAGAAATGTAGTAGAATTCTTATAAAATTGTGAGGGAGGAGCAGAGTAGAATGGGGAAGGTAGAGTGATAGCTGAAGCCATGTTTCTAATGTGAGTAGGATTGCTAGGAAAAGGACTCTCTCCTTTAAGGTTTTATACTTAGATGGCTAATTTGTGCCTCGTTGAGACCTCAGAACCACCACTAAGGGTGTCAGAAGAGGAAAGGACATCCAAGTGTTGCAATTCCTAAAAGGACTGTCAACAAACTTTTCTTTTAGCCCCCTGTGACAGGGGGGTAGAGTGTAAGGTATATAAATGTTCTTTGGTCAAGGATAGGCTGAGGCAGACGTCCGGCCCACTTGACTCAGTTGAGTTTGGTGTGCAGGCACACACCTCCACTTATTGTATAACCTGTTTGTGTAAATTCATACTTAGCTCTGAGCCACTGTTGTCTGTAAAAGATATAATTGCCCTGCTAATGCTGTATAGGAGCCCTTAGGGCTCGGCTTGGCTCAACATGGCTTGACATGGCAGGTGCTCTGGGGCCCAGAGAAAGAGAGAGACAGCCAAAGGTGTCCGTCTTGCAGACAGACAGGAGGGAGCCAGGATACAGCTCTGCTTGCTTGTGCCGAGAGAGAGAACAAGCTGTTGCCCTGAAGGCAAAGGAGAGCCGGCCACACAGCTGTGTGTGGAAGCTGCCAACTCAAGCAGCTGAGACAGGGTGGACAGTGTGAGAGAGACAGCGTGAGAAAGCTGTCGATGACAGCTACTGCTGAATAAAATAATCTCTCACCTGCCTACGGCCCCCTGAGTATTTCTGCTCATCCATCCATTCCCCTCGGACTTCAGTATGGGCTGGGCCCGGACCCCAGGATCTGAAAATTGACAAGTATGGGATGAGATGAGTGGGTCTTCAGCCCCTGAGGGCTCCTGAGTTGGCTATGTGGCCGTGGCATGGGCTGTGGAACTGGGTGGCAGCAGTGGTGCTTGGATGAGCCCCAGTGGAAACATGGGAGGCAATGGATGGGTCCCCTGCAAGTGTGGAGAAGGCGCTGAAGCACCTGGAATTACACAGCACTGAGAAGAAGCATGCCTTTACCGGCAGAGTCAGATGGGCATTTGTGACTGTGCGGCAGGAAGTGCATGCCCAGTCCATGTGGGATGCAGGAAGGAGGAAGAACCTCTGTGGCAGGCTAGCCCTGTGGTCTGCCAGGAAATATGGCATGAGCAGCTGTTAGGCCCCAAGAGTGGGCCGAGAGACACACCCCACTACCGTGGTGAAGCACATTTCCTGTGGTGTCTGTGCCCCTGCTGAGTTGTGGGGGTGAGGCAAGTAATGTCGGCAGTCATATACAGATTTAGTGCAAATCATTCAGGAGAAGGACATTCCTTCTTCCCAATGTGCAACCCGCTCCTGCCTGAGCGTTCCAGTTTAGAGAGTACCTGCTGCAGTCAGGCAGAAGTGTAAAGCCTTTTCTGTTTGATAAGAGACTGGCCAAGATGCATGGCTGAGGGGTTACTGGACAACCAGAGCTACCTGTGGACTTGGCAATCCACTGGTCCCTGAACCTGGGTAAGTTTCTGGGCAGAGCCACATTTATTGACGGCTATGAAGACTGGTCAGTGAAAGTGAAACCTGTATCTCTACATCTTGGCTTCAGCCGCTTGGCTCTCTGCTTAGGCACTGTGTATGTCTGTTCCATACCCGAAGACATTCTGGGGTGGATGTTTTGCACAGGTTAGTAGCTGTGCTGTCTGTCACGGACTTGATGGACCACTTGACAATGGAACTGGGACAGTCCACCGAGAGCCAGGAACAGTATGCCTTCATGGGAGGGCAACAATGGACTTTTACAGTGTTGCCGCAGGGCTATATGTATAGCCCCACCATGCGTCATGATTCTATCAATAATGTTATGCCAACCTCTGATTTTCTTGCAGGTTTAGAAGCAGTAGCACCCTTCTTGCCTGAGAATGGGATAATGAGGCTGAGACAGCTTTTCTGGGTAGTAAACCAAGGGTGCCCATTCATGTAACCACATTCATGTAGATATACATGTAACCACAGATAGTTTTGGATAGGGTCTATAGCAATGCATGGAGCACTTGGAAGCGCCAGTGGGCTGTTAGCTGTTAGCTGAGCTCCGGTGTTCATTAATAAAGAAGCAGTTAGTGACTGCATATGCTGCCCTTCAGGCTCATAAGAACATAGCAGGATGGGTTACAGTTGTCGTGCAGACAACTTACCTGGTAGCAGGATGGGTGTGTTCATAGGTAATGATCCCCTGGACTGGGACAACACAGACATCTACTTTAGTGAAGTGGGCTGCCTACTTAGAACAGCAGAATATGCTGAGTACAAGTCCCTTAGCAGCAGAGTTACAAGAAGCCTTAGGACCTGTAGTCCTGATGCAAGATAAGGTCATGGGGCCTGAGGCACTCCTTGATCCTGAGCCTTCACCATTAGTAAGGGCATCCTCCCATTCCTAATAGGCATGGTACAATGCTAAGTCTAGCTGGGGTGCTATTGCTGCCTGGACTCCTGGTGCAGTCCAGCCTAGTACTAACACCATATGGTTTGATACCAGGTGTAGACAGAGTAGCTAATGAGCTAAACTCAGGGCAGTGTGAATAATCTCCAAGAGGGTGACAGCTATGGTAATCTGTGATGATAGGCAATTTATTGAAGCTTATGTATGTAATAGGCCTGTGTGACCAGAGCCTCTGTCTAAGGCCTGTATGACAGTCTGATGTGTCAAGCCTGTGTATGTATATTGGGCCTCTGTGCCCAAAGCTTATGTGTGTCAAGCCTGTGTACCGGGCCTGTGTGCCCAAACCCTATGTCTCTCTTGGCCTAGGGGGTGGACGGTAAGGTATATGGATGTGCTTTGGTCAAGGATAGGCCTTGGATGACCCAGCAAGTTTGGCACGCCCTCCACTTGTTATATGACCTTTGTGTAAGTTCGTACTTGGCTCTGAGCTACTATTGTCTGTAAAAGGTGTAATTGCCCTGCTAATGCTGTACAGGGGCTTTGGGGCCCAGTTTGGCTCAACATGGCTTGACGTGGCCGAGAAAGAGAGAGAGAGAGAAAGAGAGAGCCAAAGCTGTCTGTCTTGTAGACAGATAGGAGGGAGCCAGGACATAGCTCAGCTTGCTCGTGCCCAGGGAGAGAACAAGTTAAGCCGCTGACCCTGAAGGCAAAGGAGAGCTGGTCATACCTGTGTGTGGGAGCTGCCAGCTCAAGTAGCTGAGACAGGGTGGACAGTGTGAGAGAGACAGTGTGAGAAAGCTGCTGATGAGAGCCGCCGCTGAATAAAATCATCTCTCACCTGCCTACTGCCCCCTGAGTATTCTTTCTGCTCATCCACCCACTCCCCTCGGACTTCAGCATAGGCCGAACCCAGGCCCTGGGATCTGACAGGCCTCTACCACTCCATGTTATGGATGTCAGAGGGCACCTTGTAGCATCTCTGGTTTACGTTGATAATTTGTTGTCTCCGAGGAAAGATTCCCTTGCGTGGTTTGGTTTTTATTTTGTTACCCAGTTCATTCAGCATGGTTTAATTTAGCATAAATTCCTGGGTTTTTTTGTGGGTTTTTTTTTTTTTTTTTTGAGTCGGAGTCTCACTGTCCCCAGGCTGGAGTGCAGTGGTGCGATCTCGGCTCACTGCAACTTCTGCCTCCCAGGTTCAAGCAATTCTCCTGCCTCAGCCTCCCGAGTAGCTGGGACTACAGGTGTGCATCACCATGCCCAGCTAATTTTTGTATTTTTAGTAGAGACAGTGTTTCACTATGTTGGCCTGGATGGTCTCGATCTCCTGACCTCGTGATCCGCCTGCCTTGGCCTCCCAGAGTGCTGGGATTACAGGCGTGTGAGCCACCACGCCCAGCTTCCTGTGTTTCTAATATGAAATTTCCGTGGCTGGTGCAGATGTTTGTACAACTTGTAGCTTTTTTTTTTTCTTAAAGTTTGGTGCAAAGTCAGGTATCTATTCATTTTCCTGTACCTAGAACGGTAAAGTCCTGGATATGCTTTAAGTAATTCAAGAGCCCATTGATTAGATGAGTTTGCCCTCAGAAAAACTTCCAAGTCTCTGGATTTTCATGATTTATGTTTGTAAGGTGAGGCTCCCTGTTTTCTTGCATTAAAAAACCCACTAACTTCATTGGAAGAGCCTTTGCTCTGTGAGCTTAGATGCGTCAAACCAAACAAGGTAGCGATCCACAGCTTTCCTAGGAGGCATCTTAACTACTGAAGTTAAGGAACTCAGTCATCCTTCTCAAACGTTTGTTCTCCACACATTAGGAAGGGCAGAAAAAGTCTTTATTCCAATGTTAAAACTTTCCCCCAGAACTCAGGGGATTAATGTATAAACTCAGTGGACAGGGAGGTAGGTTTTCTGCTTCCCTCCAAATTGAAGCCGAGATTAATTACGGTATTCACCTATTCCTGAAACATGCTGGTTAATGGTTCCTAGCTGTGCACTCCCCGAAGCAGCACTGGTCCCACAGTTCTTAGCGGACTCACTTGCTTTGATCAACTCATTCTCTCTCAGCAGGCCAAAACACTAGCCACAGGACACAAGTGCTTAGTTTACAATCATGTTAATTTTGCTTTTTGTTTGTCTTCAGTGGTTGGAGATTAATGAGTAAAAAGGGTGTTTAAATTTTCAACCAGCTTTCTTCTAATCACTTGGCTGCATTGTCACTGGCAGTTTTATTACTTTGATTCCCTGAATCAATCAGGTGTACAGTTTCTATGTCCAATGTAGGTTATGGTGCAGGAAAAGACAGTCCTACCAGGAATTACTGCTGTTGCTCTGGATTCCAGGAAGGCCTACTGTGAAAATGCTTAAGCACTGTTGTAGGACTTTTCTTTTTTCTTTTGAGACAAAGTCTCGCTCTGTTGCCCAGGGTGGAGTGCAGTGGTGTGATCTCGACTCACTGCAACCTCCACCTCCCAGGTTCAAGCGATTCTCCTGCCTCAGCCTCCCGAGTAGCTGGGATTACAGGTGTGCACCACCACACCCAGCTAATTTTTGTATTTTTAGTAGAGACAGGGTTTCACCATGTTGACCAGGCTGGTCTCAAACTCCTGACCTCAAGTGATCCACCCACTTTGGCCTCCCAAAGTGCTGAGATTACAGATTTGAGCCATGAGCCGGGCCTATATTTATTATTATTTGGAGACAGGGTCTTACCATGTTGCCCAGGTGGGAGTGCAGTAGCTATTCACAGGCATGATCATAGCTCACTGCAGCCTCGAATTCCTGGCCTCAAATTGAAAGATTCTCTCCGGGCCCTGAAAGCTTAAGGGAATGAATAACTCCTCCCTCTTCAGGCCCAGTCCCAAGGCGCAAGGCCACTTGTGCCAGCAGCATGCGTCAGTAAGATAGCAGAAGCAGGAAGAGAGCTGGCCGAAAGACACGAACCCCCGAAGACGGGAGAGAGGCTGTGTGGGTGCTGCGTAGCAGTTACCTCAGACTGAGACACTTCCTGATTACAGGAGACTATAAAACCCCTGCCCCGTCCTCTTTTGGTGCTGACGCCATATTAGGCCTCAGCCCACCTGCACTGAGGTGCTCATTAAAACAGTGTGTTGCTCCACACCACCTCGTGTTTGTTGGTGCCCTCTGAGGGTTCGAATCCATACAAGAGCCTTGCACAAATGATTCTCCTTTTTCAGCCTCCAGGATAGGTGAGATTACAGGCAAGTGCCACCTGGACTGGATTATTCCTTGCATTTTTAAGAAATCTGACATTTTCTAAACATTTTACAAAGGATGTTGCTATGGCCATTTCTCATAGTTAGGGAATCAAATTAGTTTGTCTGTTGGAATGGTGAAAGTTAATTAAGAATTTGAAGTAGGCTGAGCATGGTGGCTCACACCTGTAATCCCAGCACTTTGGGAGGCCGAGGCTGGTGGATCACCTGAGGTCAGGAGTTCGAGACCAGCCTGACCAACATGGAGAAACCCCATCTCTACTAAAAATACAAAAAATTATCCAGCCTTGGTGGCACATGCCTGTAATCCCAGCTACTCGGGAGGCTGAGGCAGGAGAATCACTTGAACCCGGGAGGCAGAGGTTGCAGTGAGCCGAGATTGCGCCATTGCACTCCAGCCTGGGCAACAAGAGTGAAACTCCGTCTCAAAAAAAAAAAAAAAAAAAAAAGAAAAAGAATTTGAAGTAAATTCATTAGAAGATGAGTTTGTTGCTACTTCAACTCCTCATCCTGTTTTCCTAACTGAGGAAAACGAACTCCATTCTGTTGCAGGTTTTCTTCAGTGTATGCTTCCTGGTGTATACAGAAACAAACCTAGCCTGGATGATTCTCTCTCAAAGAGGTCTCGTATCAGAGAAATCCCCCTCAGGTCTAATACATTGTAATGGAGATTTTGTACACAAATTGCAGCTGACTATGCCTTGCTCCCGGCAGTAAGGGACAAGGCTAGCTTTGCTTTCACATAGTGAGGACTTCCGGAGTGCAAACCTGATCACAATACTTCTTGCCTTCACATTTTTAAATGTTCCCTATGGCCTCTGGATGATACTCTCACAAGTTTATAGACGCCTCTCTCCACTGTGAGTTCCTTCTGGAACAGTGGCTTCTTTCTTTATCATTGTGCTGCCAGCTCCTAAAACAGTCCTGGGGACAGGAGGTCCTCACTGAAGAAATATTTAAGGCATTGAGGAAAGAACTTCATCCTGATGCCTTGGCATGAAGATGCATTCAGAGGTCCCAGGGGTGTAATGACATTTCTCAGGACCTCAAGCCTGGGTGATGTGTGACATTCATTTCTCAAGCCCACAGGGGCTCTCCCTTACCCTTCAAAATCCCAGGGAGGGTATCTGAGAGAAGCTTAAGAACTTCTTTTAGGCCAGCTGCGGTGGCTCAGGCTTATAACCTCAGCACTTTGGGCGGCTGAGGCAGGAGGATCGCTTGAGCCCAGGAATTTGAGACCAGCCTGGACAACATAGTAAGTCCTTGTCTCTACTAAAAATAAACTATTAGCCAGATGTGGTGGTGCGTGCCTGTGGTCCCAGCTACTCAGGAGGCTGAGGCAGGACAGCCTGAGCTGGGGGAGGTCAAAGTTACAGCAAGCAGTGATTGCACCACTGCATTCCAGCCTGGGTGACAGAGTGAGACCCTGACTTAAAAAAAAAAAAAGCCGGGTACGGGGGCTGTTGCCTGTAATACCAGCATTTGGGAGGCTGAGTGGGGAGGATTGCTTGAGCTCGGGAGTTGGAGACCAGCCTGGGCAATGTGGAGTCCTATCTAGGGAAAAAGAGTCAGGCTGGCAAGACCAAAAGAAAGCAGAAAGAGAAAGCAGATAACCTGTTGGTCTGCCTTTCTTCATGGTCCAGGATATGTAGCCCTCCTATATCCAATTTATCACAAGACACCTGTAGATTAATTAGCTCATTGCAACGTTGGTGTTATCAGCACTGCTCTAAGCCCTTGTCAGCAGACAGTACCATCCTATAAAATCCCCAGCAAGCCTTTGTCTCCTTGCAGTCTGCCCCTCTCTTGCTGACCTGCCCCTTGCACCGTTGCAATGTATTTTCATACTTTCTCTAATAAATCTGCCTTTCTTTACCAACAACTGTCTTGGTAAATTCCTTTGCCGCCCGCATGATAGCAGTCTCAGATAGTTGCCACTCACCTGCAACAGGCAACATGGTGAAACCCCATCTCTACAAAAAATACAAAAATCGGCTGGGGGTGGTGGCGCGTGCCTGTGCTCCCAGCTACTTGGTGGGGCTGAGGAGGGAGGATTACTTGTGCCCAAGAGGTTGAGGCTGCAGTGAGCCATGTTTGCACTGCTGCCCTCCAGCCAAAGAAACAAGAAACAAAGAAAAACCTTGTCTTTAAGAGCAAGGATTGTGGGACTCCAGAGTGTGGCTGTGCATGAAACGCAATGAAGTGGGCAATATGCTGCTGGGGGCAGAGAAAAAAAGGACATGTGTGACCTAACACAAAAGCTAGAGCTGGGTCTAATGGCAAAGATGACTATCAGGCTGCTTGTGGGACTTGTGGGATGCTGCTACGGCAAGCTGCATTTTCTAAGATTGCCATGACAGTATGTATCTGATTCCACGTGTTCTCCTTACAGTGTGACTGGATATTTCTCCAATGAGAGATGGGTCTATGTTCCCTACCCTTAAACCTGAGTAACCTTTTGTGTCTACCTCAACCAAAAAAAATCTGGTGGAATGATGCCATGTGACTTCTAAGATTAGGTCATAAAAGATTAGGTCATAAAACAGCTTCTCCCTGCCTCTCTGTTAGGGTACCTGCCTTGGGAAACCCTGAGCTGTTACGTAAATCTAACTACCTTCAAGCTGCCTTGCTGGACACACCACACAGAGTTAGAAGGGGATGTCTGAGGAGCCGCAGGTGTTCCAGTACCTAGCTGTTGGAGTCTCCTCAGCATAGGCACCAGGCATGTAAGTGAAGAAACCTTTGAGATAAGCTAACCCCAACCAGTCAGTCTGCAATTTCATGAGAGACCTTGAGCAGAACTGCCCTTGAGCTGCTCTAGAATTCTTGACACATAGAAACGGTGAGAGGTAAAAATGATGATTGTTGTTCAAAACAATTAATTTTATGGGTGATTTGTTACATAGTCATAGTGTTTGGGAAAAGGAACTAGACACATTTACCAAAATTGACCATAACCTGGGCCAAATCGTAGTTAGGTTTTAAAAAAACCATTTGGGGTAATTGCAATTTAGTCTTTTTTTTTTTTTTTGAGACGGAGTTTCACTGTTGTTTGCCCAGGCTGGAGTGCAATGGCGCCATCTTGGCTCACTGCAACCTCTGCCTCCTGGGTTCAAGCAATTCTCCTCCCTCAGCCTCCCAAGTAGCTGGAATTACAGGTGTGCACCACCACGCCTGGCTAATTTTTGTATTTTAGTAGAGATTGGGTTTCACCACGTTGCCCAGGCTAGTCTCGAATTTCTTATCTCAGGTGATCCACCCTCCTCAGCCTCCCAAAGTGCTGGGATTACAGGCAGGAGCCACGGTGCCCGGCTGCAATTTACTCTTAAAAATAAGAACCTAGGTGCCAGGTGCAGTGGCTCATGCCTATAATCCCAGCACTTCGGGAGGCCAAGGAGGGTGGACTGCCTGAGGTCAGGAGTTTGAGACCAGCCTGGTGGTGAAACCCCATTTCTACTAAAATACAAAAATTAGCCAGGCATGGTGGCAGGCACCTGTAATCCCAGCTATTTGGGAGGCTGAAGCAGGAGAATCACTTGAACTCGGGAGGCAGGGGTTGTAGTGAGCCGAGACGGAGCTACCGCACTCCAGCCTGGGCAACAGAGCCAGACTCCATCTCAAAAAAAAAAAAGAAAGAAAGAACCTAGGCTGATTGCCATGGCTCATGCCTGTAATCCTGGCATTTTGGGAGGATGAGGCAGGCAAATCACTTGAGGCAGGGAGTTTGAGACCATGGCAAAACCCCTTCTCTACTAAAAAATACAAAAACAAGCCAGATGTGGTGGCACATCCCTGTAATCCCAGCACTTTGGGAGGCTGAGGAGGGTGGATCACTTGAGGCCAGGAGTTTGAGACTAGCCTGGCCAACATGGTGAAACTCCATCTCTACAAAAAATATAAAAATTAGCCAGGTGTGGTGGCACATGCCTGTAATCCTAGCTACTCAGGTGGCTGAGGCACGAGAATCCCTTGAACCTGAGGGATGGAGGCTGTAGTGAGCTGAGATTGCTCCACTGCACTGCAGACTGGGCAACAGAGCAATACTCAATCTCAAACAAAACAAAACAAAACAAAAAACCCGCAAAACAAACAAAAAAACTGGCTGATGCAGGAGGATCATTTGAACCCAGGAGTTTGAGGCTGCAGTGAGCCGTGATCACACTACTGCACTTCAGCTTGAGGGACAGAGTAAGACCCTGTCTCTCAAAAAAAAAAAAAAAAAGAGAAAAAAGAAAAAAAGAGAAAAGCGTAGTGGTTCATGCCTGTAATCCCAGAACTTTGGGAGGCCGAGACAGGTAGATCACCTGAGGTCAGGATTTCTAGACCAGGCTGACCAACATGGTGAAACCCTGTCTCTACTAAAAATACAAAATTAGCTGGGTGTAGTGGTGCATGTCCATAATCCTAGATACTCAGGAGGCTGAGGAAGGAGAATTGCCTGAACCTGGGAGGCAGAGGTTGCTGTGAGCCGAGGCTGTGCCACTGCACTCCAGCCTGGGAGATGGAGCAAGATTTTCTCTCCAAAAAAAAAAAAAAAAAAAGTCTAATGTCAATGGATAGAAAAGATCTTTCCTAATCTGATAAGTGACTCAATGAAAAACTATAGCAAATATCATATTAAATAGTAAAATAGTAGTAAAATATCAAAGTTTTTCCTCTTGAAGTTGGGAGCAAGACAATGATAACCACTATCTCTACCTTGTCCTAGCAAATACAGAAGGTAAGAAAAAAACAAAATGTATAAGGCTCAAAACAGAAGGAAAAAACTGTCATTATATGGAATTGACATACTTGTATGTCAAGAAAATTCAAAATAATCTACAGAAAAATTATTAGAATAAAAATAATTTTAAAAGAATTAAAACATTAAAGGCCGAGTGCAGTGGCTCACGCCTGTAATCTCAGTACTTTGGGAGGCCGAGGCGGGCGGATCACCTGAGGTTGGGGGTTCGAGACCAGACCAACAAGGAGAAACCCCGTCTCTCCTAAAAATACAAAATTAGCCAGGCGTGGTTGTGTATGCCTGTAATCCCAGCTACTCGGGAGGCTGAGGCAGGAGAAACGCTTGAACCTGGGAGGTGGAGGTTGTAGAGAGCCGAGATTGAGCCATTGCACTCCAGCCTGGGCAACAAGAGTGAAACTCTGTCTCAAAAAAAAATTCTTTTTAAATAAATAAAAAAGAAAGAAAAAGACTGATGAACTATTCTACAGTAAAGAAGCCTAAAGAGACATGATGTGGTATAAAAGGTATTTGGTTTCTTTCTGCCCCAGAACTCCTAAAATCCTAGAAATTTCCTGAGTGCTAGGAGGATCTTCTGTTATTCATAATTAGCTCCTTTGATAAGTCCTGAGTTTATGCTAATGAACCTGCTTAGGGCGGGGCCCGTAGATAGCTTCAGGATGGGGCTAGTCACCAGAAAGTCCAGGTGATTAGAGGATTAGAGGATTGGAACTTAAGCCCCACCCACCAACATCTGGAAGGGCTGAGGGTGCAAGAAATTTAGCTCTATTAAAAATTTAAACACTGCAGTCGGCTCGAGTACTCCCAGTAACGAGGAGGTGTTCTCGGTCGTCCCACCCTCCCCTGCCGTCGCCGGGCTGCGCCGCCGGAGCCGGGACGCGCCTCCGCTGCCCTCGCCTCCTCCGTCCCCGCTGCCCTCGCCGCCCCCGTCCCCGCTGCCCTCGCCGCCTCCGTCCCCGCGGCCGCCGCTCCCCTCGTCGTCCGCGCGCACACGATGAAGAAGGAGTCCCTCAACCAGAGCCTCGCCGAGTGGAAGCTCTTCATCTACAACCCGACCACCGGAGAGTTCCTGTGGCGCACCGCCAAGAGCTGGGGTTTGATCTTGCTCTTCTACCTAATTTTTTATGGGTTCCTGGCTGCACTCTTCTCATTCACGATGTGGGTTATGCTTCAGACTCAACGATGAGGTTCCAAAATACCGTGACCAGATTCTTAACCCAGGACTGATGGTTTTTCCAAAACCAGTCACTGCATTGGAATATGCATTCAGTAGGTCTGATCTAACTTCGTATGCAGGGTACACTGAAGACCTTAAGAAGTTTCTAAAACCATATACTTTAGAAGAACAGAAAAACCTCACAGTCTGTCCTGATGGAGCACTTTTTGAACAGAAGGGTCCAGTTTATGTTGCTTGTCAATCTCCCATTTCGTTACTTCAAGCATGCCGTGGTATGAATGATCTTGATTTCGGCTATTCTCAAAGAAACCCTTGTATTCTTGTGAAAATGAACAGAATAATTGGATTAAAGTCTGAAGGAGTGCCAAGGATAGATTGTGTTTCGAAGAATGAAGATATACCAAATGTAGCAGTTTATCCTCATAATGGAATTATAGACTTAAAATATTTCCCATATTATGGGGAAAAACTGCATGTGGGGTATCTACAGCCATTGGTTGCTGTTCAGGTCAGCTTTGCTCCTAACGATACTGGGAAAGAAGTAACAGTTGAATGCAAGATTGATGGATCAGCCAACCTTAAAAGTCAGGATGATCGTGACAAGTTTTTGGGACGAGTTATGTTCAAAATCACAGCATGTGCATAGTATGAGTAGGATGTCTCCACAGAGTAAATTTTGTGTTGTCTGTCTTCATTTTGTATCAGCTGGACCTTCCATTCTAGAATTATGAGACCACCTTGGAGAAAGGTGTGTGGTACATGACACTGGGTTACATCATAACGTGCTTCCAGATCATAGTGTTCAATGTCCTCTGAAGTAACTGCCTCTTGCCTCTGCTGCCCTTTGAACCAGTGTACAGTCACCAGATAGGGACCGGTGAACACCTGATTCCAAACATGTAGGATGGGGGTCTTGTCCTCTTTTTATGTGGTTTAATTGCCAAGTGTCTAAAGCTTAATATGCTGTGCTATGTAAATATTTTATGGCTATAACACTGTCATATTTTGATGTCAACAGAGTTTTAGGGATAAAATGGTACCCGGCCAACATCAAGTGACTTTATAGCTGCAAGAAATCTGGTATGTGGAGAAGTTCTGCATGTGAGGAAGGAAAAAAAGACAATAAAAATGTATTTGAAAAATATTTTTAAAAAAATTTAAACACTAAGATTTGATGAATTTCCTTTCTGCTGAACACCTGGAGGTGCTGGGAGGGAGGCACACCCACAGGTCGTGGCAGCACCACACCCCTCCCCCCGTACTTTGCCATATCCATCTCTTCATCTGGATGTTCATCTGTATCTTATGATTTTTTTTTTTTGAGACAGAATCTTGCTCTCTTGCCCAGGCTGGATTGCAGAGGCACGATCATGGCTCACTGCAACCTCTGCCTCCCAAGTAGCTGGGATTACAGGTACGTACCACCACGCCTGGCTAATTTTTGTATTTTTTCTACAGATGGGATTTCACCATGGTGGCTAGGCTGGCCTTGAACTCCTGACCTCATGTAATCCACCCACCTTGGCCTCCCAAAGTGTTGGGATTACAGGCCCAAGCCACTGTGCCTGGCAAAGACCCTGTCTTTTTTTTTTTTTTTTTTTTTTGAGACGGAGTCTCACTCTGTTGCCCTGGCTGGAGTGCAGTGGTGCGATCTCAGCTCACTGCAACCTCTGCCTCATGAGTTCAAGCAATTCTCCTGCCTCAGCCTCGTGAGTAGCTGGGATTACAGGCGCCTGCCACCACGCCCAGCTAATTTTTGTATTTTTAGTAGAGACGGGGTTTCACCATGTTGGCCAGGCTGGTCTCGAACTCCTGACCTCATGATTCGCCTGCCTTGGCCTCCCAAAGTGCTGGGATTATAGGTGTGAGCCACCACGCCTGGCCAAGACCCTGTCTTAAAAAAAAAAAAAGGCAGGGCGTGGTGGCTGACACCTATAATCCCAGCACTTTGGGAGGCCAAGGCGGGCATATCACTTGAGCCCGGAAGTTTGAGACCAGCTTGGCCAACATGGTGAAACCCATCTCTACTAAAAATACAAAAATTATCTGGGCATCGTGGCGCGCACCTGTAATCTCAGCTACTCAGGAGGCAGAGGCAGGAGAATCGCTTGAACCCAGGAGGTGGAGGTTGCATCACGCCATTGCACCCCAGACTGGGCGACAGGGCAGGACTCTGTCTCAAAAAAAAAAAAAAAAAAAACACACAAAACGCCTGTAATCCCAGCACTTTGGAAGCCTTGAACCTGGAAGGCAGAGGTTGCGGTGAGCCAAGATTGCACCATTGCACTCCAGCCTGGGCAACAAGAGCGAAACTGTCTCAAAAAAAAGATAGAGTCTTGATCTGTTGCCTAGGCTGGAGTGCAGTGGCATGATCTTGGCTCACTGCAACCCCCACATCCCAGGTTCAAGTGATTCTCCCACCTCAGCCTTCCAAGTAGCTGGGATTACAGGTGTGAGCCACCATGCCCGTCTCATGGCGGACGTACAAAAAATTTTTGTATTTTTAGTAGAGAAGGGATTTCACCACGTTGGCCAGACTGGTCTCCAACTCCTGGCCTCAGTAATCCACCTGTCTTGGCCTCCCAAACTGCTAGGATTAGGCAGGATAATAGGACCTGGAGGCAGGGAACCTAAGGACTTCCGAGAACTAAATCAAATGGAAACATCTCATCTATGACAGGAAATATCCTTCTCATTTACATAGGCTGTACAGTGAGTAAATGATTTTGTAACTTTACTTCATCCTCTTCATTTACATAGGGTGTACGTCAAGTAACCAATGGAAACCTCTAGAAGGTATTTAAACCCCAGAAAATTCTGTAACGAGGCTCTTGACCCCCTATGCTCAGGCCTGCTTTCACCCTCTGGAGTATACTTTCATTTTCGAGAAATCTCTGCTTTTGTTGCTTCATTCTTTACTTGCTTTGTTTGTGCATTTTGTCCAATTCTTTGTTCAAGACGCCAAGAACCTGGACACCCTCAACCGGTAACAGGACTACAGGCATGAGCCGCCACGCCCGGCCTATGATATCTTTTATAATAAACTGGCAATGTGTTTCCCTGAATTCTGTGAACTGTCTTAGCAAATTAGTCAAACCCAAGGAGGAGGTCGCAGGAACCCTGGTTTCTAGCCAGTCAGAAGTACCAGTGGCCTAAGGATAGCGTCAGAATTTTCATTCACTCATTCATTCATTTACTTATCGTTCTTGTGGGTACATAGTAGGTGTATGTATTTCTGGAGTACATGAGATATTTTGGTACAGGCATGCAATGTATGGCTCAGAATTGAACTGAATTACGGGACACCCTGATGGAGAATCCACTGAAGGATTGCTTAGTGGGATAAAATCCCCACACATTTTGGTGGCCAAGGGTCTCAGAAGTCTTCTCTGTTGATTGTGAGATTAAAGGCCAAAAAATAACGGTTTTTATTTTTTGTAGAAATGGGGTCTCCACCTGTCACCCAGGCTGGTCTTGAATTCCTGGCCTCAAGCAATCCTCCCACCTCACATCATTGTACTGGGCTTGGTTTTTCTTTTGACGCATGACAACTAAGTGCAATATGGGATGCTGGATTGAATTCTGGACCAAGGTTTTAAAAAACTTTTTTTATTTTGCTACAGGGGACATTAGTGAGATAACTAATGAAATTTAGATAAAGTACACAGATTATAGTACTGTGTCAGTGTTAATTTCATGATTTTCATAACTGTATTGTGATTATGTAAGGGAATATCATTGTTTTTACAAAGTTATTTAGAGGTAAAGTGGCATCATGTCGGCAATTTACTCAAATGTATAAACAGAGGGGCCAGGTGGGGTGGCACACGCCTGTAATCCCAGCACGTTGGGAGGCCAAGGCAGCTGGATACTTGAGGTCAGAAGTACAAGACTAGCCTGACCAACATGGTGAAACCTCATCTGTACTAAAAATACAAAAATTAGTTGGGTGCGGTGGTGCACTTCTGTAATCCCAGCTACTTGGGAGGTTGAAGCACAAGAATCATTTGAACCCGAAAGGCCAAGCTTGCAGTGAGCTGAGATCCCAGCTGAGGTGCGCAGACTGCTTGAACCCAGGAGGTCAAAGTTGCAGTAAGCTATGATCATGCCACTGTACTCCAGCCTGGGTGACAGAGTGAGACCCCATCTGTAAAAAAAAATAAATAAATAAATTGGTATGATCACTTTGGAAAGCTGTTAGTATACTCAATTGAACACACACGTACCCTAAGACACAGCAATTTTACTACTAAATATATGTCCTGCAGAAATATGCACACAGATGCACCAAAAGACATATACAGGAATATAATTCACATCAGCCCCAAACTGGATACAACCCAAAAATAGAATGGATAAGTAAAATGTGGCATATTTATAGAACTGAACACTACTGGCAATAAAAATGAATGAACTGCAACTATATACAACCACGTGGATGAATTTCTCAAACATAATGTTGAGCAAGACACAAAAGAACACACGAATATGAGTCCGTTTACATATACTTCAAAAGCAGGCAAAACTAATTCTTAAAAAATTTTTACTTTTTAATTGAATTATAACCAGAGAAAATGTACAAATCTTAAATGTATGGCATTTTAACATATGGAAAACATTCATAATGAATGTTAAATACCTAGATCCAGATATGGAATATTTCATTCCCCAGTAGCTGTGTCCCCCTCCCAGATGATAATTCCAAACCTCAACTACTATTCTGATCTATTTGTACCTTGAATTAGTTTTTTCATAGACTACTATTGCTTTTTTTCCTTCTATTTTTTAAAGACAGTCTTACTCGGTCACACATTAAATAATAATTACCATTGCCCCTTCCCGCTAACCCCTAGCAGTCAGTTTCACTTTTTGTCTTTATGATTTTTTATTATTTATTTAGAAACAAGATCTCACTCTGTTGCCCAGGCTGGAGTGCAATGACATGAACACAGCTTACTGCAGCCTCTAGTTCCTCGGTTCAAGTGAGCCTCCTGCCATAGCCTCCCAAGTAGCTGAGACTACAGACACATGCCACCATGACCAGCTAATTGTTTTAAATTTATTTTTTATGGAGATGGGGTCTCACTCTGTTGCCCTGGGTGGTCTCAAACTCCTGAGCTCAAGCAATCCTCCCACCTCAGCCTGCCTGTGTTGAGATTACAGGCATAAACCACCATGCCTGATTTTTTTAAAAATAATTTTTTGTAGATATGGGGTCTCCCTGTGTTGCCCAGGCTGGTCTTGAAATCCTGGGCTCAAGTAATCATCCTGCTTTGGCCTGATTACTATTTCTACTATTTCTTGACCTGACTGTTGTTTCCATAGATGTAGACACCTTTTTATTATTTATTGATCTCTATATTTAGGATTTGTATACTTTTCTGTATATATATTACACTCCAATAAAAGTTTTCTCAAAAAATCCAAAGATTTTATTAGCTATTGCTCCTCAACTCAGCACAGTGACTGTAGAATTTTATCCAGGTATGTTCTAAGCATTAGCTTCTTTCATTTCTGCTACTACAGGCATATTTCATGATTTTATTACTATTATCATTTTATGAGTCTGCCTATTTTTTTTATTTTTTATTTTTTGAGAGGAGTCTGGCTGTGTCGCCCAGGCTGGAGTGCAGTGGCACAATCTCGGCTCACTGCAAGCTCCACCTCCCAGGTTCATGCCATTCTCCTGCCTCAGCCTCCCGAGTAGCTGGGACTACAGGTGCCCGCCACCATGCCTAGCTAATTTTTTGTATTTTTAGTAGAGCCAGGGTTTCACCATGTTAGCCAGGATGGTCTCGATCTCCTGACCTCGTGATCCGCCCACCTCGGCCTCCCAAAGTGCTGGGACTACAGGTGTGAGCCACCACGCCCGGCCGAGTCTGCCTATTTAAACTAAAGACTCATATTAAAATAGGAAGGGGGATAACATTTAAAAAATTACTGTATTATAAAAGTCATTGTTTCTCTGTGAGGAGAGATGATGAATATATGAATTGTTTTTTCTCTCTCATCTTCTAGTTACTAAAGAACAATCTGAGATCTGAGAGACATTCTGAAGAGGTGGTGAAAAGGGCTTACCAATGAGCACGCAAGAGCATCTTGTTTGGACACAGTGTCTACCCGGATACCCCTAGTCGGTCCCATTTAGATGAAAATATGTCTCTGGCCGGGCGCAGTGGCTCATGCCTGTAATCCCAGTACTTTGGGTGAGGCGGGTGGATCACCTGAGGTCAGGAGTTTGAGATCAGTCTGGCCAACATGGTGAAACCCCGTCTCTACTAAACATACAAAAATTACTTGGGCATGGTGGTGTGCAACTGTAGTCCCAGCTACAGTCTCTCAGCCGAGGCAGGAGAATTGCTTGAACCCAGGGGGTGGAGGTTGCAGTGAGCCTAGATGGTGCCACTGCACTCCAGCCTGGGCAACGGAGTAAGACTCCATCTCTAGATAGATAAATAAATAAATAAATAAATAAATAAATAAATAAATAAATAAATAAAAGTATAGCTCCAAGTCTTGTCTTCAACGTTAAAGTCTAACACTAACATCCCAAGGCAGAATCTTATTATTTCCAGTGGTATTCGTTGTCATGAATTCGTTAGTTTAATGCTGGGACTATATATAATTCTTTTTTTTGTTTGTTTCAGTTTTTTTATTTTGCAGAGCATAGTAGAGGTGTGAGACTATATATAATTATATAATTATCTTGGCTGTTTTCTGAGAAAACTTACAGGAGGAATGGATACCAATAATTTTTTTTTTTTTAGACGGAGTCTCAATCTGTCCCCCAGGCTGGAGTGCAGTGGTGTGATCTCGGCTCACTGCAACCTCTGCCTCCTGGGTTCAAGCGATTCTCCTGCCTCAGCCTCCTGAGTAGCTGGGATTACAGGCGTGTGCCACATACCTGGCTGGTCTCAAACCCCTAACCTCAGGTGATCTGTCCACCTCGGCCTCCCAAAGTGCTAGGATTACAGGCATGAGCCACCTGTATCAATAACTATTGAAACTAGAGTTTTATGTAAGAATTGACATGTCTTTTTGTTGTTTATATTTCTCCCCACGTCCATGATGTACAACCTTCCTATTTAGAGAATGTTGAGCTGTTGTGATGACTAATGTTAAATGATATTATATTTATCTGAATTAGTTTCAATTTAATCACCATTTCATGAAGTCACCTCAAAATGAATTGATGACTCTAAGGAAATAATCACTTTTAGGAAACAATTAGTTTGGACACTGTGTTTCTACTATTAGGTGAAAACCAAATAGAATTTTATGTTTGAAAAATTAGCAGCTAATTGCACTCAAATCATGACTCTCTCCTGAGGAAAGTACTTTGCAGATTATAATTATCAGTGATACTTTGTAAATGAAAAAGCAAGCATTGAAGAAATTAAGGGTTTTGTGGTTCTCTGTGAAATTAGAGCCAGGAATGAGACTCTGTGTTTCTGGTTCTTGTTCTTGTACCAAACCATCTGACCATAGATAGGCAACTTTTAGAATTTAGCCAAGAATAAAGGAAATTGTCAAGATAACCTTAATAAATTTATGCAATATTAATATGCAATCCTCTTTCACATTAAATTTATGAAATCATATTTAATGCCGGGCCTGCTGGCTCACACCTGTAATCCCAGCACTTTGGGAGGCCGAGGTGGGCAGATCACTTGAGGTCAGGAGTTTGAGACCAGCCTGGCCAACATGGTGAATCCCTGTCTCTACTAAAAGTACAAAAATTAGCCAGGCGTGGTGGTGTGCGCCTTTAGTTCCAGCTACTCGGGAGGCTGAGGCAGGAGACTCGCTTGAACCTGGGAGGCGGAGGTTGCAGTAAGCCAAGATCTCTGTTCTAGCCTGAGCAACACACTGAGACTCTGTCTCAAAGAAAAAAAAAAAGAAAAAGAAAAAAAAGAAATCATATTTAATGTATACTTTAAGATATGAAATTTTATATTCTCACTTTCAGCTGGGATCCCTAGTCGCTTAAGAGAGTCATTCTTTTTCTTCAAAACAGGGTCTGTCCCTTATCGCCCAGTCTGGAGTGCAGTGGCTCGATCTCAGCTCACTGTGGCCTTGACCTCCCAGGCTAAAGAGATTCTCCTACCTCAGCCTCCTGAATAGCTGGGAATACAGGTGCACGCCACCACACCTGACGTTTTGGAGAGACGGGGTTTTGCCATGTTGCCTAGGCTGGTCTCGAACTCCTGGGCTCAAGTCATCCTGTTGCATCAGCCTCCCGAGTAGCTAGGATTATAGGCGCCCACCACCATGCCCAGCTAATTTTTTATTTTTGGTAGAGGCGGGGTTTCGCCATATTGGCCAGTCTGGTTTCAAACTCCTGACCTCAAGTGATCTGGCTGCCTCAGCCTCCCAAAGTGCTGTCTTTTTGTTTTTTTGAGACAGGGTCTGGCTCTGTTAGCCAGGCTGGAGTGCAATGGGATGATCACAATTTACTGCAGCCTCAACTTCCTGGGCTCAAGTAATCCTTACTGCCTCAGCCAGGCACACACCACCACGCCGGGCTAATTGTCTGTGTTTTTTGTAGAGACAAGATGTCACCATATTGTCCAGGGTGATCTTAAATTCCTGGGCTCAATCCTGCTGCCTCGGCCTCCCAAAGTGCTAGGATTATAGGTGTGAGCCATCTCGTCAGAACATTTGTTTTCTTTTCTCTGGGATAAAAGTTCGGGAGGGGCCGGCGTGGTGGCTCACACCTGTAATCCCAGCACTTTGGGAGGCAGAGTAGATCATTTGAGGTCAGGAGTTCAAGACCAGTCTGACCAACATGGTGAAACCCTGTCTCTACTGAAAATACAAAAATTAGCTGGGCATGGTGGTGCGAGTCTATAATCCCAGCTACTTGAGAGGCTGACGTACTAGAATCGCTTGAACCCCGGAGGTGGAGGTTGCATTCATTGAGCTGAGATCGTGCCACTGGACTTGAGCCTAAGAAGCCGCTCCAGACTCCATCTCAAAAAAAAAAAAAAAAATTCCAGGAGGGGAAGGCAGTTAGTTGCTGGGTCAAATGGTAGTTGCATGTTGTTATGGAAAAAATTGTTTGTTGCAGGCCGACAAGAAATTGCATGGTGGCACACGCAGGTTGTTCCAGCTACTTGGGAGGCTGAGGCAGGAGAATTGCTTGACCCAGTGTGGCAGAGGTTGCAGTGAGCCAAGGTCACTCCACTTCACTCCAGCCTGGGCAACAGAGGGAAATTTAATCTCAAGAGAAAAAAAAAAAAAAAAAAGCTTGTCTGGTGTGGTGGCTCATGCCTTTAATCCTGGCTTTTTTTGTTTGTTTGTTTAAGACAGAGTCTTGCTCTGTCACCCAGGCTGGAGTGTGAGTGGCATGATCTCGGCTCACTGCAACCTCTGCCTCCTGGGTTCAAGCAAGTCTCCTGCCTCAGCCTCCCGAGTAGCTGGGACTACAGGTGCGTGCCACCACGCCCAGCTAATTTATTGTATTTTTAGTAGAGACGGGGTTTCACCATGTTGGCCAGGCTGGTCTCGATCTCCTGACCTCGTGATCCAACTGCCTTGGCCTCCCAAAGTGCTGGGATTACAGGCATGAGCCGCTGCAATCAGCTGAATCTGGCATTTTGGGAGGCCAAGATGGGAGGATTGCTTGAGGTCAGGAATTGAAGAGCAGTGTGGTCAAGATAGTGAGACCCCCATCTCTAATTTAAAAAAAAATTTTTTTCAGACTGTTTTCCAGAGTGGTTGTATTATTTTACATACCCACCAGCAGTGTATGAATGATCTAGTTTCTCAAAATCCTCACCAGCATTTGGCGATGTCACTATATTTTATTTTGGCCATTCTGATAGATGTGAAGGGATATTCCACTGTGGTTTTAATTTGCGTATGTTTAATGGCCAGTGGTGTTGGACATCTATTCATGTGCCTTTTTGCCTTCTGAATAGTTTCTTTGATGAAATGTCTGTTTATATCTTGTGCCCACGTAATTGGTTTGTATTTTTACTTTCGAGTTTTGAGGGGTTTTTAAAAATATATTTTAGATATTAGTCCTTTGTCTGATGTAAACTTTGCCAATATTTCCCCCTACAGTCTGTAGCTTTTACTTATATTCTCTTAACAGTGTCTTTCATAAAGCAAAAAATATTTTAATTTTGATGAGGGCCAAGTTGTCAATTTTTCCATCATGCTTTTGGTGTTAAGTGTAAGAATCCTTTGTCTAGCCTGAGATCCCAAAGACTTTCTCTTACTTTTTTTTAAAAGTTTTATAGTTTTACATTTTACATTTAAGTCTATGATTTATTTTTGTGAAATTTTATAGAAGATATGACGTTTAGGTTGAGGTTCATTATTTGCCTATGCATGTTCAATGCTCCAGCATCATTTGTTAAAAAGGCTATCCTTCCTCCATTGAATTGCTTTCATACTGTTGTCAAAAATCAATTTGCCACATTTGTGTGGGTCTATTTCTGGATTCTCTGTTCCTTCACCAATATCACTCATTTGATTACTGCAGCTAAATAGTAAGACTTAATATTTGGTAGAGTGATTCTTTTCTGTTTCTTCTTTTTCAAGATTGTTTGAGCTATTCTAGGACCTGTGCCTTTCCATATAAATGTTCGAATAAGCTTGTCTATGTCTGCAAGAAACCTTTTTAGGATTCTTATAGGAATTGCATAAAACCTGTGGATAAATTTTGGAGGGAACTAACATCTTTGTTATTTTGAGTCTTCCAATCCATGAACATGGTATGTCTCTCAATTTATTTAGGTCTTTCAGAATTTCTTCAACAGCATTTTGTAATTTGTAGGATACAGATCCTGTACTGTTTTATTTTATCTATTTATATACTTTTTTGGGACAGAGTCTCACTCTGTTGCCCAGGCTGGAGTTCAGTGGCATGATCTTGGCTCGCTGCAGCTACTCTGCTTCCTGGGTTCAAGTGATTCTTCTGCCTCAGCCACCCAAGTAGCTGGGAATACAGGTATGTGCCACCACTCCTGGCTCATTTTTAGTAGAGATGGAGTTTTACTATAGCCAGGCTGGTCTTGCACTCATGATCTCAAGTGATCCACAGGTCTTGGCCTCCAAAAGAGCTGAGATTACAGGTGTGAGCCACTGAGCCCAGCCCTGTACATGTTTTATAAGTTTATACCTAAGTATTTAATTTTCTTTGGAGTGATTGTATATAGTATTGTGTTTTTAATTTCAGTTTCCACATGTTTATTATTAACATATAGAAATGCAATTGATTTTTCTGTGTTGGTTTTGCATCTGTGACCCATTTATTGGTTCTAGGAATTTCTTTGGCAGATTCCTTGGAATTTTCTGGATAGACAATCATATCATCTGCAAATTGGGACAGTTTTATACTTACTTACGTCTTTCTTTCTTTCTTTCTCCCTCTCTTTCTTTTCTTTTCTTTTCTTTTTTTTCTTATTGCACTTTCAGTACTATGTTGAATGAGAGTTGTGAGAGGACATCCTATTTTAGCGGGAAAACATTCAGTCTTTCACCATTAAAAGTATGATGTTAGTTGTAAGGTTTTTTTTGTAAGCCTACATTCATTTTGGAAACAAATCTACCATGTTGGCTTTTGATTAATCCATGTTCTGGAAAGTCCTCTATGATTTCCAGTTTATCTATTGTTCCTTTTGTAAGAGCAGGTACATACCATAAATTCTGCCCTTAGATCAAACAACTTTGATGTTATGGTACTTCAATTGTCCTACACATCCCTTCTGAACCACCCCTCCTATATGATATAAAAGCCCTGAGTCGGCCGGGCATGGTGGCTCACGCCTGTAATCCTAGCACTTTGGGAGGCTGAGGCTGCCAGATCACCTGAGGTCAGGGGTTTGAGATCAGCCTGGCCAACATGGTGAAACTCCATTTCTACTAAAAATACAAAAATTGCCAGGTGTGGTGGCTCACGTCTGTAATCCCAGCACTTTGGGAGGCCGAGGCAGGTCGATCACCTGAGGTCGGGAGTTTGAGACCAGCTTGACCAACATGAGAAGCCCTGTCTCAACTAAAAATACAAAAAATTAGCTGGGCATGGTGGTGCATGCCTGTAAGCCCAACTACTCAGGAGGCTGAAGCAGGAGAATCGCTTGAGCCTGGGAGGCGGAGGTTACGGTGAGCCGAGATCACCCCATTGCATTTCAACATGGGCAACAAGAGCGAAACTCCATCTCAAAAAAAAAACAAAAAACAGAAAAAAGAAAATCAGCCGGGCGTGGTGGCACACACCTATGATCCTAGCTACTCAGGAGGCTGAGGCAGGAGAATTGCTTGAACCCGGGAGGCAGAGGTTGCAGTGAGCTGAGATTGTGCCACTGCACTCAGGCCTGGGTGACAGAGTGAGACTCCGTCTCAGAAAAAAAAAAAAAAAAATGCCCTGAGTCTCGGGAGTAAGGGTGCAGCATTCAGCATCTTGTCATCGCTGCAACCCGAGACACAGATATAACTTCTGTTAGTAAGTCTCTATTAATGTTTTTTCTAAGAAGCTGGATTTGTCTGCCTCTTTCTTCAGCCTCTCAGCTTCCTCAGACTTTGGGGCAGATTTACATAGATCTGCTGGCCATGGAACAATGCTTTTTATCAAGTTGGGGAATTCCTTTCATTCCTGGTGTGCTGAGACTTTTTAATTTTATTTTATCTTATTTTATTTTGAGACAGGGTCTTACTCTGTCACCCAGGCTGGAGTGCAGTGGTGTGATCATAGCTCACTGAAGCTTCAATTTCCTGGGCTCAAGCAGTCCTCCTGCCTTAGCCTCTGTAGTAGCTGGAACATTTTGCTAAATCCTTTTTCTTCAATTGACATGATTATATGATTTTTCTTTAGCTTATGGATGTGGTGGATTACACTGATTATTTTTTGAAATATTGAACCAGCCTTGCATACGTAGAATAAATCCCACTTGGTTATGGCATATTATACCATAAACAAACCATTACCATTTTCATGCATTGTTTGATTAGATTTGCTAATATTTTGTTGCGGCTTTTTGTGCCTAAGTGATCTGTTGTAATATATTGGTCTTTAATTTTTTTTTCTTTTGCCTTCTTGGTACTTTGGCTCAAACCTGTAATCCCAGCACTTTGGGAGGCTGAAGTGAGTGGATCATTTGAGGTCAGGAGTTCCTGACCAGCCTGGCCAGTGTGGTACAACCCCATCTCTAGTACAACTACAAATATCAGCTGGGAGTGGCGTCAGGCGCCTGCGGTCATAGCTACTTGGGAGGCTGAGGCAGGAGAATTGCTTGAATCCTGGAATGGGAGGTTGCAGGGAGCTGAGATCGCACCGCTGCATTCCAGCCTGGGCTATGGAGCAAGACCCCGTCTCAAACAAACAAATAAAAAATACAGAAAGAACATTTACTCCAAATTACATTTAAGAAAATTCACCATTTTGGAAAACAAATATTCTAATACTAATAATGAGACCAAATCACATGCTTTATATAATTTTTCCTGTTACATGATTAGATAGTAAGCCACGACCAGGTGAAGTGTCTCATGCCTGTAATCCCAGCACTTTTGGGAGGCCAAGGCAGGTGGATCACTTGAGGTCAGGAGTTTGAGACCAGCCTGGCCAACATGGAGAAACCCCTTCTCCACTAAAAATACAAAAAATTAGCCAGTATGGTGGCTCACGCCTGTAATCCCAGCTGCTCAGGAGGCTGAGGCAGGAGAATCGGCTGAACCCGGGAGACGGAGGCTGCAGTGAGCTGAGATTGTGCCACTGCACTCTCTAGCCTGGGCGACGGAGTGAGAATCCATCTCATAAAAAAAAAAAAAAAAAAAGATAGTAAGCTATTCTTTCATAGAGTTACTCAGATTTAGGGACATCAGAAATGATGTTTATAGCAAGCTCTTGGTCAAAACCAAAGTCAATTGGCTGATTCTGGCTTAACTCATTTTAATATATGCCTAATGTATTTGTTTATTATATAATATAAAATAATATACTGCGGTAATACCCTACTGCAGTAATATATTATGTATCTGCAGTAGGGTATTATTAATATATTATCTTAGTCTGTTTTATGTTGCTTATAACAGAATACCTGAAGGTGGGTAATTTGTAAAGAAAAGGATTTTTTTTTTTTTTTGAGACAGGATCTCACTGTCACCCAGGCTGGAGTGCAGTGGCACAATCTCGGTTCACTGCAACCTCCACCTCCCAGGCTCAAGTGATCCTCCCGCCTCAGCCTTCCAAGTAGCTGGGATTACAGGCATGCACCACCATGCCCGGCTAATTTTTGTATTTTTAGTAGAGACGGGGTTTCGCCATGTTGGCAAGGCTGGTCTTGAACTCCTGACCTCAGGTGATCCACCTGCCTCGGCCTCACAAAGCGCTAGGATTACAGGCGTGAGCCATCGAGCCCAGTAAGTCATCATCTTTTAAAGGCCCATCTCTTAATATTGCCACATTGGGGATTAAATTTCTTCTTTTTCTTTTTCTAAGATGGGGTCTCACTATGTTGCCCAGGCTATTCTTAAACTCCTAGGCTCAAGCAGTCCTCCTGCCTTGGCTTCCCAAAATGCTGGGATAACAGGAATGAGCTGCCATCTCTGGCAGGGATTAAATCCTAACACAAGTTTTGGAGGGGACAAATACCTTACAAAACATACATAAAATTTTTTTAAGTTAAAGCACAAGATAGAAGCTGTAACATTTTCTTCCTGTATTCCACTGAAATTTCTTCTGTACATGGGGTGTGTATTACCCCTCCTTGTAGACCACTGACCTGTAAGACAGAGTTCAAAGTCCTTCCCCTGTTATAAACAGAGTCCTTGCCTCTCACCTCTCCCGGCTTGAACCTTATACTCCCACAACATTGAACTTTTTTTTTTTTGAGTTGGAGTCTCACTCTGTTGCCCAGGCTGGAGTTCAGTGGCATGATCTTGGCTCACTGCAACCTCTGCCTCCCAGGTTCAAGAGATTCTTATGTCTCAGCCTCCTAAGGAGCTGGGATTATAGGTGCCCGCCACCATACCCAGCTAATTTTTGTACTTTTAGTGGAGATGGGGTGTCGCCATGTTGGCCAGGCTGGTCTCAAACTCCTGACTTCAAGTGATCCTCCCAGCTCGGTATCCCAAAGTGCTGGGATTACAGGCGTGAGCCACTATGCCAAGCCTGAATTTATTTATTTATTATTTATTTTTATTTTTAGAGAAATATCTCGCTCTGTTGCCCAGGCTGGAGTTCAGTGGCATGATCTTGGCTCACTGCAACCTCTGCCTCCTGGGTTCAAGCAATTCTCCCTGTCTCATCCTCCCGAGTAGCTGGGATTACAGGTATGCACCACCACGCCTGGCTAATTTTTGTATTTTTTAGTAGAGGTGAGGTTTCACCACGTTGGCCAGGCTGCTCTCGAACTCCTGGCCTCAAGTGATCCACCTGCCTTGGCCTCCCAAAGTGCTGGGAATACAGGTGTGAGCCACCGCGCTGGGCCCTGAATTTATTTTATTTTATTTTATTATTTATTTATTTTTGAGATGGAGTTTCGCTCTTGTTGCCCAGGCTGGAGTGCAGTGGCGCGATCTCAGCTCACTGCAACCTCTGTCTCCCAGGTTCAAGCCATTCTCCTGCCTCAGCCTCCCAAGTAGCTGGGATTACAGGCATGTGCCACCATAGCCCGCTAATTTTGTATTTTTAGTAGAGATGGGGTTTCTCCATGTTGGTCAGGCTGGTCTCAAACTCCCGACTTCAGGTGATCTGCCCACCTCAGCCTCCCAAAGTGTTGGGATTACAGGTGTGAGCCTCTGCACCCGGCCTGAATTTATTTTTTTAAAAATATTTTTATTATTTGTTTGCTTTGGAATGCTTCATGAATTTACATGTCATCTTTGTGTAGGGCACGCTAATTTTCTCTGTATTGTTCCAATTTTAGTATATGTGCTGCTAAAGTCTCCTACATGTTGTGCTATTTCTTGCCTCTGTGCCTTTGTTCAGGCTGTTGCCTGTACTAGCATGCCATTTCCTTTCTTCGTCTGGCTAACTTGATTCATTGTTTTGTCTCATCTCAAACACATCACACTCTCCAGGAAGTTCCCTGACATTTCTTTTTTTTCTCCCTTGAGGTTGGGTTAGGTGTCCCTCCTCTTGGCTCCTAAGTTCCCCGTGTGTCATTCTATTCTTATTTTTTATTTTTTTTTTTGAGATGGAGTCTCACTCTGCGCGATCTTGGCTCACTGCAAGCTCCGCCTCCTGGGTTCACGCCATTCTCCTGCCTCAGCCTTCCAAGCAGCTGGGATTACAGGCGCCCGCCACCAGGTATGGCTAATTTTTTGTATTTTTAGTAGAGACGGGGTTTCACCGTGTTAGCCAGGATGGTCTCGATCTCCTGACCTTGTGATCCACTCGCCTTGGCCTCCCAAAGTGCTGGGATTACAGGTGTGAGCCACTGTGCCTGGCCCATTCTATTCTCATGCCTATGAATTGTATTTTTTTGTTTTAATTTTTTAATTAATTTTTTAAAATTTTATTTATTTATTTATTTATTTATTTATTTATTTATTTATTTATTTTGAGACAGAGTTCCGCTCTTGTTGCCCAGGAGGCTGGAGTGCAATGGTGCGATCTTGGCTCACCACAACCTCTGCCTCCAGGGTTCAGGTGATTCTCCTGCCTCAGCCTCCCAAGTAGCTGGGATTACAGGCATGTGCCACCATGCCCGGCTTATTTCGTATTTTTAGTAGAGACAGGGTTTCTCCATGTGTGTCAGGCTGGTCTTGAACTCCTGACCTCAGGTGATCTGTCTGCTTTGGCTTCCCAAAGTGCTGGGTTTACAGGTGTGAGCCACCGCGCCCAGCTATTAATTGTATTTTAATTGTCAGGGAGCTACCTGTGCTGATTTAACTTATGTTTCTATCACCCTGGAGGATTGGGGCTGAAAGAGAAATTAAGTTGGGTTATAGAAAAGTAGAAAAAGTTGGTCCAGGTGCGGTGGCTCAGGCCTGTAATTCCAGCACTTTGGGAGGCTGAAGTGGGTGGTTTACCTTAGCTCAGGAGTTCGAGATCATCCTGGGCAGCATGATGAAACCCTGTTTCTACTAAAATACAAAAAGATTAGCCGGGCATGGCAGCGTGCACCTATAGTCCCAGCTACTCAGGAGGCTGAGGCAGGAGAACTGTTTGAACCTAGGAGGCAGAGGTTACAGTGACCCAAGATGCCAAGACTGTGCCACTGCATTCCAGCCTGGGCAACAGAGCGAGACTCTGTCTCAAACAAAAAAAAAAAAAGAAGGAAAAGAAAAGTAGAAGAAGTTGTATTTTTTGCACACTTGAGAGTTTTCAGACTGAAGTTTGAAACTACTAGTCTTATTGACCTTGGCTCTTGGTACAGAGAGTTGTACTTTACCCAGATGTTAGGTTCAAAACGGAGTTATGTGAAAAGCACATATATATTCATCAGGTAGAGTGCTAGGAAATAGATGGCATTGCCAAATGAAGATATTTAAGGAGAGTTTAAAAGGGGACTCTATGAAGCTATTGCTGTGAGGTTTACGTCCACAATGGATTGGGCAACACTCAAGACTTGTCATAGCACGTTCTGTTTCCATTCCTAGGCCTGCAGAGGCCATGAGAGGAACTGGTTACAGGAACGCAGAGTCAGAGAAAACTGTGTGGGCAAGGTCACCTGACAGAGTATAGACGTTTGAAGTGACCTGATGGGAAACAAGCACCCTGACCTTGTTCTTCCATCTCCTACCAGCAGCCCCCACCTTTAACTGAACCCAACTCGAAGGCAGAGAGCAAGTCAGCCTGTTGCTGATGTAGTCCCAGGCACAGGGCATGGTGGGTAAGGTGGAGAGAGCATCAAGTGGACACACCAAAGACATCCAGCACAACAGATAACCCTAAGTATCACAGTAGGTATTGAGTCAGACGTGAGCAGGGTAGGAGAGCCCCCCTCCTCAAACCACCACTAGGAATGTCAGGCAGCCATCAATCAGGTGATGTTCAGGTGGTTATTAAATGGTATCTCTAAAATAATAATTGGTCACAGCCAGAGCCAGGGAAAGGCAGTCTCTCAATAGATAAAAACACCTGAAACTGGTGATCAGCAGCTTCCCAATAAGATCTCAGGAGTTGGGCAATTGGGTTCAAGCATGCTCATTAAGAGACAAAATGGGCCGGATGCGGTGGCTCACACCTGTAATCCCAGCACTTTCGGAGGCCGAGGTGTGCAGATCACAAGGTCGGGAGTTCGAGACCAGCCTGGCCAATATGGGGAAACCCCGTCTCTACTAAAAATACAAAAAAAATTAGCTGGGTGTGGTGGTGCATGCCTGTAATCCCAGCTACTCAGGAGGCTGAGGCAGGAGAACTGCTTGAACCCAGGAGGTGGAGGTTGCAGTGAGCCGAGATTTTGCCACTGCACTCCAGCCTGGGCAACAGAGCAACACACTGTCTCAAAAAAAAAAAAATAAATAAAAATAAATAAATAAATAAATAAAAATAATTAAAAAAAGAGACAAAGTGGTGGAGTTTAACTGGTATATGACCTTCTACATGACCTTCCTCTAGGAATGTTAGACTAGTAAGGGAAGTATGTTAGCGGTGGAAAGTATCCGAGTCACACAGCACCAAAACATGTTACCAGTGGCGAATCCGTACAAGTCTGCAGCAACCTCAATTCTTGCCTCCTTAGAAGAAAGAATTTAACTGAAGGGTGTAAGGCAGAAGGAGAGACCGAGGCAAATTTTAGAGCAGGAGTGAAAGTTTATTAAAAAGCTTTAGAGCAGGAATGAAGGAAAGGAAAGTACACTGGGAAGCAGGCGACTTCAAAGGCAAGTGTGTGGTTTGACCTTTTGACTTGGGGTTTTATATGCTGGCATATTTCTGGGGGCTTGCATCCCTTCTCCCCTGATTCTTCCCTTGGGGTGGGCTGTGCTTATGTGCGGTAAGCCTGCTAGCACTTGGGAGGTGAGCACGCATGGTGTGTTTACTGGAGTTGTGCGCATGCTCACTTGAGGTGTTCTTCCCTTACCAGTCGAATGTCCCTAGAAGGTGGCCATGTATGTTAAACTCCGTCATTTTGACTCTTAATGCTCGTGCTTGAGCCTACTTGCCCAACTCCTAAGATCTTATCGGGAAGCTGCTGATCGCCAGTTTCAGGTGTTTTTATCTATTGGAAGACTGCCTTTCCCTGGTATTGGCTGTGAACAATTTTAGAGAAACTGTTTAACAACCACCTGACCATCACCTGATGGTTGCCTGACATTCCTGGTGTATGTGAGTGTGTTTGTGTGGGGGGCTCTCTTACCCTACTCATGTCTGACTCGCTGTCTACTCTAACAAAAGTACCTATGAAAACCCCTAAAATCCACTCCCAGGCCCCTGTCCACTTAGCCTTGAGGTTCCATGTATGAAACCTTGAAATAAGTGACTTATCATACAGTGATGGAAAATGCTAAAGTCTTTTCTTTATTCCTTTACGTCTGAGAGGATTGCTCTCTCTCAGCTATTAAACCATTACTCTCTGACTGAAGTGGTGGAGAATTCCATAATGAAGATGATTAGCAAGATATCATATGTCACAAACTCAAATGCCTTGGGGGCCAGCAGGTGATGGAAATCAGAGCAAATAAAACATGGATGGATGCAGTTGCAGGCCAGTGGGTGATCTCCGGCTCACTTTCTTTCTGATACCCCTTGATATGGTTTGGCTGTGTCCCCACCCAAATCTCATTTTGAACTGTAGTTCCCATAATCTCCATGAGTCATGGGAGGGACCCATTGGGAGGTAATTGAATCATGGGGGTGGTTTCTCCCATCCTGTTCTTGCCATAGTGAGTTAGATCTCACGAGATCTGGTGTTTTTATAAGGGGCTTCCCCCTTTGCTGGGCATTTGTTTTCTCTCCTGCCGCCATGTGAAGAAAGACATATTTGCTTCCCCTTCCACCATGACTGTAAATTTCCTGAGGCCTTGCCAGTCATGCTGAACTGTGAGTCGATTATTATTATTATTATTATTATTATTATTATTATTTCTTTTTGAAACAGAGTCTTGCTCTGTCGCCCAGGCTGGAGCGCAATGGCGCCATCTTGGCTCACTGCAACTCCGCCTCCCGGGTTCAGGCGATTCTCCTGCCTCAGCCTCCCGAGTAGCTGGGATTACAGGCAAGCGCCACCACACCTGGCTAATTTTTGTATTTTTTTTTTTTTTTTTAGTAGAGACGTGGTTTCACCATGTTAGCCAGGCTGGTCTCAAACTCCTGACCTTGTGATCCACCCACCTCGGCCTCCCAAAGTGCTGGGATTACAGGTGTGAGCCACCATGCCCGGCCTATTATTATTATTTTGAGATGGAGTCTCGCTCTGTCACCCAGGCTGGAGTGCAGTGGTGTGATATCTGCAACCTCCGCCTCCTGGGTTCAAGCAATTTTCCTGTCTCAGCCTCCTGAGTAGCCAGGACTACAGGTGCCCGCCACCACGCCTGGCTAATTTTTGTATTTTTAGTAGAGACAGGGTTTCACCATATTATTCTGGCTGGTCTTGAACTCCTGACCTCAGGTGATCCACCTGCCTGGGCCTCCAAAAGTGTTGGGATTACAGGCATGAGCCTCCGCGCCGCCTGAACTGTTAGTCAATTAAGCCTCTTTCCTTTATACATTACCCAGTCTCACATATGTCTTTATTAGCAGCATGAGAACAGACTAATATACCCCCTTTCATCAGTCTTTAATAGTGAGGAGAAACTACCCTGTTGGCAAATTGTTTCCGGTTTCTGGGTGGGATTGGTAGAAAGCCTTCTCTTCCATGCCCTGCTGAAAGGCTGATCTCCCTAATAACTGCAAGCCATAGGCTAGGGCACTTCTGAAGGCCTACTATGTGCAAACACTGTTCTAAGTGCTTCCACCTTAATTGGCTTCTTTTTTTTTTTTTTTTGAGACAGAGTCTTGCTTTGTCACCCAGGCTGGAGTGCAGTGGTGCGATCTCAGCTCACTACAACCTCTGCCTCCTGGGTGCAAGCGATTCTCCTGCCTCAGCCAACCGAGTAGCTGGGATTACAGGCACCTGCCACAATGCCTGGCAATTTTTTTTTTTTTTTTTAGTAGAGACAGGGTTTTACCATGTTGTTCAAGCTGGTTTCGAACTCCTGACTTCAAGTGATCTGCCCACCTCAGCCTCTCAAAGTGCTGGGATTATAGGCATGAGCCACTGTGCCTGGCCCTCTTAATTAGTTTATTTAATCCTCTCTACATCGCCACAAGATAGGTACTACTATGATCACTATTTTACAGGTGAGCAAATGAAGCACAGAGAGGTTAAGGAGGAACAGGGTTATCTGTTACAACTCTTCAGCAGGGCATTCTGGGCAGTTCTGTCTAACTTGTGAGAGGCAAGGGGACTATCTGTTAATTATTTGTTATCAATATTATTTTTTGAGCAGAGCCTTGCTCTGTCATCCAGGTTGGAGTGCAGTGATACAATCTTGGCTCACTGCAACTTCTGTCTCCTAGGTTCAAGTGATTCTCATGCCTCAACCTCCCAAGTAGCTGGGATTACAGGCATGCACCACCATGCCTGGCTAACTTTTGTATTTTTTAGGAGAGAAAAGGTTTCACCACGTTGGCCAGAATGGGCTTGAACTCCTGATCTGTACTAGTCTGTTTTCACGCTGCTGATAAAGACATACCTGAGACTGGGCAATTTACAAAAGAAAGAGGTTTAATGGACTTATAGTTCCACATGGCTGGGGAGGCCTCACAATCATGGCAGAAGGCAAGGAGGACCAAGTCACATCTTACTTGGATGGCAGCAGGCAAAGAGAGAGAGAGAGCTTGTGCAGGGAAACTCCCATTTTTAAAACCGTCAGATCTCATGAGACTTATTCACTATCATGAGAACAGCGCAAGAAAGACCTGCTCCCATGATTCAGTTATCTCCCACCAGGTCCCTGTCACAACATGTGGGAATTACGGGAGCTATGGGTGTGAGAGAGAGCCAAACCATATCATTCTGCCCCTGGCCTCTCTCAAATCTCTTGCCTTCACATTTCAAAACCAATCATGCCTTCTCAACAGTCCCCTAAAGTCTTTTTTTTTTTTTGAGATGGAGTCTCGCTCTGTCACCCAGGCTGGAGTGCAGTGGCGCAATCTCAGCTCACTGCAAGCTCTGCCTTCCGGGTTCATGCCATTCTCCTGCCTCAGCCTCCTGAGTAGCTGGGACTACAGGCGCCCACCACCACATCTGGCTAAGTTTTTGTATTTTTAGTAGAGACGGGGTTTCACTATGTTAGCTGGGTTGGTCTCGATTTCCTAACCTCGTGATCTGCCCGCCTCAGCCTCCCAAAGTGCTGGGATTACAGGCTTGAGCCACCGCACCCGGCTGTCCCTAAAGTCTTAACTCATTTCAGCATTAACTCAAAAGTCCACAGTCCAAAATCTCATCTGAGACAAGGCAAGTCCCTTCCACATATGAGGCTGTAAAATCAAAAGCAAGTTAGTTACTTCCTAGATACAATGGGGGTACACGAATTGGGTAAATATAGCCATTTTGAATGGAGTAAATTAGTCAAAACAGAGGGACTACAGGCCCCATGCAAGTCTGAAATCCAGCAGGGCAGTCAAATCTTAAAATTCCAAAATGATCTCCTTTGACTCCATGTCTCCTATCCAGGTCATGCTGATGCAAGAGGTGGGCTCCCACGGCCTTGGACAGCTCCACCCCTGTGGCTTTGCAGGTATAGCCCCTCTCCTGGCGGCTTTCACTGGCTGGCATTGAGTGTCTGCGGCTTTTCCAGGTGCACGGTGCAAGCTGTTAGTAGATCTAACATTCTGGGGTCTGAAGGATGGTGGCCTTCTTCTCACAGCTCCACTAGGTGGTGCCCCCAGTAGGGACTCTGTGTGGGGGCTCTGATCCCACATTTCTCTTCTGTGCTACCCTAGCAGAGGTTCTCCATGAGGGCCCTGTCCCTGCAGCAAACTTCTGCCTAAGCGCCCAGGCATTCTCATACATCCTCTGACATCTAGGCAAAGGTTAAAAAAAAAAAAAAAAAAAAAAAAGGCCAGGCGTGGTGGCTCATGCCTGTAATCCCAGCACTTTGGGAGGCCAAGGTGGGTGGATCACCTGAGGTCGGGAGTTCAAGACCAGCCTGACCAACATGGAGAAACCCCATCTCTACTAAAAATACAAAATTAGCTGGGCATGGTGGCTCATGCCTGTAATCCCAGCTACTCGGGAGGCTGAGGCAGGAGAATCACTTGAACCTGGAAGGTGGAGGTTGCGGTGAGCCAAAATCGAGCCACTGCACTCTAGCCTGGGCAACAAGAGCGAAACTGCGTCTCAAAAAAAAAAAAAAAGGTAAAATAATAATAGCAACAAAAACAAATCTTTCACGCCTATAATCCCAGCACTTTGGGAGGCTGAGGTGGGCCAATCACGAGGAGAGGAGATCGAGACCATCCTGGCTAACATGGTGAAACCCCGTCTCTACTAAAAAATACAAAAAATTAGCCGGGCGTGGTGGCGGGCGCCTGTAGTCCCAGCTACTCGGGAGGCTGAGGCAGGAGAATGGCGTGAACCCAGGAGGCGGAGCTTGCAGTGAGCCGAGATCGCGCCACTGCACTCCAGCCTGGGTGACAGAGCGAGACTCCGTCTCAGAAAATAAAAAAGATTATTTTATTCCTGCACCTTCCCTATTGTTTCTTTCTTGTATTTGCCATTTTCCTTTCCTACTTGGCGAGATTTGGCTTTCCGTTCAAGGATCTTTTTGTGGCCTTTGTCAAGTTTTAGTCTAGTGATAACCACCTTGCTGGGTGAATGCCCACAGGGACAGCTATGCTGTTAGCCTTTTCCCACTGCACCCGTTCAATGTAGATGGCATATTTCTTCCTGTAAACCTGGATTATTTGGCCAATTTGCTGACCCTTACAGTGTCCTCGCGCAACCTGAACTTCGTCATCCTTTTGGATGGTCTTCGATCGAACATTGTACTTTTGTCTCAGCTCTTTGGAAAGAGGGGAAGACATAATCTTTCTGCGAGTGTGGGAAGGTGCATTGAAATGCCTTTTGCAGTTCTTGCTTCGGTCAGAAGTCACAAAGGGATTGTACTTCATTTTGGCTGCTCCACCTTTGGTGATGGCTGCAAAGGTTTAATAAATCTTATTTATGGGAAGGTATAGTGGGTTGAATGGTGGCCCCCCCAAAAGGTATGTCTACATCCCAACCCCCAGAACCTGTAAATGTGAGCTTATTTGGAAAAGAATCTTTGTAGATGTAATTAAGGATCTCAAGAGGAGATCATCCTGGATTACCTGGATTACCTAGGGGAAGAGAAAAGCAGAGGCAGATTTGAGACAGGTACAGAGAAGGCCATGGGAAGGTGGAGGCAGAGATTGAAGTTGTCCAACCAAGGAACGCCTGGAGCCACCAGAAGCTGGAAGCAGCAGGGAAGGATTCTCCCGGGAGCCTTCAGAGGGAGCATGGCCCCACCTATCCCTTCACTTCGGACTTCTAGACTCCAGGACTGAGAGAGGCTATATTCTGTTTGAAGCCATCAGGTCTGTGGCACTCCACCACAGCAGCTGCAGGAAAGGAGAAGAGAAGGGCTCAGTGGAGCCACGCTGTAGCTGTGAGCAGTGACTCAGATTGACTGGAAAAGGAGGATGTTTGGTCATTTCGGACAAGTTCCTGGTTCTGTTTTTGTTTGGTTCATCACAGTCACAGGGTGGCCTTGTCTGATGTGGATGTTCTGTGACATTACGTTCAGCAGGAAACTATGAAGTCCAGCTGTGTGCCAGGCCAGCTCCTGGAAGAACCAAGGCCTGGCTGGGCATCTGGGGCTGCCTTTCTTTCTCTCATATGTGAAGCTGGGTGTTCTTTATGGACTTCAACCAAAACAACACATCCCGACAGACTGAATGCAGACGCTATGAGAATCCAGCTCTTTTCTATTCAGCCAGATGTTAAAAAGATTTGTCAAAATGTAAAACAATGCCATTTTCTCCCCCATCCCTTTTTTTTTAAAATGGCATTTTTTTTCCACAAAAATTTTGTTTATGAGAACATGTAATGGGTTTTTAATTATTGTTATTTTATTTTATATTTTCTATTTTTTGTAGAGACAGGGTCTTACTACGTTCCCATGCTGGTCTTGAACTTCTGGCCTCAAATGATCCTCCTACCTTGGCCTCCCAAAGTGTTGGGATTATAGACATGAGCCACCTGGCCTATTGTTATTTTTAAATTTATTTAATATGTTCATAGATAAAACATCTTTCAGTTTTAATTTCTAATATAGTAAATATTGGTAAATATAACCCGAATAAACACAAGCTCATTGAGTCCTCAGTAATTTTAAGTGTGTAAATATAACTTATACATATAATATTTAAGTATGTTCAGGGGTTCAGAGACCAAAAATTTTCAGTACTACTTACCTAGTTCACTGTCAATCTTTGTAAATGCATGCGTGCTTGTCTACTTATTGGAGACGGTGTTCTATATTTGTCCACTAGATCAAGCTTGCTAAATATGTTCTCATCATCTATATCTTTTTTTTTTTTTTTTGAGACGGAGTCTTGCTCTGTTGCCCCGGCTCACTGCAACCTTCACCTCCCGGGTTCAAGTGACTTTCCTGCCTCAGCCTCCCGAGTAGCTGGGTGCATGCCACCATGCCTAGCTAATTTTTATATTTTTAGTAGTGATGGGGTTTTGCCATGTTGGCCAGGCTGGTCTTGAACTCCTGGCCTCAAGTGATCTGCCCATTTTGGCCTCCCAAAGTGCTGGAATTACAGGCATGAGCCACCATGCCTTTACATGTTTTCAACACATTTAATTAAGCCAGATTGTGTGGCTTACTCCCTGTGTAACCTAGGGCAATTTACTAATTCCCTCAGGACCTTGTTTTTCTCATTCATTATCTACTGATAATAATAGTGCTATCTTGTAAAGTAGTTATCAATAAATATTTGCTATTGTTATCTTCACTAGCAGTGTTTAGTGTAGGAGCAACAAAAAGGGACAATGGTTGGATTTATACAGTTGGGGTTTTGACTGGGCAACAGGGAAGAAAGATAAGTGGGTAAGGATATTGAGGAGCTCAGAAAAATAATAGTGGGAGTGTAGGTTGGATAGGAAAAGAAGTGGAAGGCTGAGCTGTGAGGAGCAAATGCAGTGGAAGCTTAGTGAGAGGCAGGAGATAGTATGGGGAATGGGGACTGAGTAAACTGGAGAGACAATTACTAGGGCCCATGTGAGGTCCAATGTGAGATCCCAGTTGTGGGCGCAATGAAGGGGTGAGTGGAATGGACAAGTTATCCGCACAGAATAGGGTGGTACTGGATTGACATGAGAACCCAAAGTCTTCTGTGCTGGCTTGACCAGTAGGTAAACAAGGGGTGGTGGAGCACCAGAATGACACAAATCTCCCAGCAGAAGTGATGCCTTGAGAGCGGTGCTGGCAGCTGGGCAAATGCTAATCCTGCTTAGGATATTGGGGCCTTGGGAGAACCTGCCACCTTTCCTGGAGACAAAGGCAGGGGAGCCAGACCTTCTTCAGGACAGCCAGCTTTCAGTCATGGCAAGAAACTAAGCAGTTTCCTATGGGAGGGGTGCTGACAATGTTGGAGGTAGGTTTACTGTGCGAGCAGTGGGCCAGTGGGTCAATGGAGAGAAAACACAGGGACCTTCCATCTGGAGCAGTGGCTGAGGATGGGAAGGGTGGGAAGCATGCTGGCATAGACTGGCCAAGACTCTAAATGATATTCTAGACAGCATGGCTCAGCTTAGAACCCAAAGTAGCATTGGTTTCTTTTCTTTTTTCTCTTATTTTCTTTTTTTTCTTTTTTTTTTCTTTTTTTTTTTTTGCTATGAAGTCTCATTCTATCCCCCAGGCTGGAGTGCAGTGGTATAATCTCGGCTCACTACAACCACCGCCTCCCAGGTTCAAGCGATTTTCCTGCCTCAGCCTCCTGTGTAGCTGGGATTACAGGCACCTGGGTAATTTGTCTATTTTTAGTATAGACGGGCTTTCGCCACGTTGGCCAAGCTGGTCTCGAACTCCCGGCCTCAAGTGATCTGCCTGCCTCAGTCTTCCAAAGTGTTGGGATTACAGGTGTGAGCCACCGTGCCTGGCTTTCCCCCCTCATCTTAAGATCTGCTTCTAAGTGTTGACTTATTTTTATTTTTGAGACAGTCTCCCTCTGTCCCACAGGCTGGAGTGCAGTGACAAGATCTCGGCTCACTGTAATCTCCATCTCCCAGGCTGAAGCGATTCTTGTGCCTCAGCCTCCCAAGTAGCTGTGGCCACAGGCTCTGGCCAACACGCCTGGTTAATTTTTTTGTAGTTTCAGTAGAGACAGGGTTTCACCATGTTGGCCAGGCTGGGCTCCAACTCCTGGCCTCGAGTGATCCGCCCATTTCGGCCTCCCAAAGCGCTCGGACTACAGGCATGAGCCACCGCTCCTGGCCTAGTGTTGGGTCTCTTAATGGTTTTAGGCAAGGAGGGGCAGTTACAGATAGGTCAAGGAGAAAGAGCACTTTCTAAGTAACGTGCTGCCCTGCTGAAGAATAGTCTGTCCCACGAGGTAGTGACTTCATCATATATTGTTTGTTTTTAAAGAAGTGGGATGGACATCTGTCAGGGAAGCTGAAAGTAGGGTTGGGCTGCAGAACTTCAAAAAATTCTAACTCTGAAAAATCTGAAATTTCAGAGTATAGTATTTGGCTATGACCCCCTCTAGTGGCCATTGTGCAGAATTAACCATAATACAAACATTTCAGAACTGAACTCAAAATTTCAAACCTCAAGACTAGCTAGGGTTTGTGGCTTTTAGGGAATATCCTAAATTCTGTTATGTGGATAATTCTGCATGAAATCCATCGAGGTGTCTTGGCTTTTACTGTTTGAATCACATTAATGATTTTTTCTAAATCAGAGGCAGCTGTATCAGGAAGACATCGCTGGCTGGTAGACTTCTGCACCAGGCACATAAAGTCTAGGAGAGCAAAACAAATCAGATTCCTGTCTTCATGGTGTTTACATTCTTGTATGGGGAACAGATGATCAATAACCGGTCAATAAGAAAGTAAGACTCTGATTAATGTTATGGCAGGAAATAGGCAGAGTGTGGTGACAAGGACTAAGGAGGCTGA
This sequence comes from Homo sapiens, assembly GCF_000001405.40. Lineage (NCBI taxonomy): Eukaryota > Metazoa > Chordata > Mammalia > Primates > Hominidae > Homo > Homo sapiens. The sequence goes on along the minus strand of NC_000002.12, from coordinate 60,707,444 downwards.
CCTACTTGCATAGGGCACTCAGGGAAGGTTTCTTTAAAGAGGTGACATTTAAATGAGAAGAGGCAGAAGAATATCCCAGGCAGGCAAAACAATAGATACAAAGGACCTGTGGTAGGAACAGCTCATCTAGGAGCTGATGGAAGGCTGACATACCTGGAAAACGAAATTAGCAAATGGCATAAGGCCTGGGTTGTGGCTGGAGGACACCCCAAGGGCCAGATCATACCAGTTCTTGAAGACCATGGGAAACCTCAAAAGCCATGGGAAATTCAGTTTTGATAACTTTCATCCCATCTTAACAGATTGTGTTTATTTATTTATTTATTTATTTATTTATTTATTTGAGATGGAGTCTCGCTCTGTCGCTCAGGTTGGCGTGCAGTGGCACTATCTCTGCTCACTGCAACCTCTGCCTCCCAGGCTCAAGTGATTGATTCTCCTGCCTCAGTCTCCCGAGTAGCTGGGACTACTGGTGCACACCACCACACCCAGCTTATTTTTGTATTTTTAGTAGTGATGGGGTTTCGCCATGTTGGCAGTGGCTGGTCTTGAACTCCTGGCCTCAAATGATCCGCCTGCCTTGGCTTGCCGAAGTGGTGGGATTACAGGCATGAGCCACCGCGCCCAGCCTGTATTTATTTAAAAATTAATTTTATTGAAATTATCTGTACCCATACTTTGCTTCTAAATGGAATAAATATTTTTTAAAAACTTGAATTTGATTTCATATTAACTGATTTTATCTGTTGGTTTCTAAGACCATAGATTTCTTTTGTACTAAACATTCTTTCTCTACCAGCATTGGGTAGTGAATTTAGACAGGTAATATTGAATTGGAAACAGCAGGTTCTTTGTTGGAAAACATAGTACATTATTCTCTAGAAGAGAACATCATCAAGGCACTGACCTCTTTCTAAGGAGGAACTGGAGAGAGTTTTCTCTTTTCATGAAGACAGCTTCTGTGCTTGAACTACTTCATCCAAAAAGAGACTTACTAGAATTAGCCAAGCCCCAAAGTATGAGAGTTTTTCTGCAATGTGAAAAACTTAACATTGTTTTACTTTGTCAGGGAATTTCAGAAATGAGTTAAAAATTTAAAGCTCAATGTAGATTAGTCAGCTTCTTTTGATCTAAATATTTCTTAATTTAGAAGCACTGTGAAAAATGAGGATGACGAATGCTAGACAAAGCCAACACTATTAAGTTTATAAAAGAAAAACATTCAGCATGACTTCAAGGTTGGTGGATGGCACGCATACAGCCAGTGGGCCCATTGTGCTATGTGTGAGCAAACTGTGTGGTTGTGCCAAGGGGATCGCCTTACCTACCTGTGCTGTGTGTCAGCACCCGAGTGGTCTGACAGACTGATAGTAAAGCTCACTTTATTAGATAATACAAGAAATGTGGATATGTTAATTTCTCAGTCAGAAAGTATAGTACTGTCCTGTGGCACAAAATGGGCAATTGTAAGAATGGTAATTGTTGAGAAGGAGGAAGGGAAGAGGGAGAGAAGAGGCATCAGTGGGATTGACTCTGGTATTGAAGGTGACGAGGCATGAGGAAAAGAACACTAGAATTGCCTACTGCCACTGCCACCCAACTGGAGGTAAAGATTCTGTCTGTCAGTATACATGCACTTAATGAGGCCAAGACTCAGCCAGCTACTCAGTCATCTATAGGGAGTGGGAGCAATAATTCTACAACTGGGTATCTTCAAATTCTAGCCAAGATTAAACTTTTTTTGGTTGCAAATTAAATATTCTAAAAAAGAAACTATTTAGCTTGTTGTGGTGGCATGCACCTGCAGTCCCAGCTACTCAGGTGGCTGAGGTGAGAGGATTGTTTGAGACCAAGAGTTCAAGGCTGCAGTTGAGCTATGATAATGCCACTGCACTCCAACCTGGGTGATAGAGCAAGACCCTGCCTCAAAACAAAACAAAACAAAACAAAACAAAACAAAACAAACCCCAAAAAACCAACATTAGTACAGTTTGGAGCATCCAAATCATCCATATAATACCTTTGTGAGCACTGCCATGTGATTTTAATGCCCAAGTTCGCTCTTTTATATACAATCAAGATCATGCTAAGTGATATTTAACTGTTTTGTTTATATGTATAGAATTATTTTATTGGTTTCCATAAAGTGCATATTTGACACTAAAAATAAAATTTAAGCCAGGTGTGGTGGTGTGTCGCTATAGTCCCAGCTACTTGGTAGGCTGAGGTGGGAGGGTCATTTGAGCCCAAGAGTTCCAGACCAGCCTGGGCAACATCATGGGACTCTATCTGTTAAAAGCAAAGCAAAACAAAACAAAACAACAACAACAAAACAAATGGTGCTGGAACACGTGGACATTTATAGGTCAATAAAAAAAGGAACAATAAGTAAATATAAAAATTTGCCTTTTGTTGTTCATTCCAACTAAAACCATGCAGTCTTGCTCAGTCAGCTCATGCTGTGTTTATCTCTGGGATACAATATGGCTAAACTGGCCTAATAAAGGTAGAGATTCTGTCAGTTAGTATATGCTCACTTAATGAGACCAAGACCCCGTCAGCTACTCAGAAGGTCTATGGATCACATTACTTACAACCCTGAACCTAGGTAATAAGTGCATGGATAGAGCACCAGAAGCCTCTAGATTTGGTCAATGTGCTGGCTAATCAAGCTGTGCTTATAGGTCAAGTTGAAAGTAAATGCTGGTACAGGAGCAGACAGTCCTAAAGGTATCCTCTCTGCCAGGAATACTCCAGACCTGCCGGTTCCCATGGCTTCTACTTTCTCAACTTCAATGTCACATTCTCAAAAGGAAAAATTAAAGGATACTATCCATATAAGGAAAACAAATGGAAATAAAAATGCAGCTCTTGAAAGAGAAGTCAATAGCTGGGACAAACTCAGATCAGAAAGGATTAGAATATTAGTAGATTGGAAAGGAGAACTGAGGAAATTAAACATTTTAAAATTCTAGCATTGAAAAAAATCTAGAATTAAATAATATGCATCCTGAAATGAAAGTGCATCCCAAATACCAAGCAGAATATATGAAAATAAGCCCACGCACTGGCCACATTGTGACACTACATCAGAGATAAATAGAAAAATCTTCGAAGCTGGCCAGGAGCGGTGGCTCACGCTTATAATCCCAGCACTTTGGGAGGCCAAGGAGGGCAGATCACCTGAGGTCAGGAGTTTGAGACCAGCCTGGCTAACATGGCAAAACCCCATCTCTATTAAAAATACAAAAAAAATTAGCCAGATGTGGTGGCACGCGCCTGTAATCCCAGCTACTTGGGAGGCTGAGGCAGGAGAATCTCTTGAACCCGGGAAGCAGAGGTTGCAATGAGCCAAGATCACTCCATTGCACTCTAGCCTGGACAACAAGAGTGAAACTCCGTCTCAGAAAAAATAAAAATAAAAATCTTAGAAGTGACCAGAAGGAGGAAGAAAACCAATTATCTACACAGGAATGACAACTACATTGACAGCTGGCTTCTCATCAACAATGATAGATGCCGGAAGACAAAGACGTAAAATTATGAAAGTGTTTGTTGAGAAAAAAAAAACAACCATCAACCTAGAATTGTATGCCCCGTTAAACTATCATTCAAAAATAAAAGTAAAACTTGTCACAGGCTCTCAGTGAAGAGATGGTTAAGAATCTCCTCAAGAAGAAAAGTGCACCCAGAGGGAAAGCATGGCATACAAACATAAGCAACCAACTGACTGAAAGACTAAGCACAGGTGCAGATGAAATATATCAGGATAGGTATTTATGTGGCTGAACAGTCCCCCATAAAACACATTTTTGTATGTTTTTATAAAACAATAAAAATAATAACTCCCCTCAATAAAAAGATCATGGCTGAGTGCAGTGACTCATGCCTGTAATCCTAATACTCTAGGAGGCTGAGGTGGGAGGATTGCTTGAGGCCAGGAGTTCCAGGTTACAGTGAACTATGATTGTGCTGGTGTGCTCCGGCCTGGTCGACAGAGTGAGACCCAGTCTCTTAAAAAACAACAAAAAAGGGCCAGGCGTGGTGGCTCACGCCTGTAATCCCAGCACTTTGGGAGGCCAGGGTGGGCGGCTCACGAGGTCAGGAGTTCGAGACCAGCCTGAACAACATGGTGAAACCTCGTCTCTACTAAAAATACAAAAATTAGCCGGGCATAGTGGCGCATGCCTGTAGTCCCAGCTACTCGGGAGGCTGAGGCAGGAGAATCGCTTGAACTCGGGAAGCGGAGGTTGCAGTGAGTCAAGATCATGCCATTGCACTCCAGCTTGGGCAACAGGGAGACTTCATCTCAAAAACAAAACAAAAGATTGTGTGTATGTTCAATAGATAGTTTATTCTAAGTCCTGTAAAATACTGTAGTCATTACCCTGCTTTAGCAATAATTAACATTTTGCCAACTTTCTTTTTTTTTTTTGAGACAGAGTTTCGCTCTTGTCACCCACGCTGGAGTGCAGTGGCGTCATTTCGGTTCACTGTAACCTCTGCTTCCTGGGTTCAAGCGATTCTCCTGCCTCAGCCTCCCAACTAGCTGAGACTACAGGCACCTGCCAGCATGCTCTGCAAATTTTGTATTTTTAGTAGAGGTGGGGTTTCATCATGTTGGCCAGGCTGGTCTTGAACTCCTGACCTCAGGTGATTCACCTGCCTCAGCCTCCTAAAGTGCTGGAATTACAAGTGTGAAGCACTGTGCCCAGCCTTTATGTGCTTTTTATAATCAGTAAGAGGATACAAATAGGAAGTAATTTTAGATGTTATTGAAAACTTATGGTGAAGAATATAGGCTAAATATTTGACCAGGCAATGTGGCTCACACCTGTAATCCCAGCACTGTGGGAGGCCAAGGCAGGAGGATCACTTGAGCCCAGGAGTTCAAGACCAGCGTGGGCAAAATGGCAGAATTCCATCTCTATAAAAAGATACAAAAATCAGCCAGGCGTGGTGGTGAGTGCCTGTGGTCACTCGTACTTGGGAGGCTGAGGTAGGCGGATTGCTTGAGCCCCTGGAGGTGGAGATTGCACTGCACTCCATCCTAGGCAACAGAGTGAGACTCTGTTTCAAAAACAAAAACAAAAACAAAAACAAAATACAGATTTTGAAAGTGAAGTAAAGTTGTAAAAATTTATCAGTGCAACAGAAGACAGGGAAGAAAAGAGAAAAAACTGACAAAAAGAATTGCAAATAGTAAAGAAAAAAAATGATGGTAGAAATAAGTCTATATAGATTACTGAAACAACAAATATAAGTAAATTAAATTCATACATCGAAAGACAAGTAGCTACCAGATTTGATTATGCTTCTTACAATAGGTACATCTATAACAGAATGACATAGGAAGGTTTAAACTAAAGGAAGGTAATAATACTCAAGAAAAACATAACCTGGGCCAGGTGTGGTGACTCACGCTTGTAATCTGGACCTTTCTCTTAATTTTGCTGTGAACCAAAAACTGCTTAAAAATATATATTAAGGCTGGGCACGGTGGCTCATGCCTGTGATTCCAGCACTTTGGGAGGCTGAGGCAGGCGGATCACTTGAGTTCAGGAGTTCAAGACCAGCCTGGACAACATGATGAAACCCCATCTCTACTAAAAATACAAAAATTAGCCGGGCGTGGTTGTGCGCGCCTGTAATCCCAGCTACTCAGGAGGCTGAGGCAGGAGAATTGCTTGAACCTGGGAGGCGGAGGTTGCAGAGAGCCGAGATGGGGCCACTGCACTCCAGCCTGGATGACAGAGCAAGAGTCTGTCTCAAAAAAAAAAAAAAAAGCCCCATTATGTTAGCTACATGTTATACTGCATTATTATAAATTGCACAAGGAGAAACAGTACATAGATAGATTTACTCATGTTTATATATATATATATATATATTTCTTTTTTTTTTTCTTGTTTTGCTCTTGTTGTCCAGGCTGGAGTGCAGTTGCAGGACCTCGGCTCGCCACAAACTTTGCCTCCTGGGTTCAAGCCATTCTTCTGCCTCAGCCTCCTAAGTAGCTGGGATTACAGGTATGCGCCACCACACCTGGCTACTTTTTGTATTCTTAGTAGAGACAGGGTTTCTCCACATTGGTCAGACTGGTCTCGAACTCCCGATATCAGGTGATCCACCTGCCTCGACCTCCCAAAGTGCTGGGATTACAGGTGTGAGCCACCATCCCCAGCTGGGCTCAAGTCTTAATTGTGATACTTACTCGAATATATTGGGTGAGTCTCAATGTCTTTAAACCTCAATTTCTTCATTTGTAAAGTGGAATTAATGATGGTCCTTCAGGAGTGACTAGAGTATGCTGAAATTTTTGTACAATGTGGATATACAGTAATTAATATTTGCTATTAATATATAAATCATAAATGAGCCAATGCATATAGAAGTAGTTTGAAAATTGTTAAGAGTTATACAGTTATTAACGATAATCATCTTTACCACAAGTCTTATTTTGGTTCTTGAAACTGTATTATTTCCAAAGTCCTGAACCCTCAAGGAACTCTGATTATATGCAGGTTGGTTGATCTCAGCTGGACTGAACAAACCATTGAGAGATGAGCTACCTTTGATAGAGTCTACTTGATGCGGATTACACAGCTGATTATATAGGCTGATTACATAAAGGCCTTAAGAGGGACTAGTTCTCTTAGGGCATCCCAGTGCCTTTTAGTACTATACATCTTAAGTGTCCCAACAAATGAGGTCCTTTGACAGAGAGTGGTAGAAAGAGCAAAGGACAAAGGACACATGAGAACCAACGTTATCAGCTTTGTTCTCTTTTATGTTTGCCTAGGCTGATTCTAGACAGAGAAATCCTAAGTATTAGTTAGGGTTCTTCAGAAAAACAGAACCAATAGGATCTATCTATCTATCATCTATCTATCTCTCTCTATATATCTATATCTTGGTTCTCAGGTCTTCAAACTCAGACTGGGGCTTACACCATTGGCCCCTGGTTCTCAGGCTTTGGAGCTTGGACTGAAACTACACCACCAACTTTCCTGGGCCTCCAGCTTGCAGACTGTGGATCATGGGACTGCTCCATACTCAAGTGAGCCAATCCCTCATACAAAACCTCTATCTGGCTGGGTGCGGTGGCTCACTCCTGTAATCCCATCACTTTGGGAGGCTGAGGCAGACAGATCACATGAGGTCAGGAGTTCAAGACCAGCCTGGCCAACATGGTGAAACCCTGTCTCTACTAAAAATACAAAAATTAGCCGGGCGTGGTGGTGGGCACCTGTAATCCCAGCTACTCAGGAGGCTGAGGCAGGAGAATCGCTTGAATCTGGGAGGTGGAGGTTGTAGTGAGCCGAGATTGTGCCACTGCACTCCAGCCTGGGTGACAGAGCAAGACTCTGTCTCAAAAACAAAAAACAAAACAAAACAAAACACAAAGCACACATCTGAGCCCAGAGTTGGAGACGCTTGCTGAAGAAGAATCCAGGGGAAGGTGAAGTAGTTGCAGGTCAGCTGATGCTCTCCATGCCAAAGAGATGAGCCAACAGATACACAACATTGTGTGTGAACTACAAAAGTGCCTGCTTCCACCTTTTCCGCATAAAAATTAAAATGGCTTTGTTTCACTTCTGCCTCTGAAACCTCATGCAGAAGTGTCTCTTGAGGCCCACCTTAACTGGAAACAAATTGGGAAAGGAATTCTGGGAAATGTAGTTCAGGCTAGTCAAGTTGACGCATTACAGAGGCACGACATACATACCATTTTTGTCTCTTACACAAATGCTACCATGCTGTATACATTCTTTTGCACCTTGCTTAGAGGTCCTACCAAATTCTTTTTTTTCTTTTTCTTTTCTTTTTTGAGACCGAGTTTCCCTCTTGTTGCCCAGGCTGGAGTGCAGTGGCGCAATCTCAGCTCACTGCAACCTCCACCTCCTGGGTTCAAGCAATTTTCCTGCTTCAGCCTCCCGAGTGGCTGGGATTACAGGCGTGCGCCACCACGCCTGGCTAATTTTGTATTTTTAGTAGAGACAGGGTTTTGCCATGTCGGTCAGGCTGGTCTTGAACTCCTGACCTCAGGTGATCCACCTGCCTCGGCCTCCCAAAGTGTTGGGATTACAGACATGAGCCACCACGCCTGGCCCAAATTTTTATATACAGATTTATGGCTTTTTTTTTTTTTTTTTTTTTTTTTTTCAGTGGTGGTACAGTATTCCATTGTGTTTGGGTTGTTCCAATCCTTTGCTATTTCAAACAGTGCTTCAATGAATTGCCTTGTGCATATGTCATTTTGCATGTGTGCAAGCATATCTGTATGATAAGTCCCTGGAAGTTCAATTTCTCAGCCAAATGGTTTCTGCATTTAATTAGGAGATATACCTAATGCTAAATGACGAGTTAATGGGTGCAGCACACCAACATGGCACATGTATACATATGTAACAAACCTGCACATTGTGCACATATGTACCCTAAAACTTAAAGTATAATAATAATAATAATAAAACAAAAAAAATAAAAGATTTGCAGAGGAAAAAGAATACTTATCTATTGTCTAATTGTTCTTTATAGAGGTTATATCAATTTCCTCTCCTGTTAAGTAAAATATAACAGTGCCTGGTTTCCCATACTTGTAACACAGTATATGACCAAAGCTGTTTATCTTTGTACATTTTATAGGTAAAAATTTATATTTCAGCATAGCAGTGTGATTGTAATTTGCATTTTTCTTATTATGAATGGGTTTGATCTCTAGGGGATATTTCTGGGTAGGGAAAGGAAAGAATAAGTTTAGAAATTTCAATTTGAGTTAGATTCAATGTCCCTTTAAAAAGTTATCTTTAAAATACTGGCCCCTTAGGCCGGGCGCGGTGGCTCACGCCTGTAATCCCAGCACTTTGGGAGGCCAAGGCAGGCAGATCATGAGGTCAGGAGATCGAGACCATCCTGGCTAACGCGGTGAAACCCCGTCTCTACTAAAAACACAAAAAATTAGCCAGGCGCGGTGGTGGGCGCCTGTAGTCCCAGCTACTCGGGAGGCTGAGGCAGGAGAATGGCGTGAACCTGGGAGGGGGAGCTTGCAGTGAGCTGAGATAGCGCCACTGCACTCCGGCCTGGGCCTGGGAGACAGGGCGAGACTCCGTCTCAAAATAAAAAAAAAACAAAAAACAAAAAACAAAAACAACAACAAAAAAACTGGCCCCTCTTCTTCCAAAACACATTTGATATTAAAGAACTTCTCGTTAGTAACAAATGATAATACTGATGAGAAATAGTACAATTTTACTATACAGCTCCATTATTTTAGTGAAAAGCAGAGTAAAGTTCAAACTAAAGTGGCTAAACCTGCTTTTATCCCAGTTTACAGTAAAAATATGTACATATTTGGATTGAATGAGGAAAATCTTGTATAAATACCTGGTTTACTGAAATTAAACATCTTTAGAACAATCTTGGATTGTATTAGTCTGAATAACAAGGCATAGATACTAGAAAAAAATTTCTAGGACATCTCTGGATGATCATTAATAACAAAATATGAAATATATTCTACATCCCAGGTGTCCCGTGTAGATCAAAGTTATCTAACACAAGTTTGGAGTTAAGTATCATAATCTGTTCCTGTTAGAGATGGCCAGATTCTCTCATGTTTTTAGTTCTTTCATTCTTAGAAAAAGATTTACAATTTGAATGGAAAGTAATTGATAATCCAAATATGTCATTAGGTATAGCTGGCAAAATATTAATGGTTCACTTTATAACTTAAGTATCTGCATATGACTTTTGTATATTTTATTGTTTCCTAGTTGAAGATTATCCGATTTAGTAGAAATTTTTTAACATTTCAGCTTTCATTCTCTAAACTCTGTCTTCTTCCTGGAAGAACTCTGTTCTACTCAATGAGAACAAAACAGCTCCCTCCTGGGAAAGCTCTTTTCAAAAGTAAGTGCATACATAGCCTGGCCACATAGTTGGTGTTTATAGTGGCGTTACATTTATTAAAGACATTCAGGCCGGGCGCAGTTGCTCATGCCTGTAATCCTAGCACTTTGGGAGGCTGGGGCAGGCAGATTTCACCAGCCTGGCCAACATGGTAAAACCCTAACTCTATCAAAAATACAAAAATTACCCGGGTGTAGTGGTGCACGCCTGTAATCCCAGCTACTCAGGAGGCTGAGGCAGGAGAGTCGCTTGAATCTGGGAGGCGGAGGTTGCACTGAGCAGAGATCATGCCACTGCACTCCAGACTGGGCAACAGAGCAAGACTCTGTCTTAAAAAAAAAAAAAGAATAAAGGAGAGAGCAGGCCGGGCGTGGTGGCTCACGCCTGTAATCCCAGCACTTTGGGAGGCCGAGGCGGGTGGATCACGAGGTCAGGAGATTGAGACCATCCTGGCTAACGCGATGAAACCCCATTTCTACTAAAAATACAAAAAATTAGCCGGGCGAGGTGGTGGGCGCCTGCAGTGAGCTGAGATCACGCCACTGCACTCCAGCCTGGGTGACAGAGTGAGACTCAGTCTCAAAAAAAAAAAAAAGGAGAGAGCCCTGAATTTCTAACTCAACTTCTCAGGGAAGCTTCAAATGTCCCTATATCTTCTTGGATTTTTAAGTGATATCCAAGTAAGTGAGACAAAGATTCTCTGGGATCTAATAGGGCAATGAAGGCAGATATTTTAATGAAGGTGAGAAATTGTGGGTTTGGACACAGGTAGCACTTTTTGATACTCATTGATGAGCTTAAGAATCTCAAAGATATTCAGGAAGTTTAAAAGGCCTTGTAGAAAAAAGGGGTTTTCAGGGACAGAATTATGGTGTCCATAAGAAAACACATCACATACACCAACCCCCTGAAATAGCTAACCTTTGCCTAAGGATGCAAAACAGACTTTCTTGGATTTCTCAGTAAATCCCTGAGGTAATAGGGTACGCTGAACACAGTGAATATTTAAAGAAAGGATCTCTTTGGAGCTTCTGCCAATAAAATATTCTCTAAGTCAAAGAGTAGCCTCACCTCTCAGCTTCTTAATAATGAAAGTGCTGGTCAGAGTAACAGCCTTTGGGCATCCTCAGTGTTAGGAAAAGACTGACCAGTGCTTGTGTATCCTCTAGGAAAGTGTTCTTTTCTCATGCTTTAAAAAATTAATTTCCCCCAGTCTTGATCAGGGGACTATAATTTTGAAAAATTCTACATTTCACTTTAGAACTACTTATTCTGCCAATCTTGATGAAAATAGTGACTGTCTCCTACTGAAGAGTGGAAGGCTTCTTATAGCTGTGTTAAGAACAAGAAAGGATTCTTCTTTTTCTTTGTTCTTTTGCAATAAATTAGAAACAAATGGTTAACAATAAGATGTAAAAATATTAGAGAAAATGTTGAAAGGAGAAAATAAGCCACTCATAATTATGTTGCCTGAGCATAGCAGTTACTCTTTTTGTTTTTGAATGTTGCCTGTTGGCCTTTACTTAAATATGTACATATTTTGGGCATAGTTGCAAGAGATGTTTTTGGCAAGTATTAAGTCACTTTATGTATATTTCGTGCTAGGTCTTTAAGGAATGGGTTTTTTCTTTTTAAAAGTCATCATATGCTGCTAATATGTTTTAAAAGCCATGCCTTAACATATCTTAACTATCATCTTACTTCATTACGGGAAATGCGTTTTCTTCTGGTCATAGACGTTTAGACCAATTGCTTTTTGGGGTTATTCCTAGTTTTGATACAGAAGCCCCATTATCATCCCCTCTTTATCTAGTGTGACATATAGACATGCATTCAGGTGACCTAAAAGTCGTATCTGTCTATTAAAGTACAGGTTAAACAGAAAAGGGGCTAAAATAATAGCCCCATTTCTTGCTCCTTGAGATTGTGATGTTATCTATCATAAGATAATGTTTGCCCACAAACGTTATCAAAAAGTATCAAAACACTTCTCAAAAGTGTTGATAGCTGGGGAGGCTGTGCTTGGTTAAATCTTCCGGACCTTAGCTGATACCTCTCTATGGGAGTAATCAGTGAAAGCTTCAAAGTGTCATATTACTTGTGGCTTTGCATTTTCCATTTATTTATTTATTAATTTATTTATTTTGAGACAGGGCCTCGTTCTGTCAGCCATGTTGGAGTACAGTGGCATGATCACGGCTCACTGCAGCCTTGACTTCCCAGGCTCAAGTGATCCTCCCACCTCAGCCTCCCGAGCAGCTGGTACTACAGGCGGGTAATTTTTGTATTTTTTGCAGAGACGGGGTTTCACCATGTTGCCCAGGCTGGTCTCGAACTCCTGGACTCAGGCAATCTGCCGCCCTTGCAAAGTGCTGGGATTATAGAAGTGAGCCACCAAGCCCAGCCATACTTGTGGTTTTTTAATCTGTAAAGTTAAAAAAGGCATAAAGGGCCAGGCACCATGGCTCATGCCTGTAATCCCAGCACTTTGGGAGGCCGAGGCAGGCAGATCACTTGAGGTCAGGAGTTCCAGACCAGCCTGCTCTACATGGTGAAACCCCATCTGTACCAAAAATACCAAAATTAGCTGGGTGTGGTGGTGCACACCAGTAATCCCAGCTACTAGGGAGGCTGAGGCAGGAGAATCACTTGAACCCGTGAGGCAGAGGTTGCAGTGAGCCGAGATCATGCCACTGCACTCCAGCTTGGGCAACAGAATGAGACCGTAACACAAAACAAAATAAAATAAAATAGGCACAAGGGTACGTAATGATAGATGAATTTGAGAGGCGTTTTAGGGAAAGTCTTCACTTGTTGGTGGTCCATTTTACCTAACCTCTGATTAGTTATCTAGCATTTCAAAGTGCTGGAATTACAGGCGTGAGCCACCGTGCCCGGCTGAGATTTGCCAGCTTTCTTTGCAGCTAGGTGTGGCCATGTGATCCTCCCACCTCAGCTTCCCAAGCAGCTGAGTTCTGGCCAGTGGGATGTGAACTCGTGATGTGTGCCTCTTCCAGGCCTGGACCGTAATAATCTTTTACAGATGAGCCTCCAGTTCTTTCTCTTTCCTGCTTGATGCGGAAGAGCATGGCGTCCTTAGAATCTCTGATTTTCCTAGAAGGGGAAGCCATAAGATGGAAGCCTGTCAGGAGAGAGTCATCCTCTGATTAGGAACACCTATTTTGCACTTTAGCAAGAACTAGTCTTTCATTGTGTTAGGCAAATGAAACTTTGGGGTTGTATCCATAACAGCTGCTAATGTTACCCTAATTAATATAATTATGAAATAGAAGTTATTTGATTTGTATAATCACACACACACAGACATTATTTTTGTTTCTCTGTAAACCTATGACGATGGCAGAGAGGATACTAGCTAAAAATATTTTGAAGTTAAAACACAGCTGGGAACTGAGATACTACTCAGAGAAGAAAATTATCTGTAAGATAATAAGAAGCAGCACAAAGTAATGCTTAAGTAAGAGGGAACTGGGGTCAGACTGTCTGGGTTTGAATCCTGGCTCTGCCACTTGTAATCTGCAACCTTGGACAGATGAACTTTTTTGCTCCCATTTCCTCATTTATAAAATGGAAATAATAATAATAATATCTACCTTATAAGAATCTTGTAAGATTCAAATAAGGTAATATGTATTGAATGCTTATAGCAGTGCCTGGCAAAGGAAGCACTCCATAAATGTTAGTTAATTATTATTACCAAGTAAAAACCTTGTGTCAAGCAGGGGCCCAGAGTCCAGAGGAGTTGGGGGTAGGGTGGGGTGGGGAGGAGAAGCTGCTTCTACTCCTGGTTAGCACCGCGTGTCATCAACGTGATTCCCAACTAGGCAGGTTAAATCTTGTGGTAAGAAGCCTCCCAATGGAGGAACACCTTAAGCTTCTGGAAAGAATATCTCTCCTTCCTGATCATCTGCCACAGGCATCTCCTGCCTCCTGTGGGTGCTCCTGCCTTGGTCAGCACAAAATGGAAGGTTGCACATATTTCCTCCTCTTTCTCTCCAATCCCTTATGTTCTCCATGTCTTCAAGATGGAGAAGCAAAGCAGATATTTAGGGAGCCACAGACCTCTGTATTTATTTATTTGAGATGGCGTTTCACTCTTGTTGCCCAGGCTGGAGTGCCATGGCGTGATCTTGGCTCACTGCAACGTCTGCCTCCTGGGTTCAAGCGATTCTCCTGCCTCAGCCTGATGAGTAGCTGGGATTACAGGCACCTGCCACCACGCCCGGCTAATTTTTTTTGGTATGTTTAGTAGAGACGGGGTTTCACCATGTTGGTCAGGCTGGTCTTGAACTCCTGACCTCAAATGATCCATCCGCCTTGGCCTCCCAAAGTGCTGGGATTATAGGCGTGAGCCACCACGCCTGGTCAGTTGTTATTTATTATTGGTTTTACTTCTAGTTAGCCTCAGGTAAAATGAACTGCCTTCAAAACACCTTCAGTAGTAAGCTAGAATCCTATTTAAAGTCAGTAACATATGGAATCTTTATACAAAATACAGGATTGAGAGACCCAGACTAACAATTTGTTAGGTAGAAAATAGGCATAAGGATTTAAAAATTTGTATTTTTTTGTAGTAAAACTTACATAACAAAATGTTTACTACTGTAACCATTTTGAGTGTATGATTGAGTGGCGTTATACACATTCACAATGTTGTGCAGCCACCAGCACTGTCTATTCCAGAACTGGTTCATCATTGCAAACAGAAACTCCATACACATTCAACAACTTCCCATTCCTCCTTCCTCCCAGCCCCTGGTAACCGCTCTTCTACTTTCTGTCTCTATGTATTTGCTTATTCTTGGTGCCTCGTGTAATTGGAATAATGCAGTATTTGTCCTTCTGTGTCGGGCTTATTTCACTTAGCATAATTGTTTCTAAAGTTTATCCCTATTGTAGCATGTAGCAGAATTTCTTTCCTGTTTATGGTTAAATAATATTCCATCATAGGTGTATATATACCACATTTTGTTTATCCATTCATCTACACGGGGTGTTTCCACCTTTTGGCTATTGTGAGTAATGCTGCAATGAATATTGGTGAACAAGTATTTGTTTGAGTCCCTGCTTTCAATTTTTTTGGGAATATACCTAGAAGTGGAAATGTTGATAATTCGTGTTTTTATGTTTTTGAGATGGAGCCTGACTCTGCGGCACAGGCTGAAGTGCAGTGGTGCATTCTCGGCTCACTGCAACCTCCATCTCCCAGGTTCAGGCGATTCTCTTGCCTCAGCCTTTTGAGTAGCTGGGATTACAAGTGCATGCCACTACACCCAGCTAATTTTTGTATTTTTAGTAGAGACAAGGTTTCACCATATTGGCCAGGCTGGTCTTGAACTCCTGTCCTCAAGTGATCTACGCACGTTGGCCTCCCAAAGTGCTGGGAGTACAGAGGTGAGCCACCACAGCCGGCTAGTTTGTGTTTTTAAATAGGGGATTTGTACATGTGTCTCACTGACAGGAACTGTGTCACATGGTGTATCCTTACTGCAAGGGAATGGGGTGGGGCTGAGAAAAATGAGGTTTTAATTTTTTCCCCAGTCTTTTTTTTTTTTTCTTTGAGATGGAGTCTTGCTCTGTTGCCCATGCTGGAGTGCAATGGTGTGGTCTCTGCTCACTGCAACCTCTGCCTCCTGGGTTCAAGCAATTCTCTTGCCTCAGCCTCCCAAGTAGCTGGGACTACAGGTGTGTGCCACCACACCCGGCTAATTATTGTATTTTTAGTAGAGACGGAGTTTCACTATGTTGGGCAGGCTGGTCGTGAACCCCTGACCTCATGATGCATCCACCTCAGCCTCCCAAACTGTTGGGATTACAGGCGTGAGCCATCGTGCCTGGCCTCCCCAGTCTGTATAGTAGATAAAGGCAAGATAATGTGGGCTCGGAAAAGATGGTGAATGATTCCACCTACAGTACCTGCCACAATTTACATTCTGGAGGATGAATTTAGAACTAAGACTCTATACTCCCCTAGCAGGAAATATGAATAGGCATTGATTCCCGATGGTACTTATAATGTTGTTGGTATTCTATAAATTCAAATTCAATGCCGTCCTTTTTCCTGGATCTAATTTTGAATGATTTTATGACTTAAGGGAACTGCTTCATCTAGTTTCAGTGGGAATTTAGATAAATCTGCTTTTGATAGGTAATTACCCAAGGTTTGGTTTGTATAAAATAAACTTTCCAACAGAAGGGGGGCACTCAACTGTAGATGAAGATAATTAAATGATAATTAAAATGGGGGTGGTTTAGCAATAACAATACAAATGGGGAAAGGGCAAGATGGCATACTGTAAAGGAAACCATTTCTATTGGAATACTCAGAATTAAATACTACTAGTTCTGTTTAAAGACTGCTATTCAAAAATTATTGTTCAATTACTCCAGTATTTGCTATCTAACTTACCCAAAGACATTCATTTATCACCATAAGCTTGGGAATAGGATCTAGCCATTGCAACTATAGACTCCAGAAATTCAGAAAGAAGATTCAGACTTACCTTTGTTATAATGTTTTTTTTTTTTTTTAAGAGACAGAGTCTTGTTCTGTCGCCCAGGCTGGAGTGCAATGGTGAGATCTTGGCTTACTGCACCTCCACCTCCCAGTTTCAAGTGAGTCTCCTGCCTCAACCTCCCGAGTAGCTGGGATTACAGGCGCCCGCCATTATGCCCGGCTAATTTTTGTATTTTTAGTACAGACGGGGTTTCACCACGTTGCCCAGGCTGGTCTCAAACTCCTGACCTCAGGTGATCTGCCTGCCTTGGCCACCCAAAGTGTTGGGATTACAGGTGTGAGCCACCGTGCTCAGCCTGATATAAATTTTAAATGCTCTATTATTAAGAAGAAAATCACCAAAGTAACAATCTTATCAATGATGGATTCAAGAATGGAATGAAGGATGGAAAGAGCAAAGCATGCATTAGGCATTTTGTACGTCTGTCACCTACATAGCTAAAGAAAGAGAGGGATGAAGGTATTAGTTAGGATACAATCTCAGGTGAAGGTAACAGAGCCCCAAAGTAACAGTGTGCTGAACCAGATGGAAGCTTATTTCTGTCTTGTGAAGATGGCCCAGGGCAGGTATAGTGGCTCTGATCCACAAGATCATGCAGAGACCTTGGCTCCTTCTGCCCTGTTTCTTTGCCATTCCAAGCAGAGGGGTAGAGGCAAGAAAAAGGGTGAAGGGATGACTTTTAAGGTATGACCAGATACTTTTAAGGGTATGACCAGAAATCACAACCCATTGTGCTCAGGATTTAGATTTATGGCCACACCTAGCTACAAATGAGTCTGGTTTTTATTTTGGATACCCATGTGTCGAGTTAAAAATTAGGGGTGCTATTATTTAAAAAGAAGAGAATAAATTTTGAGATGTTGTCTTAGCTGTTTGTGTTGCTATAACACAATACCTGAGACTGGGTAATTTATAAAGAACACAAACTTATTTCTCACAGTTTTCACAGCTGGGAAGTCGAAGATCAAGGTACCAGCAGGTTTGGTTGGTGAAGGCTGCTTTTTGATTCCAAGATGGCACCTTGTTGCTGTATGCTATGGAGGGGAGGAATGCTGTGTGAGGCTTCCTTTACAAAGGCCTTAATCCTATTCATGAGGAAGAAGCCCCCATGGCCTACTCACCTCTTAAAGGCCCCACCTCTTAATACTATCAATTGGCCATTGTATTAGTCCATTCTCACACTGCCATAAAGAACTACCTGAGCCTGGGTAATTTATAAAGAAAAGAGGTTTAATTGGCTCACAGTTTCACAGGCTGTATAGGCAGCATGGCTGGGGAGGCTTCAGGGAACTTACAATCATGGTGGAAGGGAAAAGGGGAAGCAAGCATGTCTTTAGATGGCAACAGGAGAGAGAGAGTAAGGGGGGGATGTGCAACACACTTTTAAACAACCAGAGCTCATGAGAACTCACTTACTATCATAAGAAAAGCAAGGGGAAAATCCTCCCCCATGATTCAATCACCTTCCACCAGGTCCCTCCCCAACATGGGGAATTACAATTTGACATGAGATTTGGATGGGGACACAGAGCCAAACCATATCCACCATTAAGTTTCAACAGCTGCATTTTGGAGGGGACACAGTCTAACCATAGCAGATCCAGTGAACCATCTTTGCTACCATAAAACTGTTGCTACTATAGGAAACAGAACAATTATTTTAAAGCAAATTTGGAAAACTTGAAGCCAGGGGGCTCTCAGGTGTGTGCAGAAACAAATCTCTCTCGTCCTCTTGCCATATTAATAACCCATGATTCCTTATGAGTTTTGGGGCTTTTAAGTGGACACCCAGAGCCAGCTATTGTCGGCTACTGCCCTGCATTAGCCCCTTGCCAAGCAAGCCAGGCCCTGGGGAATTCTACTACCATGGGAGATACACGCAGACAATGCTCTCTCTCTCCGACTACATGAGGTATTGCAGAGTGTATTAATTCTCTCTCTCTCTTTTTTTTTTTTTTTTTTTGAGATGGAGTCTGGCTCTGTCGCCCAGGCTGGAGTGCAATGGCATGATCTCAGCTCACTGCAAGCTCTGCCTCCTAGGTTCACGCCATTCTCCTGCCTCAGCCTCCCGAGTAGCTGGGACTACAGGCGCTCACCACCACACCCAGGTAATATTTGTATTTTTTTAGTAGAGACAGGGTTTCACCATGTTAGCCAGGATGGTTTTGATCTCCTGACCTCGTGATCTGCCCGCCTTGGCCTCCCAAAGTGCTGGGATTACAGGCATGAGCCACCGCGCCCAGCTGCAGACTGGATTAATTCTCTACGACTGCCAGTTATTTCCTGTAAAGAGGATGGTGGTCACACCCTTCTCCTGTAAACTTTATCTGCAACCACTTCTCGTTCTGATCTGATGAACAAAAATTTGAAAAGAAGTCAATAGAAAAACTAGGACACAACCATGGTGGTGTGGGAGGCACCACAGGAAGAGGAGTCAATGGGTTGGTTGGAGAAAGAAAGCTTCTATGAGGCCTCTGGGTGGCCCACGGAGAGAGAGGTGGATGTTAGGGAGAAAGAGAACCAAGAGAGGGGAAGAAAATGGATAATGAGGCCAGGTGTGGTGGCTGATGCCTGTAATCCCAGCACTTTGGGAGGCTGAGGCGGGTGGATCACCTGAGGTCAGGAGTTCAAACCAGCCTGGCCAACATGGTGAAACCCCGTTTCTACTAAAAATACAAAAATTAGCCAGGCGCGATGGTGCACGCCTGTAGTCCCAGCTACTTGGGAGGCCAAAACAGGAGAATGGCTTGAACCCGGGAGGCGGAGTTTGCAGTGAGCCGAGATTGCCCCACTGCACTCCAGCCTGGGAGACAGAGCAAGACTCCATCTTAAAGAAAAATAAAAATAAAATGGATAATGAGGAAAGAAAATAGGTTTCCTCCCTAATGAAAGTGAGGTAGGTCTGGGGAAGCTGTGAATCTCATGTATCAGAGAGGTTGAGGCAGGCATACATCTGAGGTGGCAGAGGCTACTAACCTAACATAAAGAGGACCCACAGAAAGATGGTAAGTGAGGCAATGCTAGGGAATTACAGCAAGAACAGTGGGAACAAGTGTTTCATGATATGGAGGAAATCCCAGGAAAACTCCCAAATGTTCAGTCTCTTGACATGCTCCAGCATTCTTCCCACTGGGACCCCAGTCCACCGACCTCCCCTCAATTACTCGCTTTTCTATGACCTCCTTGTCTCCCTTCTTCCCACCTTGATCAGTTTGGATTCCGTGGTTCATCCCTGACATCACACCTTGATATGACATTCAATTCACCTGCCTCTCTTTCCATCCACACTTCCCTGGCAAAACCCCAACTCTGATGAACTTAGCACCCCTCACCCTCCATTCCCTGCCTGCACCTGAGCAGCTAGCTGTGGCGGAAAAAAGCCCACATAGGATGGTGAATGTCAGGAGCCCACAGCCTCGTCCAGTTGTCCAGCTTATTGCCATGGTCAAGTTGCTCTCCCCCTTTGAAATGACTACCTTATAGCTTTTTCCTCTGTCATCAACCTTTCAATATCACCTCTCTCCTTCTCACTCTTAGCTGTTGGCCTGGCTCCTGTTGTCTCTTTTTATTTTTATTTTATTTTATTTTTAAAGTTTTTTTAAAAATTTTTGTCTTTTATGATTTTATTTTTTTGAGACAGAGTCTCGGCAGGGTGTGTTGTCTCACACCTGTAATCCCAGCACTTTGGGAAGCCGAGGTGAGGAGTTCAAAATGGAGTCTTGCTGTGTTGCCCAGGCTGGAGTGCAATGGCACCATCTCAGCTCACTGCAAACTCTGCCTTCCCAAGTCAAGCAATTCTCTGCTTCAGCCTCCTGAGTAGCTGGGGTTATAGACGTGTGCCACCACACCCAGTTGATTTTTGTATTTTTAGTAGAGATGTGGTTTTGCCATGTTGGCCAGGCTGGTCTTGAACTCCTGACCTCAAGTGATCCACCCGCCTCTGCCTCCCAAACTGCTGGGATTACGGGCATGATTTTTTATTTTTATTTTTTGAGATGGAGTCTCACTCTGTTGCCCAGGCTGGAGTGCGGTGGTGCAATCATAGCTCACTGTAACCTGGAACTCCTGGGTTCGAGACACCCTCCTGCCTCAGCTTCCCAAATAGCTGGGACTACAGGTGTGTGCCACTACACTTGGCTTGTGGCTCCTTTTTTCACGGAAGAAATAAAAACAATCAGCAGAGAATGATTCAGAATCTTCAAATGTACCTTCATTTGTAGCCGCCTATGCTCTGCCTCCTGGAGAGTTGCGATGAATGTCCCATCCTTGCTCCTATCACTGGCACTGTGTATTCCCTGGTCCACCCCTTCTTGCCTGCTTAAGGACTTGCTCCTGCAATCATCCCCTTGCTCTGTGTCATTGTCTGCCCCCCGCTACTGGGTTATTCCCATCAGTGTACAAATATGTGGCAATACTTCCCAGTTAAGAAAATACCTCCCTGGGCCCAGCATGGTGGCTCATGCCTGTAATCCCAGCCCTTTGGGAGGCCAAGATGGGAAAATCACTTGAGGCCAGGAGTTTGAGACCAGCTTGGGCAACATAGTCAGACTAGGTCTCTACAAAAGTAATGAAAAAAAAAAAAAAAAAAAAAAAGCTAGGTGTGCTGGTGCTCACCCGAAGCTGCAATGAGGTATGATTGTGCCACTACATTGCAGCCTAAAAAAAAGAAAGGAAGGAAAAAAAGAAGGAAGAAGTAAAAAGAAAGAAAGAGAAAGGAATAAACTAAGGAAATGCCTCTCTGATCCCATATCCTTCTCCAGCAACCATGTCTCTGCTTCTCTCAACAGCAACACTCCAAAAAATTCTGAAATGACATATTGGGTGGGACTTTCTCTGTGGTCCTGGAACTGATGATGAGGGCCAAAGTTGGAGACAAAGAAGTGTATTAAGAGATGGTTTAGGCCGGGCGCGGTGGCTCTCGCCTGTAATCCCAGCACTTTGGGAGGCAGAGACGGGCGGATCACGAGGTCAGGAGATCGAGACCATCCTGGCTAACACAGTGAAACCTCGTCTCTCCTAAAAATACAAAAGAATTAGCCGGGCGTGGTGGTGGGCACCTGTAGTTCCAGCTACTCGGGAGGCTGAGGCAGGAGAATGGCGTGAAACCGGGAAGCGGAGCTTGCAGTGAGCAGAGATCGCGCCACTGCACTCCGACCTGGGCGACAGAGCGAGACTCTGTCTCAAAAAAAAAAAAAAAAAAAAAAAAAGATGGTTTAACTGTCTCTGTTTCCCCCAGCTGTCACTTCACTTTTCCTATCACTCCTTAGTTTATATTAAAAAGAAAAAAATAGAGGGATCACACTGGCTGTCAGCCTAGTGGGGAGAGCTGTGCCCTTCGTTCTCCTCCTGTAAAGCAAGTGGGGGGTCCCAGAGATCCACCTGTGACTGCGAGTGGAGGAGATGATGTCCTTTCTCCAGCTGGGCATCTGTCTCCCTCTGCCCATCTGAGAGGGGGACAGGGGAGCTGGGGGGCGGTCAGGCAGAGCGGAGGCTGCAGCAGGCAGCTTGTCCTCCCTGTTGGGAGTGTTACGTTTTTGTGATTCAAGGAAACCCAGGGAAAGGTTTTGAGCTCACTGACCAGGACTGTCAGGGAAGAAGCGGGAGGGGAAGCTGAGGGGTTGGAAGAGGTCTGAGCCAAGGTCAGGTATCCCACCTCAGGAAACTGGCAGCAGGAGTTGAAAAGAACAGACTCCTCCGGGTCTACACTCCAACTCCAAAAGCCAGTTGCCTTGTGGGAGTGGGTGGGAGCGAGATTAAAATTATTGAGATTAGCACTTAAAATGGGATAGAGTTAGTAGTCGAAAGTCACCAGAAAGTTAGGAAATCAGCTCAATATTTCATTAAGTAACAGGAAAATGAAATTCAATTGGAAAGTGATTGAAAGCAACAATGGAAGAAAATTAAAGCTGTTTGCTGTCTATACCAAGTCCAGACTTTTCAATAGACCTGTTGCATCTTTACTTGTCTTCTCTCTCTCATCTCTTACTTTCTCTTTATTTTTTAAACATTAAAATTTATTTTATCAAAGCTGTACATGTATTGTTTTAAAACGTCATGTAACTAGTTATAAATATGTAAAAAAATTAAAATCGAACAGTTTTACAAGGCTTAGAATAAAAAGGAGTATCCAATTTCTTCCCCCCAAAAGCAACTTCTTTCCATTTTTAAACTGTTTCTTCAGGTTTTCTTTAACTCTATTTTTTTTCCCCAAATAACATATGTACTGCTACTTCTTGATTTTTTGGTTTTGTGTATTATATATTGACTTCCTGTTGTGGGGCATAAGGAATTGGTCTTTTTACCCTCTGTTTCTTCTTACCATCCTCCCAATATTTCTCTCTTCTTTTCTTTTCTTTTCTCTTTTCTCTTCTTTCTTTTTCTTTCTTTCTTTCTTTCTTTCTTTCTTTCTTTCTTTCTTTCCTTCTTTCTTTCTTTCCTTCTTTCTTTCTCTTTCTTTTCTTTCTTTCTTTCGTTCCTTCTTTCTTTCGTTCGTTCTTTCTTCTTCCTCTTTCTTTCAATGAGAAACTGGTCTTTTTACCCTGTTTTTTCTTATCATCTTCCCAATCTTCCCTCCCTCCCTCCTGTCCGTCCTTCCTTCCTTCCCTCCCTCCCTCCTGTCCGTCCTTCCTTCCTTCCTTCCTTCCTTCCTTCCTTCCTTCCTTCCTTCCTTCCTTCCTTTCTTGAGTCTCACTGTATTGCCCAGGCTGGAATGCAGTGCTGCAATCTCTGCTCACTGCACCCTCCGCCTCCCAGGCTCAACCTATTCTCCTGCCTCAGCCTCCCGAGTAAGCTGGGATTACAGGCACACACACCCATGTGCAGCTAATTTTTAACAGATATATTTTAGTAGAAATGGGTTTCACCATGTTGGCCAGGCTGGTCTTGAACTCATGACCTCAAATGATCCACCTACCTCAGCCTCCCAAAGTGCTGGGATTATAGGCATGAGTCACCAGGCCTGGCTGAGGTTCTAGTCTTTTGTTTGGGTGGTAGAGGGGCAGTCACCCAGCTGTGTGGGGGTGAGGAGAAGATCTAGGAGTCTTTTTCTTCCTATGAAGATTTTCACTCATTCCTGCTTTCATCTTCTAGCAACCTCACCTTCCCAAGTACTTGGTACCTTCAACTCCTGAAACTTCCTGAGGTTCTTTGGTATGAATGAGACCAATTCTTGCTCCTCTAGACTATAGATCCTCAACTTTCAATTTTCTTCAGGCTTCGGAGTCACTTACAACTCATACATCTACTTTTCTTTTCTTTTCTTTTTTGAAACAGAGTTTCGCTCTGTCACACTGGCTGGGGTGCAATGACACAGTCTTGGCTCACTGCTACCTCTGCCTCCCGGGTTCGAGGGATACTCCTGCCTCAGCCTCCTGAGTAGCTGGGACTACAGGCACACACACCACCATGCCCAGCTAATTTTTTGTATTTTAGTAGAGACAGGGTTTCACCTTGTTGGCCAGGCTGGTCTTGAACTCCTGACCTCAGGAGATCCACCCGCCTCAGCCTCCCAAAGTGCTGTGATTACAGGCGTGAGCCACTGTGCCCGGCCTCATCCATCTACTTTCTAGATTCCAAAATTGTATTGACATCTCTCGTATTCTCCTATCACTGCTCTCGTTTTCTCTGTTCCATAGGTTTATGCATTTTAAACCCTTTGTTGTCATTTTAGTGAGAATTCAAGGGGAAACAGAAATAAATGCAGCTGGAGAACCATCCCACCATCCCGACCACAACTGATCTTCCCTGGACACGATGAACCACGCTGTCCAAACCGTCTTCACTCCCGCCAACACCAGCCACCCCCTCAACTATGAAATGCTCAAGGAGGAGCATGAGGTGGCTGTGCTGAGGGTGCCCCACAACCCTGTTCCCCCGACATCCACCGTGATCCACATCCACAGTGAGACCACTGTGCCCAGCCATGTCGTCTGGTCCCTGTTCAACACTCTCTTCATGAATTGATGCCATCTGGGCTTCATAGCATTCACCTACTCCGTGAAGTCTAGGGACAGGAAGATGGTTGGCGACCTGACTGGGGCCCAGGCCTACGCCTCCACTGCCAAGTGCCTGAACGTTTGCACCCTCATCCTGGGCATCCGTGTGACCACAACACTCATCATCCTTTTCACCAGTAGTTCTATGATAATATTCCAAGCAATTTCTCAAATGATAAAGAATCTCCAAGGCCAGCAGTAGCGCCCAGGTACTCGCTGTCCATTGCGGGCCCTGCACCCTGGGCCTGAGTTCTGTATCAGCCCTTTATTCTCACACACTTTTCTACAATGGCATTCAATAAAGTGCACGTGTTCCTGGAAAAAAGAAGGAAAGAAAGAAATGCAGCTGTTCAGTCCTCCACATTCAGCCCAGAGGTCTTTATACTCTGAACCCACTTCAGCCAGACTTTTATCCCTGCCACTTTGCTGAAACTGTTGTTATCAAGGTCAAAACTTTGCCTAATCCACTGGTCAATTCTCAAGCCTTATCTTACTTAAATTCTCAGTAGGATTTGATACGATTAATCCCTTCTCCTTGAAGCCCTCTCTGTCTTTCCTGAAGTCTCGGTATCTTTTTCTGGCATCTCTTTCTTACCTCTAACTGTTGTGTGCCCTTGGGCTCAGTTCTTTTCTTTCTTCTCTACTTACATTCTCTTGGGTGACATACGGTCATGTGGGTTTAAATACCATCTATTTGCCAATATCTATTGGCTGTCCATATCTGTGGGTTCTGCGTATATGGAGTCAACCAACTGTGGGTCAAAAATATTCAGAAAAAAAATGTGTTTGTACTGAACATGTACAGACTTTTCTTGTCATTATAGCAAGAATGACAATTAAACGATAAAGTATAACATCTATTTACATAGCATTTGCATTGTATTAGGTACCATATCAGTAATTTAGCTATGATTTAAAGTACACAAGCCAGATGCAGTGGCTCATCCCTGTAATCCCAGCACTCTGGGAGGCTGAGGCGGGTGGATCGCTTGAGGTCAGGCGTTCAAGACCAGCCTGGCCAACATGGCAAAACTCTGTCTCTACTAAAAATACAAAAGTTAGCCAGGCATGATGACATACTGAGACATAGTCTCAGCTACTTGGGAGGCTGAGGCCGGAGAATAACTTGAACCCGGGAGGTGGAGGTTGCAGTGAGCTGAGATTTGCACCACTATACTCCAGCCTGGGTGACAGAGTGAGACTTTGTCTCAAAAAAAAAAAAAAAAAAAAAACTACACAGGAGAATATGCATTGGTTATATGCAAATACTACACCATTTTTTTGTTTATTTTTGAGACTGTCACCCAGGGTGGAGAACAGTGGTGCAATCATGGCTCACTGCAGCTTTGACATGTCTGGCTTAAGCAATCCTCTTGCCTCAGCCTCCTGAGTAGCTGGAACTACAGGCGTGAGCCACCACACTGGGCTAATTTTTATATTTTTCACAGAGATGGAGTTCCGCCATATTGCCCAGGCCGGTCTCCAACCCCTGGGCTCAAGTGATTCTCCCACCTCGGATTCCCAAAATGCTGGGATTACCAGGTGTGATGAGCCACTGCACCTGGCCTACTACACCATTTTGTATCAGGAACTTGAGCATCTGTGGATTTTGGTATCCCCAGGAGGTCCTGGAACCAATCCCCCTGGATAACATAGGCAATGGTACATATCTTCAGCGCCAACCTGTGCAACACCCTGGAGCTTCATACTTGCATATGTTTACCCATCTATCTGAGACTTCCCATTGGAAGTCGAATAAGTGTCTCAAATTGGATCTCTTCAAAATAGAACTTGCTTTTATCCTTCAAATCTCCTACCTCAGTCTTCTCCATTTCAGTATATACTACGAAGATTCACCTAGATTTTGCTTGGGTTGAACACCCAGAGGTCATCTTTGGTTAGGCTATTCCCCTGACACCTACATTAATCCAATGACATCACCCAATTTCATCTCCAAAATATATCTTGGTTGGTCAGGCACAATGACTCACGTCCATAATCCCAGCACTTTGGGAGGCTGAGGTGGGCAGATCATTTGAGTCCAGGAGTTCAAGATCAGCCTGGGCAACATAGTGAGACCCTAAAAAATTAAAAAAAAAAAAACACCAAAAAAAAAAAACCAGCAAAAAGAAATCCAAAACAAATCTTGGTCAAACGACTTCTCTTCTCACCATGTCCTCTGCTGCTCCCCTAGTCCAAGTCACCCCTCTCTTACCTGGACTCCTGTCATGGCTCCTGTCTTCTGATTTTTCTGCCATCATTCTTGCTCCTTTCCCATACCTGCAGTCTATTTTCTGCATAGCAGTGAGAGTGTTATTTATTTATTTCTTTAGTTAGTTATCATTTTAGAGACAGAGCCCCACTCTGTTGCCTGGGCTGGAGTTCAGTGGTGTAATCAAAGCTCACTGCAGCCTCAAATTCCTGGGCTCAATCCTCCTGCCTCAGCCTTCTGAGTATCTGGGACCACAGGCGTGAGCCACCGTGCCTGGCTGAGAGTGCTCTTTACAAAGAGCAAGTCAGCCAGGTCACCCCTACTCACAGCCATCCAATGGCATCCATCACACTCTGGATGAAACCACCTGCTTACCAATGCCTACAAGGCTTAACAAAGACAGGTCCCCACCTCCCTCTTAACCTCACTCTCACACCGTTCTGGTCACACCAGCCTTTGTGCTTTTCCTTGACATGCCCAGCTCTGCCCTTCCTCAGATCTTTTTGTTTCTTCTTTTGCCTGATGCTTTCCTTGCAGATCTTTATGTCATTCACATATCTGCTTAAATGCCATCTCCTCAAAGAAGACTTCTCTGGCTATCCCACCTAAAAAAAGCTCCTTTCCTCATCAGTCTCCATCTCCTTAGATAGCTGCCTGCTTCTGGCCGAGGGCAGTGGCTCACGCCTGTAATCCCAGCAGTTTGGGAGGCGGAAGCAGATGGATCACTTGAGGTCAGGAGTTCGAGATCAGCCTGGCCAACATGGTGAAACCCCGTCTCTACTAAAAATACAAAAATTAGCCAAGCTTGGTGGCGGGTGCCTGTAATCCCAGCTACTAGGGAGGCTGAGGCAGGAGAATCACTTGAACCCAGGAGGCGGAGGTTGCAGTGAGCTGAGATTGCACCACTGCGCTCCATCCTGGGTGACAGAGCGAGACTCTGTCTCAAAAACAAAAGAAAAGAAAGGAAAAGAAAAGAAAAGAAAAGAAAAGAAACAAACAAGATAGCTCCCTGCTTCCTTGAGGTCTTCATTCCCCTGGAGAAGGCTCCTCCAAGTAATGACCACCGTGGCCATTGCCAAGGAAAAGGTGTCATCATGACACCTGGTGCTGAATATCCCACCAGACAGGATGAGTGCCTAGAAAATCAATGTGGCATTTTTTTTGTATCCTGAGTTTATAAAGCGAAACTCACACCTGCTGACTAAGAGAGCTCTGTGGTCAGAGTACATGTCCTCCCTGTATTTTATTTTATTTTTACCATTGTCTGATGTGAATTGGCCAGAGCGGGTAAGACAGAGGAAGGGTGACCTGCCTGTATTGTAGATTTAGGGAGTGCAGAGGGACATTCTGTCGGGAAAATGTGTGTAGACTGGGAAGGACATGCCAATCAGGAAAGAGCCCATAAAACTGACTTTTGAAAAAGTTTGTATAAGACCAGACCATAATGACTTCATCTTCTGGCTCTACTAATTCTCTTCTTGGCTTCACACTGAGATTCAGATTAAGCAGCCGTTGACTCGAGCCAACTGCAGTCAGCACTGGGGGACTTGGACATTGGTTGAGTTTGGAGAGACACCAGCTGCGGGAAGGAGGAATTTCTGCCACACTCCTATTTCGGGGGTGTACTTGTGCTTGAGGAGCAGCCAGGATTTCTCTGGGATCTTTCCTTGAGAAGGGGCTGCAAGAACCCAGATCCCTAGCCATGACCTGGCCAATGAAGGCTGTCAGGACGGGGAGGATTCAGTCCATCAGCAAACAACTTCTCAGCCAAGATGGAGAGTACACGTATTGAGTGCAGACCATGTACCCTGCAGGTGCTATGTAATGTGTTCTACCTGTGTGATCACAGAAATCCTGGCACTGGTCCTGGGAGGGTCTATTTTGCTACATTACCCCAGTCATTTACTCATTCATGTAACAAACACTTACTATGCACATATATGTTCCAAGCATTCTTTTTCACTCCTGAAACTGTGGTTACAAGGGAGAAAAAGGCCAAGTGATTGCTTTTATAGGGCTTATAGCCAGGTGGCGGGGATGCCAAGTAGACAAACAAATACACGAGACAAGGTGATAAAAGCAGAATCATGGCCGGGCACGGTGTCTCACTCCTGTAATCCTAGCACTTTAGGAGGCCGAGGCAGGTGGATCACATGAGATCAGGAGTTCGAGATCAGCCTGACCAACATAGAGAAACCCCATCTCTACTAAAAATACAAAAACATAGCTGGGCGTGGTGGTACATGCCTGTAATCCCAGCTACTCGGGAGGCTGAGGCAGAAGAATTGCTTGAATCCAGGAGATGGAGATTGCGGTGAGCTGAGATCGTGCCATTGCACTCCAGCTTGGGCAACAAAAGCAAAACTCCGTCTCTAAAAAAAAAGCAGAATCATGAGACAGGTCAGGGATTGTCCAAGTGTGGTCCACAGACCTCTGGGAGTTCCTAAGACCTTTTCAGGAGGTCCAGGAGGTTGAAACAACTGTATTTGCACAAAAATATTGATATGTTATTTGCCTTTGTCACTCTTGTGACATAGCGGTCCTCAAATTGGCTTTCTGGGCAGGGGTCATGAATGTCACTCTAGGGAGGCACAGCCCCAGGCCTGAGAAGAACCCCAGAGACTTAGTGAATCTGTCTCTGGGGCATCTCTCCTTGTAATGGGGCTATGAGCTGATGCCCAGGCTCTAAGGAGACAGTGCTGGCTGGTGCCACCCAACAGGAGGATTCATCCTACTCTTTGAATCCCAGGAAGACTCTCCTGGGGTTTCAGCTCTTACTCCCACTCTTACAATCATAGGACTCGCATGAGGAGCCTGGGAAGTGAAAGCTGGGGCCATGTGTGACAGCAGCTATGAGAAGCAGAGAACTCTCAGGCCCCAGTCTGCAGCCCCAGACCTCTCATGCCAGTGCTCAGGGCACTGAATTGTCATGACTTGGTTTCTCCTGGCAGAATCGCGGGAGGCACAGAGTTGGAAGTTGGATCACTCCCCAAATGAGTTGTTGAGGCTCCGTGTGACATGATGACGTTTGCTGGGCCACTCAGCAAATTGTTCCCCCAGTAGACCTGCCTCACAGCTCAACAGTCTGTCAGCTGCGTTTATTGGGAACCTGCTAGCAATGTGAATTGGTAGGCAGTCCAAGCACTGCAGTAGCAGTTCCCAAGAGTTGCGGACTAAGTTATCTATCTATCAAATCCTGTCTCTCTGTTGACATCTGGGAAAACCAGGTGACACCCACACACCTGAGGCCTTGGCAGCAGCCCAATTCAAGGTTGCAGTTTTTCTTTAGTTACTTTCTGACCTTGGAGTTTGAGAATGTAGGTATTGGGCTTTGCTTCTGTTCAAACTGCATGGATGTTTCAAAGTCTAAGCGTTTGAAAATTAACATAGTCAGATGTACATACACATTCATTACACGTGTTCCTGGGTCACTTTCAGCAGGACCTAGATTGATCCTTGCATAGTGACTGATCACGGAGCACTCACTTATTTCCACAGGCAGAAGAAACCTGTCCAGAAAAAACCCCGAGCATACCACTGGATAAAGGTTTAAATGGGCTTTCTGCCAGTGAACTGCATTTGATAGTTATGTGGGTGCAGCCCATGGCAAGAATCCACACAGCTCACAAGAGATCTGTGGGGCCCTGGGATGTTGCAATGTCACTCTGTCTGGGTAAGTGACAGCCAGGATGTGGGATTTGGTGATTATTTTTGGTTTGGTTTGTTTCTAGCTCAGAAGAAAGACTATATATAACATTGAGAGAGGCATAACTTCCAGATTGTCAAGGTTGGTGCTAATAGTGAATGATATACTAATATATGTTACATGGAATCACAAGCTTGCAAGAGCAACGCTCATGTACAAGATGAAAGGATAAATCTTCTGTTGTGTAATGGGAAAAGAAAGCTGGCAATGTAAATGCAGTCTTAATGTTTTTTCCAGCATTGCATGTGTAATTAGGCATTCAGTGACTTCCTCATCTAAGGAAATTTGACTTTAATGGCAGCTATATAGCTAACTATCGAAGGAGTATTTTGAAAATTCAGGGGTGAGGATGGGAAGGTATTAACTGTAAAAATGTATTATATCCTTGGCCTTCAAACAAGACAAAAGAAAACAAACAACTCCGTCAGCACCAATCTGCCATCATGTAAGCTGTGTAGATAGAAGTTAGACTCATATTCTGAGCTCTTGGAAATTAAGCCAGAAACAGAATGGTCAGATAATTTTTATCCACTAGCGCGCGTATGTTACATTTTGATCATTTAAGATTCCCCCTGCCAAAGGGCTCTGTTTCATGAATGCAATTTCATCGGTGTCTGGAAATTGCACAGTTTATGGTGCAGTCTCATGATGTCTTGGGAAATTAAGGCATAACCTTGGGTAAATCCAAAGTTCATCTTTAAAAAGAGAAAGGCCGGGTGTGGTGGCTCACGCCTGTAATCCTAGCACTTTGGGAGGCCGAGGCGGGCGGATCATGAGGTCAGGAGACCGAGACCATCCTGGCTAACATGGTGAAACCCCGTCTCTACTAAAAATACAAAAAAATTAGCCGGGCGCGGTAGCGGGCGCCTGTAGTCCCAGTTACTCGGGGGGGGTTGAGGCAGGAGAATGGCGTGAACCCGGGAGGCGGAGCTTGCAGTGAGCCGAGATCGCGCCACTGCAGTCCGGCCTGGGTGAAAGAGCGAGGCTCCACCTCAAAAAAAAATAAATAAATAAAATAAAAATAAATAAAAAAATAAAAAGAGAAAGTTTCAAATGCAGAGTTTAACCAAAGCTGATAGAATAGAGTCCCTCCCCATCCACTGTCTCTACCCACAAACTTCCAGAGAATCACAGGGCACAGCTAGGAGCAGTGACAACCTGAGCCAGCAGGACTGTTCGATCTGACAGCAGGTAAAAATGTTTGCTGGAAACCAGTGCAGGAAAGGGTTAGGAAATTAAAGACAGAAGCTTGAGTTTAAAGATTGGACACCACGGACAGGTCTCAAAGGCAACTTCTCACTTCCCAAGCCCCAGCTCTCCCTGCGTGGTTCATCTTCAGGACGATCTTCAGAGGTCACCCTCTTAGATAGTGGCACTCAGTCACTCCCTATCATATTTGTAATGTAAATGGCCAGGGTCTCTACATGGTTTCAACACACAGGGCTACACAGTTTATTAGAGAAATGAATTCTTTCTTACCAATAATGATTTAAAAAACATTGTTTTGGGAGAAAATACATCTACTATTCCTCTCCAGGCATTTTACAGAAAATATTTTGAGCTGTCAAAAGGGGGCATCCTTGCTTTTCCAGACAAAAGAAATCATTCGAATTTGCTCTTTAGAGCAGCCTTGGCGGGAGTGGTGGGCAGCAAGAGTGCTTAGTGATTCTAAATAGCAAGGGTGTGCTTAGTTAAGGCTACAGCTGAGGGTGTGGACCCCGAATAACTACAACCCTGCTACTCAAAGGGTGGCCCTAGGCAGCAGTAGCAGCAACACCAGCAGCAGCAGCAGCTGGAAGCCTGTTACAGGTGTGGGCTATCAGGCCTCAACTTGGACCTACTGGATCAGAATCAGGATTTAACAAGGTCCCAGGTGTCCAGTTGAGCATCTCCACATTCAAGATGCACAGCTTCCTAGCTGTATTTCTCAAACTTCCTCCGGGGAGGGGAGACAAGAATGTGGAGCTTGTTACACACAGATTCCTGGGCTTGCAACTGTTACCTACTGACCCAGAATTTGCAGCAGAGAAGCCTGGTAATTTGTATATTTAACGGATGCCCCACAGGATACAAGTCATGAATGAAGTGTGAAGAACACTACAGGATACCTTTACGTTTTTGAAGTAAATATATAATGATCTAAAAAAGAAACTGCTTCTTCCAGAACACATTTTCCCTTTGAAAAGATGCAGTCTCCCTTTTCCTTGCCACCTTCTCTCTTAAAAACACTGCTATCAAGAGGGAAGAGGGAAGCAGAGGAAAAGTGCGAGAACAGCTCCTGGGGTGCAGCAGGAGAGGCCAATGCCTGGGGACTGTGGGAAGTGGGACGTGGCCAGCAGAGGGCAGCAAAGCACGTCCTGCATGGGGACCTGCGTGAGCACGGTGTGGCCTGGCGGCAAGATTGGAGTGGCCTTCTGCTACTTGCTTCTGGGGCTTTCTGGAGCTGTTTGTGGACCTCAGGTCTGACACTAGGCTTGTCAAGTCAGTGGGGGGCACAGTAGACTCTGCCAGGTCTGAATGGGAGCCAGGTAAGGTCTGAGCCAGCACAGCCCAGTAGAAATACAATGCAAAGTACTTAGGTTATTTAAACTTTTCTAGAGGATACATTTTTATTTATTTTGTTTATTATTATTTTTGTATAGAGAAGTAGTCTTGCTACATTGCCAAGGCTGGTCTTGAACTCCTGGCCTCAAGCAATCCTCCTGTCTTGGCCTCCCAAAGTGCTTGGATTACAGGCATGAGCCACCATGCTGGCTGAAGCTTTTTTTTTTTTTTTTGAGGTGGGGTCTCACCCTGTTGTCCAGGCTGGAATGCAGTGGCATGATCATGGCTCACTGCAGTCTCGACCTCCTGAGCTCAAGCAATCCCCTGCCTCAGCCTCCCTTTGCAGCTGGGACCACAGGCATGCACCACCATGCCCAGCTAATTTTTTGTTTTTTGTAGAGGCAACATCTTACTTTGTTGCCCAGGCTGGTGTCCAACTGCTGAGCTTAAGCAATCCTCCATCCTTGGCCTCTGAAAGTGCTGGGATTATAGATGTGAGCCACTGTGCCCGGCCCGAAGCTACGTTTTTAAAAAGTAAAAGGAAATGGGTGAAATTAATTTTTATAATATATTTTATTTAACCCAATATAGCCAAAATCATTTCAACATGTAGTTAGTATTAATATTGTTAATGAAACAGTTTATATTCCATTTTCCCTCCACTAACTCTTTGAGGTTCTGTGTATATTTCAGCACATCTCAATTCTGACTAGCCACAGTTCCAGTGCTCAGTGGCCACACGTGGCTGGTGGCCACCGTATTAGACCGTACATGCCTAAGAGTATATCTAAAGCTGGGAAAGAGGGGAAATTAGGACCAGAAATGGGGAAAGATTAACGTCTGGCCTGGGGACAGATTCTGGTGTTTTTTTTGTGGTGGTTGTTGTTTTGTTTTTGAGACAGAGTCTCGCTCTGTCACCCAGGCTGGAGTGCAGTGGCGCGATTTCGGCTCACTACAGTCTCTGCCTCCCAGGTTCACGCCATTCTCCTGCCTCAGCCTCCTGAGTAGCTGGGACTACAGGTGCCCCCCACCACGCCTGGCTAATTTTTTGTATTTTAGTAGAGATGGGGTTTCACCATGTTAGCCAGAATGGTCTCAATCTCCTGACTTCTTGATCTGCCCTCCTCGGTCTCCCAAAGTGCTGGGATTACAGGTGTGAGCCATCACGCCTGGCCGATTCTAGTGTTTTTGTACATAAATAAATATTCACCAAAGAGCTACGTTTCAACTCTTTTTTTTTTTTTTTTTTTTTTTGAGACAGGGTCTTGCTCTGTCACCCAGGCTGGAGTGCAGTGGTGTGATCACAGCTTGAGGCAGCCTTGATCCTCCTGCCTTAGCCACCCAGGTAGCTGGAACTACAGGCACAGGCCCCCATGCATGGCTAATTAAAAATTTTTTTTGTGTGGGGATGGGGTCTCCCTGTGTTGCCCAGGCTGGTCTCAAGCTCCTGGGCTCAAGCCATCCTCCTGCCTCGGCCTCCCAAAGTGCTGGGATTACAGATGTGAGCCACTGTGCCCAGCCTTCAGTTCATTATTGAGCATCTACTATATGCCAGCAGTTGGGCCAGAGGCTGGAGATATATAAGCCATCAAACACAGTCCCTGATGCTGAGGACCTGGGTCCAGAGTAGTTGGGAGACAGCATGGAAACAGAACCTTTCAAATCCCTAAAACACCCACCACAGCAAGTCCATGGGCAGGCTCTGTGGTGGACCCTGGGACAAATCGTTAGACCCACCCTGGAGGACAGACTCTGAATGATAACTAAGTCAGAGGCTTTTGTTGGATTTTATTTTTCCTTTTTCATAATCATTTCCAGATTTACTTAGAAGTTGTCTGAAATACACATTTGTCTGGAGAAAGAAAATCTGGCTGAGGTGAGAATCCCTAAGCTGGCTCTAAGCTTCCCTGAAAGGAAAGGCCAATGTATCATCAGCTAACTGTCACACAGGAATCCCTTCTGGGGCATCCCCTGGACCTTTTACCAAAGGTTGGACCCACCACATCCAAGGTCTCTTATTCCCCCATCAGTGCTGTGCTGTTCTAGGTTAACGCTATTTTGGGAATGCAGTTCTTCATTTCAGTGTGAATTTCCTCATATTTCTGCACAAATTGAGTGAAATCCTTGGTGCATTTTTTTTCTTAGATGGATGGAAGCTAAAAGAGAATGGAAGGCCTCCAGCTGTTTGAGGCTCTGTCCTCAACGACAATCAAAATTCTCCATCTTTTCTTGTTCTTGGCACTTTCTGATTGAAATAAGATTCCAGCATTTATCTGCACCTGCAATTTTGACAAGAAAGGAAAATTTAAAAGACAAGTGAAAGAATTCTCTGAGGGAAGTCAGTGAGTCGACAGTAGTCAGACGCCTCCAAATCTCTTTTTGCATTCCTCCGTCAATTAAGCTACAGTCACATATTGGAGAGCAGAACTTAAGTCTGTGAGTAGAAATGCAAAAATGTGTGTCGATCAGTAGCTGGAACCTTCCTCTGGAGCGAGTATTACTTGGAGAGCAGCTGATGATCCATTTGGCATTGAAATGGAGAGGATTTTGAGTCAAAGAGGCCACTTTAAATTATAGATTTGAGTTTAGTTGAAGGTCACACTTAACTTGCATGAATAAAATCTTCAGAGATTTTGGAATATACTCAGAAAATGCAGGCAATCCTGAGCACATAAGCATTTCCTTCAGGGGGTAAAAGCAGTTTAATATTATTGCCCTCTGCATAATTATTGATCATATTAGCATAGGAGATACTGAAAGGGAAGGCAGAGTAACCGTCTGATGGACACCTTGATTCTCAGCAGCTACGACCATGAACTTGGACAGGAAGTTGCCTGGAGACCTGGGAAGATTGTAAAGGGAATTTGATAGTGACCATTTCATTTTGGCTCAACAGATGACAAAAGTGACCCACTGAGAGGGGAAGGTTTATTTAGCTAATCTATATGACATAAATAAATTCCCACACCTAGGAATTTGGGAATCACCTGCCAAATGTTGATTTGATTATCTTGATGTGTGTTTAACCTGATTCAAAGCTTCCTGGTAGCCAAGATGAAGAGGGAAATGTGAATTATAAACTCATCATTTGAGAGGAGAAATGTACTCAACTTTCGAAGGAAACTAGGACATTCATAAAGAAAATTGCAAACATTAAAAACATTTGATTTGGCGGGGCACGGTGGCTCACGCCTGTAATCCCAACACTTCGGGAGGCTGAGGCAAGTGGATCACCTGAGGTCAGGAGTTTGAGACCAGCCTGGCCAACGAGATGAAACTCCGTCTCCACTAAAATTACAAAAAAATTAGCCGGGCATGGTGGCGGGAGCCTGTAATCCCAGCTACTCGGCAGGCTGAGGCAGGAGAATCGCTTGAATCTGTTAGGCGGAGATTGCAGTGAGCCGAGATGGAGCCACCGCACTCCAGCCTGGGCAACAAGAGTGAAACTGTCTCAAACAAAACAAAACAAGAAACATATGATTCATAGTTGTAATATTCTTTCCAAAGGCTATCAGTTCACAATGCAGATTAATGATTAGGATTTAGGAAATTATAAATGTACTTCAGAGGTTTTTGAACCTGTTAATATGAATTAACTTGCAGAATGTCCTGATTCCTCCCCCCAACACTAATCTAAAGCCTATGTTTTTCCCCTGTCGCTTGCTGTGTTAATTGGATCACAGAGATAATTCCCCTCCCATAAAATGTAATCTCTGCAGGTTTTGGAATCTACATTCTGCCGCATTTTATAGGATTATCTCTCAAAGGTAACAGATTAGAAGCCCTGGATGGTGAAAATAAACTGAAATTTGGGCTGTAATCCCTTTCAGTGAGGATGGGGATGGGGGAGGCTTCCAGGTTCTAATGAATGAGAGAATGCTAGATTGGCAGTCTGTTTTTGTTTTGTTTTGTTTTGAGACAGAGTCTCACTCTGTGGCCCAGGCTGGAGTGCAGTGGCGTGATCTTGGCTCACGCCAACCTCCACCTCCCAGGTTCAAGCAATCCTTGTGCCTCAGCCTCCTGAGTAGCTGGGATTACAGGCATGCCCCACCACGCCTGGCAAATTTTTATATTTTTAGTAGAGATGGGGTTTTGCCATTTTGGCCAGGCTGGTCTCGAACTCCTGACCTCAGGTAATCTGCCTGCCTTGGCCTCCCAAAGTGCTGAGATTACAGGGGTGAGCCACTATGCTCGGCCTATAGTCTCTTTGTTCCCTCCCTCCCTTCCTTCCCTTATTGCCTTCTTTTTTTTTTTTTTTTTTGATAGGATCTTACTTTGTTACCCAGGCTGGAGTGCAGTGGCTTGATCTGGGCTTACTGCAACCTCTGCCTCCCAGGCTCAAGTAATCCTCTGACGTCAGCCTCCCGAGTAGCTGGGACCACCATGTCCGGCTAGACTGGCAGTCTGAACACCTGACTCCTAGTCTCTGTATAGCCACCAATTAGTAGTATAATTTATGGCGCTATTTCTCTGAGAGTTCTCTGTGACTCAGTTTCCCCTGCAAAATGAGGAGGTAGTACTAGATCAGCATTTCTCAAAATGCAGTCCAAGAAAAGCTAGTCTTTTTTTTTTTTTTTTTTGAGATGGAGTCTCACTCTGTCACCCAGTCTGGAGTGCAATGGCACCATCTCAGCTCCCTGCAACCTCCGCCTCCCGGGTTCAAGCGATTCTCCTGCCTCAGCCTCCCGAATAGCTGGGACTATAGGCACGTGCCATCACACCTGGGTAATTTTTGTATTTTTTGTAGAGACGGGGTTTCACTATGTTGGCCAGGCTGGCCTCGAACTCATGACCTCGTGATCTGCCTGCCTCGGCCTCCCAAAGTGCTGGGATTACAGGCGTGAGCCACTGCACCTGGCTGAAAAACTAGTCTTTAAAATGTTAATAGGTATTCCATGAATGAAGAACTAAAGGTCAGGTACATTTGGGGAAATCTACATGCCATCATCTCGCAGTAGGGCATCACAATGTCCATTAGCACATAATAGGCTCAGAGTCTTGAAGCAAATAAGTGCAGTTGCGTGTGTGTGTATATAGAACACACACACACACACACACATATATATAACATTTTTCTTCTTCTTCATTTTTTTAATGATATGAGGTCTCACTATCTTTTTTCTTTTTTTTTTTTTGAAATGGAGTCTTGTTCTGTTGCCCAGGCTGGAGTGCAGTGGCGTGATCTTGGCTCACTGTAACTTCTGCCTCCCAGATTCAAGCGAATCTCCTGCCTCAGCCTCCCGAGTAGCTGGGATTACAGGTGCCCGCCACCACACCTGGCTAATTTTTTTGCATTTTTAGTAAAGACATGGTTTTGCCACGTTGGCGCTGCTAGTCTCGAACTCCTGGGGGTCTCACTCTCTTGACCAGGTTGGTCTCGAACTCTTGGCTTCAAGTGATCCTCTCGTCTTGGCCTCCCAAAGTTCTGGGATTACAGGTGTGAGCCACCCTGCCTGGCCTATATATAACATTTTTTTAAACAAAGGAATTTTCAAACTTATTTTGGCTTTAGAATCCTTTTTTGGAAAGAAAACATTAACTTCCAGAATACTCTTGGTAAATGTTGAACTAGATCAGGAGTTCTCAAACTTTTTGTTCTCAGGACTCTTAAAGATTATTGAAGACTCAAAGAAGCTTTAATCTATGTGAATTATTCCATTGTTATTTATCATATTAGACACAATAAAGGATACATAAAAATGTTAATTAATTTTTAAAAAAACACGATGTGGCCGGGCATGGTGGCTCATGCCTGTAATCCCAGCATTTTGGGAGGCCAAGATGGGCGGATCACGAGGTCAGGAGATAGAGACCATCCTGGCTAACGCGGTGAAACCCCGTCTCTACCAAAAATACAAAAAATTAGCCGGGCCTGGTGGCAGGCACCTGTAGTCCCAGCTACTCAGGAGGCTGAGGCAGGAAAATGGCATGAACCTAGGAGGCGGAACTTGCAGTGAGCCAAGATCGAGCCACTGCACTCCATCCTGGGTGACAAAGCGAGACTCCATCTCAAACAAACAAACGAAAAAACCCCACAATACATGTTAATATAAATAACTTTTTTCAAAAAGTAACTATTTTCAAAAATAAAATTGAGAAGAATGGTATTGTTTTATATGTTTGCAAATATCTTTAATGTCTCATTTTGTAAAAGGCATCCAGATTCTCGTA
This sequence comes from Homo sapiens, assembly GCF_000001405.40. NCBI lineage: Eukaryota > Metazoa > Chordata > Mammalia > Primates > Hominidae > Homo > Homo sapiens. The sequence goes on along the minus strand of NC_000002.12, from coordinate 60,668,369 downwards.
TCTGTTTCTGCTTTTAATCTCTTGTGAGATGTTTTGCTGAAGTATATGAAGAAAATCCAGCTTTATAGAGCTATAAAATTGGGAAAGGGACTGGGCATGGTGGCTCATGCCTGTAATCCCAGCACTTTGGGAGGCCAAGGTGGGTGGATCACCTGAGGTCAGGAGTTTGAGACCAGCCTAGCCAACATGGCAAAACCCCATCTCTACTAAAAAAAAATTAGCTGGGCGTGGTGGTGGGCACTTGTAATCCTAGCCACTTGGGAAGCTGAGGCAGGAGAATCGCTTGAACCCAGAAGGTGGAAGTTGTGGTGAGTCGAGATTGCATCACTGCACTCCAGCCTGGGTGACAAGAGCAAAACTCCATCTCAAAAAAAAAAAAAAATAATAATAATAAAATAAAATTGGGAAAGGAAGAATTCAAATAGTTTTTTTGTGTAATTGTGGGTGCACTTATTTGATACTACATCAAAATTTAATAAGGTTATAGAATGTGGAATATGAAATGTTATCAATGAACTTTTCAGTCTCTGTTCCATGAAACCCATCAGCCTATCCTACTCTTTGAATGGATCTTTCACTCATTCATGACTTTTTTTTTTTTTTTTGAGACAGAGTTTTGTTCTTGTTGTCCAGGCTGGAGTGTAATCACATGATCTTGGGTCTCTGCAACCTCCACCTCCCAGGTTCAAGCGATTCTCCTGCCTCAGCCTCCCAAGTAGCTGGGATTACAGGCACCCACCATCATGCCCAGCCATTTTTTTGTATTTTTAGTAGAGATGGGGTTTCACCATGTTGGCCAAGCTGGTCTCAAACTCCTGACCTCAGGTGATCTGCCTACCTCAGCCTCCCAAAGTGCTGGGATTACAGGCAGGAGCCAGCGTGCCTGGCCATTAATGATTTTTTTTTTGTTGTTGTTGTTTTTGAGACGGAGTCTCACTCTGTCACCCAGGCTGGCATGCAATGGCATGATCTCGGCTAACTGCAACCTCTGTCTCCCGGGCTCAAGCGATTCTCCTGCCTCAACCTCCCGAGTAGCTGGGACTGTAGGCACTTGCCACCACACCCAGCTAATTTTTTGTATTTTTAGTAGAGACAGGGTTTCACCATGTTAGCCAGGATGGTCTCGATCTCCTGACCCCATGATCCACCCACCTCGGCCTCCCAAAGTGCTGGGATTACAGGCTGGAGCCACTGCACCCAGTCCCCATTCATGATTTTATAATATTATGTGTTCATCATTTGGAAAATATTAATTCATGGAGTTATGCAAATATTGGAATTGTGGACACATTCCATTATACAATAGCATATATACAATACCAAATATAAAATATTTAAAAATCACATTTGTTACTATCACCACAAACCTTCTCCAGAAAGTTGCTAAGTATTGGGAAGCTGTTAAGCTCATTACGGCAAGGACAACTTTTCCAGACTTCAAGATTTTATTTGAAAGCTTGAGTTTTATCATTGGCAACAAATACTGTCCATTGTTTTCTTGAGGGAACAGGTCCACTTAGTTATTTTGGAGAAAATCTCTGCCTCATACCCTAGTCTGAAGAATGACTGTCAGTTGTTCTTTCACATAAAAATAAAGTTGCCTGAAAAAAATGGCTGGTTCGGCTTTCAACTCAACAACTGCACAAGTACTTTCACTCAGGATCTTTGTCCTGGAACACGGCAGATGCTCTATGTATTCTCCCCATTTTGTCCTACTAAATGTTAACTCAAGGGTTGAGATTTAATACAATTAAAAAATTTTATTGCTTCATCAAGGACATTCTTCAGGGACACTGGCTGTTTTCTTCTTAACTGCTCCTATGTAATAAAGAGTATGATGACCACTGGTACGGTTTGGTGCCATTGCTTTGATTCATGCTAAAGTATGAGCCATTTTGTTCACCATTGTTTTCATACCATTAGTGAAAATGTCATCAGAGTGAAAAAGCCAAATAATGTCTTAGTATTATTATGAAGTAACTTTTGACCTCTCAGATGCCCCTGAAAATGTCTTGGGTACCATCAGGTCTTGGGGTCTCAAAGTGGAGTCTGTGGATGCATGGATTGCACTTTGAGAACCACTGGGCTTGATCATTTTGAAGGTCCTGCTCAGCAGTTTTTTTTTTTTTTTTTTGAGATGGAGTCTTGCTCTGTTGCCCAGGCTGGAATGCAATGGCACGATCTTGGCTTACTGTAACCTCCGCCTCCCGGGTTCAAGCAATTCTCCTGCCTCAGCCTCCCAAGTAGCTGGGATTACAGGAGTGTGCCACCACACCCGGCTGATTTTTTATACTTTTGGTAGAGACAGGGTTTCGCCATGTTGGTCAGGCTGGTCTCGAATTCCTGACCTCAAGTGATCCTCCTGCCTTGGCCTCCCAGACTGCTGGGATTATAGGTATGAGCCACTGCACCCAGCCCTGCTCAGATTTAAGAATCTAAAATGAGGACTAATATAAATTCATTTATAATTCCAACTCAGTCCCTCTTCATGTGCATTTTTAGGCAGTTGTGTAGTTCATGCACTTAGTTTGTAACCCTGGAACAAAGTATAATAAAGGCCAGTGGTGAAGAGTGTGGGCTTTGAAGCCAAAATGCTTGGGTTTGAGTCCTGACTCCATCAATTCCTAGCTATGTGACCTTGGGCAAGTTATTTAATCATAAATAATAAACATTACTTATGATTACTGACCCATGGGAAGACCTATCTCCCTGGCTATGAGTGTAAGATAGAGACTGGTCACCCTGTCCTGAGGATTGCTGAGGCCTCACAGGGGCTAGTGGTCAGGTGTTTCGGCAGCATCTCTGTATGGTTATAGCTATCCCATCCTTTTCTGTCTGAGCCAGGTTGGGGCTGGGGGTTTTATTACCTACTTCCAGAAGACTCTTAACAAGATAAAAGTCCAAGTTGTGCTATAAAAATGGCTCTTTAATGTGGCCTGGCAGATCTGTCCTTGAGTTTACAGAGAGCACCCTCCGTCTTCTTCCAGTGCAGAAGAAGATGCTGAAAAAAGCCTATATCCTGTAGTCACTTGCTAACTCCGTGTGGTTTGATTTCTGGTCAGTTAGGACGATAAGGGCCACTGATCTCTTTGGTGAACCCTTGGTAGTGGGCCACCTAAGTTAGGAGCTTCCTCGTGCTTGCCAAAGAAAAGCATTAATTGTTTTTATGTATTCAGAAATATTTGCAGAAACCATTTTCAACAGTCCTAAGTCCACATCCAAAGATAGTGGTTGCCTCCTCTAGTTTTTTTTTTTTTTTTTTTTTTTTTTTTTTGAGACGCAGTTTCGCTCTTGTTGCCCAGCTGGAGTGCAATGGTGCGATCTTGGCTCATTGCAGCCTCTGCCTCCTGGGTTCAAGCAATTATCCTGCCTCAGCCTCCCGAGAAGCTGGGATTACAGGTGTGTGCCACCACACCCAGCTAATTTTTGTATTTTTAGTAGAGACAGGGTTTCACCATGTTGGCCATGATGGTCGTCTTGAACTCTTGACCTCAGGTGATCCACCCGCCTTGGCCTCCCAAAGTTCTGGGATTATAGGCGTGAGCCACCATACCCAGCTGCCTCCTCTAGTTTTTTATTCTTCCCGTCAGTTCTTCTCTTGTCTATTTACATACCATAACTACATGGGAGTGTCCTCAGGATGCTCTTTAACAAGTCATCACCATCATAATGTACACCATTGCCTTCTCTCCAGCTTTTGGGTATTATATTAGTTCATTCTCACATTGCTATAAGGAAAATATCTGAGACTGGGTAATTTATAAAGGAAAGAGGTTTAATTGACTCACAGTTCTGCATGGCTGAGAAGGCCTCAGGAAACTTAGAATCATGGTGGAAGGCAAAGGGGAAGAAAGGCACCTTCTTCACAGGGTGGCAGGAAGAAGAAGTTCCAGCAGGGGGAATGCCAGGTGCTTATAAAACCATCAGATCTCATGAGAACTCACTCACTATCAAGAGAACAGCATGCGGGAACCATCCCCATGATTCAATTACCTCCCACCGGGTCTCTCCCACAACATGTGGGGATTGTGGGGAATACATTCAAGATGAGATTTGGGTGGGGATGCAGCCAAACCATAACAGGTATGGAGGAGCAGGAAACACATACACACTGTTTACAAACTTAGTTCAATGCCAGAAATATTAAAGTCTAAAAACACTTGAGTTTTAAACCAAGAATATACAGGTAAGGGGGAGGAGACAATGCCTTAATATGTTATCCGGTGCCATTAACACATGTGAAAAATAATATATATCTGATAAGTGGCTTGTATTTAGAGCATATAAAGAACTATCACAACTCAATAATAAAAAGAAAATAACCCAGTTAAAAAATGATCAGAATCGACATTTCTTCAAAGATGTACAAATGGCCAATAAGCACATGAAAAGATGCTCAAAATCAGGGAAATGAAAATCAAAACCATGAGAGAGCATTTTATACCCAGTATGGCTATAATCAGAGAGTTAGATAATATCAAGTGTTGACAAGGATGTGGAGAAATCAGAACCGCATACATTGCTGGTAGGAATGTAAAATGGTGCAACTACTTTGGAAAACAGTTTGGCAGTTCCTCAAAAAGTTAAACATAAAGTTGCCATGTGACCCAGCAATTTTACTCCTAGAAGTATACTTGAGAGATAAAAGCATATGTCCATGTAAAACTTGTACCTGAATGTGTATAGCAGCATTATTCATAATAGCCAAAAGTAAAAGGTGGAAACAACCCAAATTTCTATCAACTGATGAATGGATAAGCAAAATGCGGCATATATATAGAATGGAATATTATTCGGCTATAGAAAGGAATGAAATCCTGATTCAGGCTACAACATGGATGAACCTTGAAAATAGTGTGTTAAGTGAAAGAAGCCAGGCACAGAGACCACATATTATATGACTGCATTTATATGAAATGTCCTGAATAGGCAAATAGATAGGGGCAGAAAGTAGATCACTGGTTGGTTAGGGGTGGGGGAGGAGGTGGATGGAAAAAGTTGGGGGTGATAGCTAAAGGGCACAGGGTTTCTTTTTGAGGTGATGAAAATGTTTGAAAATTTATTGTGCTGGTAGCTGCACAACTCTGCAAATATACTGAAAAGTATTGAATTGTATACTTTAAATAGGTGAAGTATATGGTATGTGACTTATAGCTCCATCAAGCTGTTACAAAAAAGAAAAAGGAATGTGTAGGTAGTGGAGGAGGTCATCACTGAAAAAATGAATCCAGAAAACTTGGTCAATTAGTATCTGTAGAGAAGAGTAAGATGGGGCTTCTTTTCCCTTGAGAAGGATTTTCTGCTGAGGACAAAATAAGGCTCAAGACCTTCCATTTCCCTGTGCTCTGCTTCTATTGCACCAAGAAATCTTCAGATTATTAGTTCAGCATGACACAGGAAAAGGGTGGAGCTTGGGTTGGGAAATTGAAACTTTCTGGCTTCTGGAAAGAAATAACCCATGTAAAAAGAACAAACTGGTATTCTGATTTATATTTCAGTCTTTTGTGAGTTTAGTTAGCTGGAGTTTACCATTGAAAGTCTGATCATCTCTGGGTTTGTTGAGCAAGTCCATTTCAGATACTGCAAGGTTGAAGATCTGATGTTCGACAGTGATATATTCATCAAGGCCAATCCAAGCCCTGAGGTCTCTTGAAAGCCTAGCCACTGACTTTTCCTGGGCGAGACCCAAGACCTCCCTGCTTACACATCTTTCTAACTACAACCAATGTGGCATCATGATACATGTGCTGACATTGATCTTCAGTAGCCCGTGCAAGAATCCTGCCAGTTCTGTGGACCAACCTTCCGGTTTTTAAGCGAGACCCTTAATTGCTATTGACGGATCTGACATTCTCAGTATGGGCCTGTGGCCATTTATTTGGCTGCTTTGACTTGGGAGGGTGAAAAATGCGCTCAGAAATGGAAGCGTGTTTGACCCTGCTGGGAGACTCAGTGGCCTAGAACTTGTTACTTAGGCGATGCTGTGCATGTCTCTCCCACTCTTGGCCCTGCTTTTTCAGCTGGTGAGAGCAGAGAGCAGTGGAAGCAGGAAGGCACATTGTGCAAGGCTGAGATGGAGAGGGAGAGGGAGATGGAAGGACCATCCAGGAAGTGGGCAACATGTGTGAGCCAGGAAGGTGAAAGGCACATTTGGAGGTCATGTTATCTCCTTGGGGGATTTTCATTTATACAACAAATACTTACTGAGTTCCAGGCGAGGCAGTACTAGAGAGCCAAGAGGACTAACCAGCTACTGCCCTCAAGGGGTTCATGTTCTGAAATATGGGTTAGGTGACCTCATTCACTAATCTGCTGATGAGGATGCCTAATTGGTTGCATAGTTGGATGCATGGTCATAGGTGTTAAATATTTAAGTCAGGATGCTTCCAGAAGGCTCTGAAAGTATGGGTCTGGGGAGGGTGGGAAGGACACAGACAGTAACGGAACTGGTGTCCTCCAACAATGAGCATGAGCAACAGGGTCGGCTTGAGCAGCAGATTTCGGGGGCAAGATCTGCATATTGACTCACATCTGCATATCGCATAGCGATTGCCCCCTTCTGCTTCCTTCTTCAACACCCATCGCATGGTACTCTCCAAAGGCCCCATGTTTTGGGGACCCTGTTGTAATCACCCTATTTGCTAGTGCCTAGCGGGCATCACATTGAGAAGACAAAGCTTGACTTTGAAGGAAAGACCTGGGGCTGTGACCTCAGGCCTGTCAGAGGCTAGACAAAAGAGTGGTAAGGTAAATTAGCAAAAAAGGAAGGTAAATTAGCAGAAAATTTGGAGACAGAAGGTAAGGGGGAAGGGAGAACCCCAGAGAGAGGAGAAGATGGTCAGAGGTTTAGCAATAGGGGTAGGGGGGCCATGCAGGGGAAGTCTTTGCCAGCAGAAGGCTCTGCTCCATGATGGATGGGGTCTGTACAGCATTATTCTATTTCCATTTCACCAGACTCTGTTGTTATTTACACTTTAAAATATTATGAGGTGCAGCAGAGAGAGAGAAATGGTATGAAAAGCAGCAGAAGTTTGACAGTAACAAATGTAACTAGGTGGCAAAATGAAAACAAGAAGATAAGAATAGATTAGGATATTAAGAAAAACAAGGTATTTATTTAAAAAAAAGAGGAAGAGAAACTAAAGTCAAAAGAGGAATTTAAAGAAGATGAATTTTACTACAGTGCTGGGAATTGGAAGCTGGCACAAGAAAACAATTACTATTCACAGGGGGCAGATCTAGATTTGGGGGGCCTGAAGCTTAACCAGTTTTGGGAGGGGGGCTTATAAGAGAAAGGCTACAAAACTATGGATACAAAATTAGAAATAAACCCTGGAAGGGGCCTCTACTGGTGGTGGTCCCTGAAACTTCAGCTGCAGAATTGTCACAGTAAATCCTCCTATGATTATGTGGTAGGGGCTCCCTGATCTGTCCAGCCACTCTAGTGTTCCTTCATATGGACTCCACCATCAGCTGTAGAAGGGCCCTGTTTAGGGTTGGATGTGGTGGCTCACACCTGTAATCCTAGCACTTGGGGAGGCTGAGTCAGGAGGATTGCTTGGGCCCAGGAATTCAAGACCAGCCTGGGCAACATGGCAAGACCCTGTCTCAATGACAAATTAAAAAAAAAATTGAAAATTAAAAAAAAAGAAGGACCCTCTCTGGCATTCTTTGCCAGTGGCCCATTGTCTCCCGGGCACAGGCGAGACTCCCTAGTGGGCACATCAAACCCTCCATGGGCCAGCCTGGTATCCCTGTTCCCCCTTTGCACTTTACAGGTTGCCAACGCCTATTACCTGCCACTCCCTGAAGACTCCAACAATATCGTTCTATTGCCTCCGTCTGGCACATTCCCCCAACTCACACTCTCTACATCCTCATTCTGCTCATCCTTCAAGAGCCCCAACTTCTGCCTTCCTGGGCTGGGTGACCTGTCCAGCCTGGGTGATCTCATAGCACTCATTGCCTACTTTTATCATAGGACTTTCTGTGATACAATACAATAGGTATTGCATTTACCTATTACTCCCCACTGTCTACACCCCCTGGCAGCATGCTCAAATTAAGACATGAGCGGACAGCTTGGATTTAAATTCTGGCTATGCAACCTTGAGCAAGTAGTGTAACCTCTTTAATAGTTACTTATAGAAAGGAAATAATGATAGTGCTCACCTCATAGAGTTGTCGTGAGGGTCAAATGAGATAATTCATGTAGTGATTAGCCTGGCACGTGGTGGTCTATGGTGCTTACTCCTCCAGCTGTGGAGAACGGGGACTGCTGAATTTATTCTTGTATCCCCTGCACCTAGCACAGTGCCTGGTGTTTAGAAGACACCATGGAATTTAGCCAAAACACATACTTTGGATTAACCTGGAAGACAGTCCATTTAAATGACTGAGAAATGAAAATGATAAAGTGCTCTCCCCTCAAAAATGAAAATAGCTATTAAAAGTAATGGCAAAAGGAGGGGGTAGAGCTCGGAGGTAGAACATTGGACAGCAGATGAAAAGTAATGGCGAAAACCGCAATTACTTTTATGCCTACCTAATTGATTTTAAAAAGAAAACATGCTAAAATGTAAAAATACAAGAATAAAGTAAAACTACCAATAGCTAAGGTGACCATATAATTTATCACACAAACAGGAACACTTTGCAGAATGAACCAGAGTGTTCTTAAAATTAGACTATACCTGGCAGACCAGGATGTATGGTCACCCCACCTACAAGTCCCACTCTCCAGAGATGGCCACAGTTAGCATTTTTGTTACATAGCCATCTATTCTTTTTTTCCTTATGCTTATTCTGTAAATAACATTTTCTAATTTGCTTTCCTTTTACTTAACAATATGTCACAAAATCCTTTCATGTCAATAAATACAGATCCTTATTTTTAATGACCGTGTACTACTTCATTCAAATGTACCTGAGTTTATCTAATGGATCCTGTATTGATGAGTATTTAGATTGTTTCAAATTTTTCAGAATGATAAAATATTTATAAATAAATCTCAAGTTGCTCGTTATCGCTTTGTGGATTGGAATTTTGCAGGGACAATATTCAGCTGGCCAATTATTTTCTGTAGGGTGCTTTACCCTCCTCCCCTCCTCCATGTCTGTGTCTGTGCCTCTAGGGGCGTAGTTACACTCTTGTGGACTGGCTAGCTATTCTCTCTATGAGCATTCGCAGAGAGAAGTTAGCGTGTCCTCCCTCTCAATTAAATGCTATTTTTAAAAGCCATTTTATTTAAATAACTAGGTAGAAACAGCAACTAATATCTTTGGCAATTGTATTTAAATAGGTGAATTTCATCAAGAAGTAAAGACCCATGGATGCTGATGTTTATTAGGTATCATTCTTACTGGCCTATCATTCTATTGCTGATTAAGTGTTTGGTTCCTTCATTCACACATTCTTTCATTTAGAAACTACTAATCACACACTTGTGTGGGTCATGGAGAAAGTTTCTGCAATTTAAATCAAATACAGTAAAACCTCATTATGTAGATTCCACTGGTTCATTAAAGAACTTTCACTGTCCTCATGATTGGCGTCAGTCATTCACATATCTCACTTTAATTGAGAAATCCCAGCTCCTATTTCTACCAATGATCGTCCCCTGTGTGGAACTCCAAGGCATGCTAGCCCCTTGATATCCTTAAGGGGTATAGCTGAGAGAACTTTGCAATCTCCAGACTTGGGCAATCCATAAGAGCACTTCTTGGGAGCATGGTGTAGATGAAGACAAGCAGAGAAAAGCAAAGCTGTGCTGAGCTGCATGCAGATGCTGGGCTAGTGTATTACTCTGTTCTCATGCTGCTAATAAAGACATACCTGAGACTGGGTAATTTATAAAGCAAAAGAGGTTTAATGGACTCACAGCTCCACGTGGCTGGGGAGGCCTCACAATCATAGTGGAAGGCAAAAGGCATGTCTTACCTGGTGGCAGAGGTGAAAAAATGAAAACCAAGCAACAGGGGTTTCTCCTTATAAAACCATCAGATCTTGTGAGACTTATTCACTACGATGAGAACAGTCTGGGGAAAACCGCCACCATGATTCAATTATCTCCCACTGGGTCCCTCCCATAACAGGTGGGCATTATGGGAACTACAATTCAAGATGAGATTTGGGTGGGGACACGCCAAACATATTGGCTATTAAACAGAGAACTTAGCAGGTCCCAGCAGATGGGAGGCTGAGGAGCACTGGATGAACTGAGGATTTCACGGTTGTTTCAAAGCAGGATAATGAGCCAAGACCTGAGAGCATATTGGTAGAAAGACAATTCAAAGCTGAAAATGGAGAGACATATGAGAAGTATCTGAGGGAAAAGGCTAAAGATGACCAAGCTACACAGAAACAGACCTATAGCCGGCCCTACCTTAAAACTGGTGTGATATGAGCAAGCGCCAAGGAGAGTGTATCAGTTTTCTATGGCTATGTAACAAATTACCACGAACTTTGTGGCTGAAAACAACACCCTGTTGTAATCTCACAGTTTCCGTAGGTTAGAGGTCTGGGCACAGTGTACTGGGTTCTCTGCTCAGGGTCTCTCACAAAGTTGAAATCAGTTGTCAACAGGCTTGGATTCTTACCTGGAGCTCAGCATTCCCTTCCACACTTAAACATTTATTCTTTATTCTTTTTTTTTTTTTTTTTGAGATGGAGTCTTACTCTGTCACCCAGCTGAAGTGCAGTGGCACCATCTCAGCTCACTTTTTTTTTTTTTTTTTAGTAGAGACAGGGTATCACCATATCAGCCAGGCTGGTCTCGAACTCCTGATCTCAAGTGATCTGCCTACCTCGGCCTTCCAAAGTGCTGAGATTACAAGTGTGAGCCACCGTGTCTGGCCCCAACTCACTGTTAATGGACAGACATTCAGGATGTTGTGTATAAGAAGGCAACTGATAAGGGATGCTCGGTCCTAGACGTGCTCCATCCTTTCTTGCCCGCCAGAGGTTCTGTGGACAGGTCAGTGAAGCACTGTGGTGAAAGCCTCATTGGTCATCATCTTACACAGATGGGACTACGTTTTTACCTTGCGAATCTCAAGCTGCTAAGGGCTCCCTCCACACATTTTTACCATTTTTACAGTGAGAGGAAGGCAGCGGGATGTCAGGGCCCTTTGGTCCTGAAGAGGTGCCCTGTTCAGCCAGACTCTAGCAGGGGGAAATGGGTAGGGTAGGAAGCAGAAATACTTGTAGTCATGGTAACTGGTGGTGTAAATTCAGACATGGAGACTTGGGCTTTGGGTGCATTTCAGGTCCTAGCATCTGAAACCCTAGCCTTTGGGGGCCACTGTCTTACGCTATAAGTTGAACGGGTTAAACCCATATTCACAAAGCTGATGGAGAGAAGTCCTTTTGCAACTACTGAAAACTTTCAGTATCAGGGAAAGTTCTTGGTGGAACCAAAAAAGGAACAAAACTCTGGAACACCGGAGTCTGCAGGAACTTACACCACCAAGCACTGGGGAACTCAGAAAACAGTGAGGCGTAGAGGAGTCTGGTGAGGATTCAGCCTCCGAGTTTTGTGGGCATCCTAATGCCAAGCGGGTGGCTAGACTCACTCATTAGTGATGTGAAGCAATGCCTCACATTGTCCTTGCTAGGTTCAGTATTTAAATCAATGCTCAGTAGAGGGACAGCTTGTTTAGCTCATAGTATTCAAAGTCACTCACGTACAGCGCTACCTTATTGGCGAGCACTGAGGTCAATCGCTTTCTCTGCATGCAGGCCTGGGCTGAAAAATTAGTAACAAGAGGGAGTCCAGTTCTATGCCTGCCCTCTGATGTCCTCCTATCTGCCAGGAACTATATTCTAAGTGACTTATATAGGTATGGTTATCCACCCACCCCGCTGCTACTGCTTTTTTTTATTTTTATTTTTTAACAGGTGGGGAAGCTAAGGCATAAAGAGGTCAATTGTTTGAGACCACATGAATAATAAGTGGCAGAAATGGGATTTGAACCAAGTCAGGGTAGGGTCAGAGTCCTTGTGCTTAGGGGCCTCCTGCTGTGCTGTGAGGCATTATGGAATAGAGCATGCACAGAATTTGGCACTCTTTTCCGTGACATGCAATAACTGCAAAATGGGTAAAAATGTCTAGTGCCTAGAGGTCAGTAAAGGGGAGTGTGGGGTATCTACGTGGTAATGATGGGTCTAAGGGGTTGTCCTTTTCTTTCTCCACCACACCCTGCTGGCAGGATTACTGATTGCGGCATTACAGAAATGCCACTTTCCTCTTCAGGGCGATTGGTACTTGCAGCGCCAGATGGTTGTCCTCAGGGTTCACTGCAGCTGAGCATAAATATGAAACCCACCATTTCTAAGGGGGGCCCGATGATGCCCAGGTGTGTGGTTCCAGAGCAATTTTGCCTCGAGTAAATCAGCAGGTCCATATTAAAGACACGTGTTAATTTATTGCAGCAAGATTTTATGTCTTTGTCAGTCATTAGAAAATTTCGTACCAGAAATTCTTTCCTCTTTAATCTTAGTGGGATTGGCATTACACATAACTTGACTATTAAGACAAGAATATCTTGCAGATAGGGAGATCATTAATCTAAAGGGTTTTTGCAGTGTGAAATGCAAATGCTCAGTGACAGGTATGCCAGGATCCCCCAAAGCCTTCTTAATCTGCCATAAAGGGATCCAAGGAAAGGTTTGATCATTTTGTTAACACAAATAAGAAGCCCTCATGCAGCTCAGCTCTCTTTGCAGCTCCAATTCCTTTCCCGTTTGTGCAGATAAACTTTCCAGCCCCTGGAGGGTCAGCTCATCAGCAGCTTCTTTCCCTCTGTGTTCCCAATGACGGATCTGGGATTTGGGGTCTACATTCACAGAAGGTGAGGGTAAAACAAAGATGCTGTCTCTGCAGTATAGCTCTGCAAGCCTCTGTGACCAGCCCTTTCTTGTAGACTCCTCTCCCTCTGCGGGGGCACACCTGAATGCTTCCATATATGTCTTCTGGGCTGATGGTGTCATTGGTCAATTCTAGGAGCCAAGTGATATTAACACATCAGTCATCCCTGCAACAAGCCAGGAGTTAGTAGGCTCTAATTCTAACCCAGCTTTGCCAGAGTAGTTGTGTGACCTTGGGCAAGTCCTCCCTGTTGCCTCAGTTTCCCTAACTGGGGCAATTGATTGCTAAAGTCCTTTCAGGTTTTTTTTTTTTTTGAGACCGAGTCTTGCTGTGTCACCAGGCTGGAGTGTAGTGGTGTGATCTCGGCTCACTGCAACCTCTGCCTCCTGGGTTCAAGCGATTCTCCTGCCTCAGCTAATTTTTGTATTTTTAGTAGAGATGGGATTTCACCATGTTGGCCAGGATGGTCTTGATCTCTTGACCTTGTGATCCACCCACCTCAGCCTCCCAAAGTGCTGGGATTACAGGTGTGAGCCACCGCACCCGGCCTGTCTTTTCAGTTTTAAATGCTATTATATAATCCATTTAAAATGGATTATTAATGAAACAAATTGCCATAAACTTGGTGGCTTAGAATGACAGTAACTTCTGTTCCACAATGTGCCGGTCTGGACATTCTCATTGAAGAGTCTCATAATTAGCTCATTTTATTCAGTATGTTACACCTCTGATTATTTATTACACTAGGCCATACAATGGTGTAGTAGAGTAAGTGTTCAAAGGGTTGGCTCTGCTGTTGGACTTCCTAGTTCAAATCCTGGCTCTGAGTGATTTTGGGCAAATTTTGCAACCTGTCTATGTCTTAGTTCTGTCCCCTAAAAGTGGGCATGACAATAACAGCACCAACCTCACAGAAAGCTTGTGAGAATTAAAGAAGCTTAATGCAATTCTTGGTATACACTAAATACTAAATGTTAGCTGTGTTATGAATTTTATTATTTGCTATAACTTAGAAAAACTATGGGCTTAAATTGCTGTGGCAAAGTTTAGCCAGCAAACCACTTCCCCCAGCAAGAAATAAAAAATTGGCCTTGATTTAGAGACTGGTATAGAAAGGTGGAGAACCCTTTCCTTTCCCTATACCCTAAGTTTTCTAGGGTATTTGCCTTCCTTGGGAGGAGGAAGGTGAGGACAGAAACTCTTTTGGGCTCTGCAGTGGTCCTTTCTGGGGCTGGCTTATGGTCTGCTCCCTCCCTGCCTTTCTGGAATCCATGGACCCTCCTCTCCTACTCCCAATAATACCTCACCCAGGTGCTCTGTGTGCAGCTTTCTGGTTGCCCACCCCAAAAACCTGTGGAGCACTTGTGGAACCGCCCGTGGTTTTGTGGCAGCAAGGCATCTTTGTGTTTTTCTTTCTCCTTCACCACTTTCTCTCCCTCCTCTTTGCCTTTTTTTTTTGCCTCCCCTGCACCATCCTTCAGGGACACTCCCTTCTGATTCCTTTCTCCATCTTCTTCTCCTCATGTTGAGTTCTCTAAGGACTTATCCACAGTGGTCGCAGCTTTGTGCCTTGCAAAGAAAATTCTGTCCCTCTACACCTTTCAGGAAAACTACCAGCCCAAAAAGTTTAGGGAAAAAAATTCATTATCTTTAATAGGATTTCTTTACTAGCCCTGGCCAGGAGGGACCCGAGTTCCCAGGAAATCTAAATTAATAAGTACCCTATCATGGGGTGTGGAGAGGAGGAGGGTTGGGGGGCGGTGGGTAACCAAACTGAGGTCTAATTTCCATTTAAGCTTTGCAAGGAAGGGTGAGAGTTTTAAGCAGAAAATCTAAAAGATGGTCTAGCTAGGAAAAGGAATTGAAAGCATCCCTGAGAATCCCAGGACTGTTTGGAATCCATTTTGAGCGAAGTGGAAATATTTGGATGAGTGAAACGGCTGCTCTCTTTTAATTGGCCTCCGGTTGATCAGGGACTGCTATCTACGACCATGAGAGGGTTGTCAGGAAAATCAGCGTATAGAACATTCCACTAACAAATTCCTAATTTCATCTGTGCCAGCCACAAAACTTATTGTACTCATTTTGGCTCTCGAACGAAAGAGCAACTGGCGGGTACCTTTGGGGTCTCCGAAGAAGATTTAGAGAGGTTTGTTAGTCTATTAGGAAGCAGAGGGAGCGGCTCTTCCCTTCAGCTGTGCACTCTAGAGAAGTCTATTAGAAACTATCCATGTACAGCTCCACTCTCCTTTCTCTTTGATTCAATCACCCCAAGTCATTAGGCTGGTTGAACGCCACTTTAGACTGTACACCATAAATAATTAAAACGTAGAAACATGTGCGGTCACCTGATGCAGCCCCCACGGGAGGTGGCAACACAGAGGATGTCTGACTCTGTGCGGAGCTTCTTGCCGATGGCCGGGATTTTAAAACTGCCTCTTTAGTCCCAGCCCAGTCCTGTAAGCAACAGTCTCACATTTCACACCAGCACGATCCTGGCGTTTGTGGCGCCCGACGAACTCCACAGAGCTAATCTTGACATTAGAACCTGCCCGCCTAGGCCAGCTCCTCTTCCTGCTGTTATATTTCAAGACCATCCTCCCAAATCTTCAAGTCAACCAGCGTGGCAGATGGCATTCTCCAAAAAGGGCTGTGTTAATTTCCTAGGGCTGCTGAAACAAATTGCCATAAACTTGGTGACTTAGAATGACAGAAATGTATTTTCTTATTGTTCTGGGGGCCCCAACTCTGAAATCAAAGTGTTGGGGGGGGGGGGGTGATGCTCCCTCCAAAGGCACTATGGGAGGAGCCTTTCATGCCTCTTCCAGCTTCTGGTGACTTCTGGCTTTCCTTGGCACGTGGCTGCACCATTCCAGTCTCTGCCTCAGTCTTCACATGGCCTTCTTCCCTGTGTGTGTCTCTGTGTCTGCATGTCAAATCCTCTTTTTATGACACCAGTCATTGGATTTAGGGCATATCCTAATGCAGTATGACCTCATCTTAACTGAAATACATCTGCAAGACCCATTTTTCAAATAAGGTCACGTTCTGAGGTCCCCAGTAACATGAAGTGTGTGTGTGTGTGTGTGTGTGTGTGTGTGTGTGTATGTGTGTGTGTGTGTGTGTGTGGTGTCTGGAGTCCGTTCAACCCATTACATTACATACGTAGTCTTTCCTATCCCATGGGCTCTTCCAGAACCTTCCTGCTCTCCCATGAACAAGTGAAGTCGACGCCCCTTCTCCTTGAACTGGGTGGGCCTTGGCAACCACTTTGACTAACCGAGTGTGGTGGAGTGATGCTGTG
The DNA here is from genome assembly GCF_000001405.40 of Homo sapiens. NCBI lineage: Eukaryota > Metazoa > Chordata > Mammalia > Primates > Hominidae > Homo > Homo sapiens. The sequence goes on along the minus strand of NC_000002.12, from coordinate 60,652,196 downwards.
TGACTCCTGAGGCCAGCTCATAAAAGACACACAGGTTCTGCCTGCCTCTTTTGCCACACTTTCCCTTGTGATGCAGCCACCATGCTGCGAGGAAACCCAGGCCCACAGACATGACCATGTGGAGAGAAACTGAGGGTCCCCTCCCTTTAGCCTTAGTTTAGTTCCTAGAGACAGCCAACACCAAGGTGCCAGCCAAGCCACTGAGCCATCTGGGAAGTGGACCCTCTCGCCTCAGTCAGTTGCCCCAGCTGGTGCTGCACGGAACACAGATGAGCCCTCCCTACTGAGCCCTAACCACATTGCATATGTATAAGCAAAATAGTGATTGTTGTTTTAAGCCACTAATAGTGATGTTGTAAGCCACTAGTGATTGGTGTTTTATGTAGCCTTAGACATTCCTAGAATACAGAGCCTAAAACCTTCAGAGCATTGTAACTCCTCTCTCCGCAGTCCCCTCTTTCTACATGTAACTAGTTAGTCCACAGTCTCCTTCTTTCTTATGGTCCCACCTAGCTGGGTACCTAATTATGTCACTCTGGGTTGTATCATTAGCATCTTTTTTTTCCTTTCTGCTATTAAATTTGCCATATCAGTTTCCATTTTATTAGTGTTCATCTGATATTGCTTTTTTTCATTTAATTTTTGACTGTTCTGTGTCATTTCTTCTTAAGTATGTCTCTTATAAGTAGCACAAAGTTGAATTTCAGTTTTGTTTTTCAGATGGTGTTTTGCTCTGTTGCCCATGCTGGAGTACAATGGCGTGATCTCTGCTCACTGCAGCCTTGATTTCCTGGGCTCAAGTGATCCTCTCGCCTCAACACCGCAAGGAGCTGGGACTATAGGCGCGAGGCACCACGCCCGGCTATTTTTTGTAGAGATGAGGTTTTGCCATGTTGTTCAGGCTGGTCTCAAACTTCTGAGCTCAAGTGATCTGCCCACCTTGGCTTCCCAAAGTGCTAGGATTACAGGCATGAGCCACTGAGCCCGGCCTATTGTTAGCATGTTAACTGGCCCCTAGACTTTGATTCCTCCCTTCCTCTATCCTACCAAAAGATCTCTCTAGCACACTTTGGTCCTGCCACTGTCCTGCTCAAAATTCATTGATGGCTCTCCATTGCTTAGAAGATTATTCCCATGTTCTTTAACTGACAGTCAAGACTTTAATCTGGCCTCGGTTCTGGCCTACATTATCTCCCATATCTTCTCCATAAAGATTCTATGCATCCAACAAACTAGGTTATTCACTGTTCTGAACATATCTTGAGCTGGATTTTCTGCTTTCTGATATTCCCTTGGTACCTTTTCAACATTTAATAATGTTTTTTGAGCACCTGTTCATGCCAGGCAATGTAGGAAACTGGAGAACACCGCCTCCCTTTCCTGTCTTCTCACTTCATTTAACTGAAATCCTGCCCATTTGCCAAAGCTCAGCTCCAAAACTCACTTCCTTCACAAAGCCTCCCCAGATATGTAGCCATTCTTTTTTCTGAAATCTCTGATATCTTCTCCTCTAAGCAAATCAAGTGACTTGCAGCTCTGTGGCCACTCCATGCTTTCCCAATCCTCCTGGCCCTCGTGCATGCTGGCTTTTCTTCCTGTACCCATTTCCAATGGCTAACTCTCACTAATCTTTATGCTTCAACTCAGGTACCATTTCCTTTTCGGAAGTTTTCTGTGACACACTTGGTCTGTCTTAGAAATCCCAATGGACGATTGATGCTAGGCCTAGAATGGATCCCAGGGCTATCTCTGTGGCCCTGGGAGGCATGGACTGGGTCTTTAATAAAATAAAGACCTTGTACCTAGACCACAGAGAGTGCCCCACCAATGTTTATTCAAAGACTGAAGGTTGAATACATGAAGAATGCACTAGAAAGATTTCAAAGGCCTTTAACATGGTAGATATGGGAAAAAGATTTGGAAAGGAGGCTTTGCTTACCTGTTAAAGGTTTGTGGTTGTATTTTGGGTTCCTTGAGTTGACTTCTGAGCTAAGCTCCAGGTAAAGAAAATTTGTACACCCTCTTATTGGTCCCCAAGCATACGTCGGTAATGAGGAAACTTTTTAACTATAAGACAACCAGTTTAGCATTTTGCTAGTTGTTCTTTATCCCCTGTGTAAAAGTATTATCTTGTCAACCAAACTGTAAACTTTACAAGCAAAGGGAGTGCATAGGCTATTTCTTTTTCTTTTCTATTCCATTCTTTCCTTTTTTCTCCCTGCCTCCCTCCCTTCCTTCCTTTCATTCTTCCTTCTTTCCTTCTTTTCTGCCTCCCTCCCTTTTTTCCTTCCTTCCCTGCTTCTTTTCTCCCTCCCTTTTTTCCTTCCTTCCTTCTTTCCTTCTTTCCTTCCTTCCTTCCTCCCTCCCTCCCTCCCTCCAACTCTCCCTTCCTCCCTCCCTCCCTTCCTCCCTTCTTGTGTATGTGTGTGTGATTCTGATGCACACTGAAGTTTGGAAACCACTGCTCTAAAGAATAGTAGGAAACCAATTTGGCAAACCCTTAAGAGATCCACTCTGGGAATAGGTGTTTTGTTTTGTTAAGTTTGGGTCTGCCCCCCATTCATTTTGCCTCAGATCAAACCTATACCAGTAGTTCTTATCCCTGGCTGGGGAGCTTTTATTTTTGACTTTTAGATATTGACAAATAAAAATTTTATCTACTTATTGTGTACAATATATTGTTTTGAAGTATGTATACACCATGGCATAGCTTAATTGAGCTAATTAACATATCCATTACCTCACATACTTATCATTTTTTTGTGGTGAGAACACTTAAAATCTACTGTCTTAGCAATTTTCAAGAATACAATACATTGCTATTAACTATAGTCACTATGCTGTACAATCGCATGCCCATTTCTCTTTATTCTTCCAAATCCTCTATTTTGTATTGGAATCATAATAACCCCTCAATATTTATTCAGCAGATTTTTGTGGGGAGACATAACTAACCCTCCAAAGTATTGTTGATTTCCTTTGAAAAATCACTGCTTTTGTGTATTCCAGTCTAGAAAGCTGTTTCTTTGCTTTGAATGGATAAAAAGCTCCTAGACTTGTTGGACTATTGGAAGAAGTGAATTCTAAAGAGAACTGCATTCTGGCAGGAATTCCCCATCTCACATTCTTTAACTTGTCTTTCCTTTTGGGGATAGGATTGTGAACCCTGAGCTTCTTGGGATGTCATTATGTATCCTACGGTTTAACCACCCAGGACTTCCTCCCTCACCCTGAATTGTCCCTAGGGACCATGAAGCCATTACTGTGGGAGAGAGGTAGGATCTTAGAAAAATCCAAGGTTTGAGCTATAGTTAGACCACCTCTCTCAGGCTGTAATATTAAATCCGTGACTCTTGAGAGCATTTGCTGGGGAAGTCCATCATCTTTTTATTTGTATTTCCTGGGTCTCATTCAATATTATGACTCTAGGGAAAAAAATACCATGACTAGTATTTGAGAGGCTGGCACCTATAGTATCTTGAGTTAATGTTACTTGCAGCTTTATCCAGGAACAATTCTGCCGTGAAATACTCAGCTGTAAAAGAAACGAGACTACTGAGAAGGATTCTTTTGAGTGTCTCTGGCATGCAGAGAGGCGATGGGGATCTTCTTGTGTACGTGTGGGAAAGTGAGGGGGGATGATAAATCATGTGCTACCTCTCCTTTAAGAGCACGTCCTTTTATTTCTGACACTTAAAAAGACACTGTCAAAAAGATGTTTTACTGATTTGACTTTCTGTGCAGGAGAACGTGCAACAGTTACCTAGTAAGTGGTTTTATAGGGAGTTTCACCCACACGTTATAATAAACTGAGCCCGAAGATAACATATCTTTTGTGCTTTTACAGTGCTTGGATGATAACTGTGAAAAATTATCTAGTGGAGGTTAGCAAACTGTACCTGTGGTCTTTTTCTCATGACCTCTGTATGATAAAGTTTACTATCTTGGAGCATGATGCATTGTCAAATAATAGGTTTGCTTGTCTGGCCAACAAGAAGTAATTGAGGAGTGTTATAGTTTTACAATCGTGTTTCAATGACTCTGCTGCTTTTGAGTTGTTAGACCTGAACAAAATGGGTCAATGTTGAAAGAATAAAGTTTTTTTTTCCCCTCTCTCCCCCTCCCTCATCTCTCACCTTCCTTCATTTCAGAGTCTTTACGGGGACTTTTTGAAAAGGCGGGCTGGGGTAGGGGCCTCGGCTCTGATGATTCTCTGTCTAGGCATCCCAGGCTTTCAATGTGGGGCTTGAAGTGGGACATTTGGTCTTAGCTTAATGACTGAGAGCAAAATCAGATTTGACGTACCTACCCACGGATATCCACTGAGCACTCTTATTCTTTCTGTCCTTGGGGAGAAAATGGGCTAACCAGCTTATTTTGGTTTAAAGGTTCTTTGAATTCCAGATCTACGTCTTTAAGGAACTATTTCCCCTGTACATTCCTAAGACTTGTTGGAAGCAGATCAAAGCTGAATGATCTGGGACAGGTAGCAAATTTGCTACATTCCATTTTCATTGGGGCAGGTCTCACCCAGCATTTTACAAAATATGCTCCATATAATACTATTTCTATGAGCTCTTTGTGATGAAGTGAGTTTGGGAAACATTACACATCTAATCTAAACCCTTATTTTGGTGCCACATGATGAACATTCCATATTAAAGGCCTGGAGAAGTCCAATAGTAGAGAAACATTGGACTCTGGCATTTCTCCCAATGACCACAGAACCCCAGCATCCTGAAGAGCTGGTGTGCTGCACAATGCATTTGTGAGGATTTTGAAAGTTGGAGGTTTTGGTGATATATAAATATAGCCATAGTTCCTTCCAAAAAGGGCCCATCTGGAGACCAATCACTGCTTAGCTGCAACACCGTGCAATATACACATGTACATACTTATCTTAGAAATAAATTTTAAATGGGGCTATTAAGATTAAAACTTGAGAACTTCCCCACTCAGAGAAAGAGTCATCTCATTGTTATAGGGGCCAAGAAACTTTTTAGGAAAATAAATAAGATAAATTACTAGGATTCGTTTATTTGTACAGGAATGCTTGGTGGGCTTGTTTGTGTCTGCTGCTGGTGGGATTACTAAGCAATGAAGAAGGAGGCTGCTGGCTCTGGGAGAGAATCTACTCTGAAGAACAAAAGTGTTAGGTGTGTCTAGCTAAATTCTGCAATAGGGCTCTGGAGGTCAAAAGGGAGTGATGGTTCTTCTCTGGCATGCTGGCTGCTACCTGTATGTGGTACCTCGTGGTGGCAGCCTCCCCACAGAAAGGAAGGCTGTGTCTATAAAGTTCATGGAGCCCTAACACTGCACTGGGGCCCCTCTAAGAGATACAAACAGACAAGAGGACAGTTGTCAGATAGCTCAGCATCCAGTGACAATGACAGGGCCCCATGGAGTAGTCTCAGTAGCCAAGCAGCGGGCAATGGTAGCAGCTTAGCTGGTGGCCTGGGGAGGCATGAAGAGGGCCCCTGAAGATGTGCAGGGGCAGCTGCCTGGCGTGTAGGAAGGAGACAGGATTAAACTGGGAGTGCTGTGGGTGCCACCTTCCCGTCCCACCAGGGGCCTGGGAATCTTGAAAGCAGGCCCCTCTCATGACAGTATTGAAATTTACCCACAGGGTGAAGTCCATGGACACCCTTCTCTTTACTCAAGTAATTGCACTCCAGACCTATCCAATCCAGCTGCTGCAGATGGATGAGACAAGTGCTGCAGGGTGTGCAGTCGGACCATCCTATGAGATCCCATAAGATGGTTGTATTAGTTATCTATTTCTGCATGACAAGTGAATTCAAACCTTAGTGGCTTAAAAGATAATAAGCATTTATTATCTCTTACAGTTGGTCAGAAATTCAGGAGCAGCTTAGTTGGGTGATTCTTTTATTTTGTAGTGTATTTTGTGAGTTTTTATTTTTATTTATTTATTTTTTATTTTTTTTTTAGACGGAGTCTCGCTCTGTTACCCAGGCTAGAGGGCAGTGGTGGGATCTTGGCTCACTGCAGCCTCTGCCTCCTGGGTTCAAGCAATTCTCCTGCCTCAGCCTCCCAAGCAGCTGGGGCTACAGGTGCACACCACCATGCGTGGTTAATTTTTGTATTTTAGTAGAGATAGGATTTCATGTTGGCCATGCTGGTTTTGAACTCCTGGCCTCAAGTCATCCACTGCCTTGGCCTCCCAAAGTGCTGGGATTACAGGCGTGAGCCACCGCACCTGGCTTTAGTGGGGCAATTCTGTCTCAGAGTCTCTTATGAGGTCAAAGTGAAGATGTGGTCAGGGCTGCATTCACCCAAAGGATAACTGGAGCTGGAGGATATACTTCCACGGTGGCACACTCACATGGCTGTGGGCAAAATCCTTAGCTCCTTCCTGGCTGTTGGCAGGAGGTGTTGGTTTCTTACCTTGTGGATCTCTCCATAGAGCTGCCTCAGTGTCTTTATGACATGGCACCTGGCTGTCCCCAGAGTGAGTGATCCGAGAAAAACAAAGAGGCCACAGTGCTTTTTATAAACCAGCCTTGGAAGTCAAACACATCATTTCGCTGTTTGTTAGAAGTTTATCACTGAGTCGAGCTCACATGTGAGGGGAAGGTAATGAAACTCCGCCTTTTGAAGAGAGAAGTGTTAAAGAAATTGTGGACATATTTGAAGACCACTACAGTGGTCATTCCCTTGTACTTAATCTCCTCAAGTGGTTAAAAGGTTAATGGGAGAGTCAGGGAGCCTATGAAAGAAAGACTTTATTTGGAGAAAGGTGAGGATAAATTTGCTGGCCTGCCCAGAGGAGAAATCTGAGTTATAGAAAATCTTTTTTATTTATTTTGAAGTCAGAAGATGGGCTCCAGATAGGACTGCTTGTTAACTTGGATGAAATTAAAAATAGCTTACACGTTAGGAAAGTAGGGGGATGATTAGTTCTCAGGATATATTAAATGTCCTCACACGAGAGAGAGTCAGCCATTGGGAAGGGCTGCTTTGGCAAACATATGCTGTGTCAAACTCCGCCAGCAGATGCAGAATCTGCTGCTAAAGTTAGCTCCCTGAGAACAGAGCTGGATGGGCTGCCATGACAGATGTCTCTGAAACCAGCACTGAGACAAATATAATTCTTACCACTGGAAAGCAAGGCCCCACGCAAGAGGCTTCTCGCCCTGTTGGAGGGGTTAAAGGGAGGTGTGAAGGCAGATTGAGGACCCCAAATGCTGACTCTTCTGTGATTCTTAAGAATAACGTCTGGTTTTGAAGCCACAAGGTATCGTGGTATTTTGCATTTCTAAATTTGGAAATCCCTCATAAGGTGAATGCTTGTTACTTTCAGAGGAACCCATGCTATGTAAAATCCAGGGCCTGATTGGAAGGCTTTTAAAACATGTATTTTGAGACTTATATTCTGAAATGTTAGAGGCAGAGGAGATGAGATAAGTGTTCAAAATGCCTAAAACAGTAGGAGAGGAGTCAGAAAACTACAATAATGAAAAATGATTTAAATTATTTCTTTAGCACAAAAACCAAATGCTTTTCCCCAAACAAGAAGGAGACCCAGTTTCATGGATGATGACATACAGATGATGTCCACGTGCCAAGCAATTCACTACACGACAAAGCAGGATTTCCCCAAGTGGCCCTCACAGAATTCTGTCCATGGGGATGCCTCACAAAAGAAGAATTCTATGATAAATAAATTTGGGGAGTGATGTGTTGCAGTTCCCCTCTTACAGAGTCATGGAATGCATCAGCATTTGAATGGCTCTGAGAAGCCCTTACATGAAGAAGCCTGTTTAATTTTGTTTAGCTCCTTAGTTTCCAAACCTATGACCATGGACCTTCTAAGTTCTATTGATCTCCAGCTCCCATTTCTATCCCTTTAGAATGTCAGCTTCACAAGGGCAGGTCTTTGTCTGTTTCATCTGTAATTATAGCTCCACAGCCCGGAACAGTGCCTGAAACCAGAGGCGAAAGTGCTATGAAGTGATCGAACTTAAGCTTTGGGGGCCCCTCAGTTACACAGGCCCCTTCCAAGGCCCTGTGCCTAATTTCTTATCCACAAATTGTGTTCTTTTCCTTAAAAAGGACTGTCAGAATTTTTATAAGCTTCTGACCTCACAAAACCTGGATCCACCCCTGTCTGGGACACACTAGGTGCTCAACAAATCATTATTGGATAAACGAATGAACAAATGGATACTATGAAACTATTAGGCGGGAGCAACAGTGACCGTGGTCACAAAAGTAACGGCAAAAACCGTAATTACTTTTGCACCAAGCAAACAGTGTTCCTTGAAATACACATTGGGAAACTCCATCCTACAGACAGAAGACTCCAGACAGGGGGGTGCAATGGTTAATGTCCACAGCAGATTCGGGAGGTATGAGTGCAAAATAAAATCTCATCTGGGAAAGAAAATAACTGCAAGATGTTGGAGCTGGAAGTAAAGTCCGGTTGATTTATGATTGACTATTTGCGTTTCACAGTGTGTTGTGCTCTCACCAGTTAGGATTTATCTGATAGAATGTGAGGGAATTTCATTATGAGGGTTTAGAGGACTAACAAAAATCACAACGCAATATTGAATCATCTCACCTGGTTGCAGAGTTTCCTGAGAAGAAAAGTCTGGTGTCCCTGAACAGAGATCCTCAGCAGCTCCTGGGGTTGGCTGTCACTCTGCCAGCCTGGAATGAGGTCCCTCTTAGGTGTGGCAGATTGGATTCTGACAGTGTAGGGTGACGAACAGAGAGGACCATAAAGCCCAGGGGCTGTTCGGTTCTGACCCCTCCCACCACTGTTCCCCCTTTCAATTCTAAATTCGGGTTTGACCCGTACATAATGAGGCAGATTTTTAATAGTCCCGCCAGCCCTCACACATCCAGATCAACATTGTCTTTTAATGACAGTGCTTTGGGGAGCAGCATGTGGGCTCCAATACAGCTGTTACTAATAAAAATGTTTGTGGCCCTCTTTTGGAATTGCTTTTTGTGTCAATTATGAGGCGCATGAGACAGATCCATCCCCTTGGCCATATGTTGTGTTTGACCAAAAATGGTCTTACCCAGTTTATCCTGCAAAATGGCCCAGCATATTCAGCGAGCTTGATTTTGGAATCATTTGAAGGTTTTTATCCAAACTCAAATCCACTGTCAAAAGACAAAAATTTGCCAGTATTGAGAATGCTCCAAAATATATGCTACATGATCTGAAAGCAGCTTCCCCCGAGGGGACCAAAACCATTCTGATCAAGGGCAATATCTCTGCAGAGCGCACAGAGGGTTCTGGGAGAGTTGCCTACAAGGGGATGGCCTGTGCTGTCATTTGTCAAGTTCTGATAGAGTTTTGAAATCTCCGATTCTGAGTCCCGGCTACTCATCAGAATCACCTGCAGAGCTTTAAAAACTCTTCATGCTCGGACCTTTCCCCTAGACATTCAGATTCAACTGGCTTAGGGTGGAGCCCAGGCATTGATGTGTGTGTGTGTGTGTGTGTGTGTGTGTGATTTTAATGTGCAGCCAAGATTAACCTCTATGCTAAACAATCAATCTTGTTAACTTTAGTCACAATTGTTCCTGTTTAATTTTTTTTGTTAAGATAAAAATCTGTTGTGACTAGGCCAAGAGGCACCGTCGAAGGTTAATCAAACACAGATGGGGGAAATGTTTTGGGGGCTGAATTGTCATCTGCGTAAGCACACACTGTGTGACATGACCACTAGGGGGCAGACTCTAACACTTATTAATAAGTGTTCAAAGAAATTTGCTTTAAAAAAAAATTCCAGGAAATAAAAGGAAAACTGGTTGGGGGCTTTGTTTGTAATCATATCACCCTTTCAAGTGAATCATTTTACTAAGTCTTCCAAATGCAATGATTTCTCTCTCTCTCTCTTTTTTTTTTTTCAAACAGATATCACTCTGTCACCCAAGCTGGAGTGCCTGGTGTCATCATGGTTCACTGCAGCCTTGACCTCCTGGGCTCAATCGATCTTCCCACCATGCCTGGCTAATTTTGTATTTTTGATAGAGATGAGGTTTCGCCAGGTTGCCCAGGCTGGTTTCAAACTCCTGGGCTCAAGAGATTTGCCTGCCTCTGCCTCCCACTGCACCTGGCCCATGATTTCCTCAAAGAGGCCAGCAATGGAACTGCAGTGCTAACTATAGCAGAGGGGGTGGTAGAGGAAGAAAAGTTGCTGATGTGTTTTGAGCATTGTGATGTGTTAGGGACTGTGTTGTGTGAATTGCATCCATTGGTCCATTACCTCATTTAATCCTGCAATAACCCTATGAAATGGCACTATCACTTCCTTTTTATAGGTGAGGAAACAGGCCCAGTGAGGCAAAGTCCCTTACACAGCATCACACGGCTAGTAACTATTAACAGTAGATCAGTTTCAAATCCAGGGCTTTCTGATTTCTAAGTTCATGCTCTTTCTTTATGCACACAACCATTCTGTGGAAGGGTGGTGCTTTGGTGTGTACATTTTCATTTTGGTTTTTGTCATCACAGGTCACATGGATTAAAGTGAGTGGTTTCATGCTATTCTTATCATTCTTATAAGTGATATGCATCTCAATTGCAGATGTACCTCTATAGATGTGGAGGGTCGGATTCTGTGCTCAAATCCCAGCTGTGAGGTGTAGGGAAAGAGCTCTGGGCTATAAATCTATGTGGAAATGGTCCATTTGCTGCCTTATGTCCCCTGGGAGGGTAGGCCCTGTCTGTCTTGCTGATCTAGTGCTAGGCACATCACAGATACTCAAAAATGCTTGTCAAATACCCTAGTTGAAGAATGAATGCATGCATGCATACTTGAAAGTCTTGAGGTCTAAATTACATTCTGGATCTCAGAGTTACTAGCTCTATAATCTTGTCTAAGTTCTGTCTCTTCTCTGGATGCAGCATCCTTTTCAGTAAGTTGAAGTGATGGTTCTAGATGCTATCTGAGGTGTCTTTCAGATCCAACACCTCTAGAACTCAGCTTTTACCTCTGGTTGGATGGATGAACATGAGCAGGGACTTTTAGGATCAGCTCTGGTGCTAGAGATCTAGGAACAGAAGGAAATGGTGGGAGAGACCCTCAGAGCCTGATGTGGCTCTTCAGGAGCACCCTACACTGCTGCTGATGGCATGGAGGCTGAAAATGAGGAACAGGAGGACACCAGAGAGGAATCAGCAAAGCATACCCACAACTTTATTTATTTAAATAGAGATGGGATCTCATATGTTGCCCAGGCTGGAGTGCAGTGGCTACTCACCAGTGTGATCCCAGTATTGATCTGCATGAGAGTTTTGACCTGCTCTGTTTCCAACCTGGGCTGGTTCACTTCTCGTTAGGCAGCCTGGTGGTCCCCTGCTCCTGGAAGGTCGCAATGTTGGTGCCGAACTTAGTGTGGCTACCCAATTGACATACCGCACTCCAGCCCAGAACTCCTGGACTCAAGCGATTCTCCCGCCTCAGCCTTCCAAGTAGCTGGGACCAAAGGTGCACACCACCATGTCTGACATTGCTCACAAATTTAAATCCTTGCTATTTTATCTTTCAAAGTAAAAATAGAGGGTGGGGCCCTGGAGGGTGAACTGTCTATGTGAATTAAATATCATTATTGGCCAGGCGCGTGGCTCACATCTGTAATCCCAGCACTTTGGGAGGCTGAGGAGGGCAGATCGCTTGAGGTCAGGAGCTTGAGACCAGCCTGCCGACATGGTGAAACCCCGTCTCTACTAAAAATACAAAAATTAGCCAGGCATGGTTGCGCACAGCTGTAATCCCAGCTACTCAGGAGGCTGAGGCAGGAGAATCACTTGAATCCAGGAGGCGGAGGTTGCGGTGAGCTGAGATTGTGCCACCGCACTCCAGCCTGGGCAACAAAGGGAGACGCTATCTCTAAATAAATAAATAAAATTATTGAATCTCACCATGATCTGAAGGAGAGGTGATTTGTCTCATTCTTTGCTTTACATTTTAAGACATGGCGAGGGAGCCTCAATTTCTCCCATCTTTGGCTTCCCTGATCTTAAAACTGAGACATCTACATGGGACTGTCAGCAAGGTGGAGCCTGGAAGGAGGGAGAGGGAGGGCATTGTTTATTGTCACTGGTTTAAAATAACTAATTCCCCAAGTTCTGTAGACATTCCTCAGCCTTCAGAAAGCTGGTTTCAGCAGAGCATGCGACACATACTGAGCCTTCATCACCCTCAAAAAGTCTGTGCAAATACACGCTGATCACCAATGGAGACTTTTGGAAGATTAATTTTAGTTCTTATGGACTTTCTGATTTGTCTTCAGGCATACTAAGAATAACTTTGCTCCTGGTCCTGTTAATGAGCATAATCACGAAAGCACGCGGAGCATGGCTTTGGGTCATCAAAGGACGAACCTCCCAGAGAGATCCTCTCAAATCCAAGTTGAATATAATTGAGAAGACATACTGGTCATTTTTTTTCACCCATGGAGGAGGAGCTTCATAATTCAAGACCAGCTTCCCGAATTCAGTCCTCATTGCTGCCACAACTAACTCAACTTTCATTCATTGAAAATGTAATAACATTAGTTAAAAGTTATTGGTTGCTAACAATGTGTGAAGCATGTTCTAAGCATTTTCCAGCTATTAATTAATTTAATCACCACAATCAATTTCTAAGACAGGTACTTTTATTGTTCCCATTTTATGAATGAGGAAACTAGGGAGAAGAGAGGTCAACTAACTTACCCAAGCGTGCACAGTAAGTGGTGGAGCCACTGGCTGCAGGGTTTGTTCTTTAAACCGTTACCTTAAAGCCTCTTCCAAAAAAAAAAAACAAGTACCAGGTGCGGTGGCTTATATCTGTAATCCCAGCACTTTGGGAGGCCGAGGTGGGTGGATCACCTGCGGTCAGGAGTTCGAGACCAGCCTGACCAACATGGTGAAATGCTGTCTCTACTTGGGAGGCTGAGGCAGGAGAACTGGGAGGCGGAGGTTGCAGTGAGCCGAGATCCCGCCACTGCCCTCCAGCCTGGGTAATAGAGCGAGACTCCGTCTCAAAACAACAAAACAAAACAAAAAACAAGTACCAAGCACTGTTGTACAATGGGACAGGACCATGTCCAGAAAGTGGGGGTCTCAGAGAGTTAGGCCAAACAGGCTGGAGCTTAGATGAGCTTCCCACACCTGCTGGGGACTAGAGAACAAACCAGGGGTGGAAACAGAAGCCCAACCTTGTGGACTAGGTGTAGGAGATGGGAGACGAGGGTCGGGGGCACAGCTCTGCAGGCATGCAGGTCCTCAGAGGCTTTCTCCAGAAACACGACATGACTACCCTGGGCCCTGCAACTCCCACCCCCGCTGCCCACCGTGGTCTCATTGACTCAGGGCTTAGGGTAGAGCCCATGAGGAGAGGGCAATTGTAAGGTGAGCTGGCCATGCTGGGGTAGGCAGGGACAGTTTTCTGGAGTGTATTTGCCAATGAGAAATTACAGTCTGCTTGGAGTTCCTGCCTTCTTGACCCTCTGGAAGCCATGCCTCTCTCCCACTGCTGGGAGATTTTGAGTAGGAGGAAAGATCACCACCACGTCTTTCTCTGCAGCTCCATATTAGGGGCAGAAGATTCCAGAAAGTTAGGGTCCCCAGGAGCCGTCGATGCTGGGTTGGCTGGGTATTCCACTTGCCCTCCAGATCTCTGTCTGCCTTCTCTGCTTGCTCTGTGCCCTGGGAGGCCAACCTCTGCAGAGTGCATCATGCAGCTCCTTCGTGCTCTGGGTTGGCCAAGAGGAGGCACCAGCAGGAGGTTGAGATGGGTGAGAAAGAGCCTGGGCCTGGCAGGGGCTATGTCCTTCCGTGACTTTAGCTCCTGCTGGGCGGCCCCTCCTCATGCAGGGACTCCAGATGTCACTGGCTTCCAGCAATACAATTTCTCCCCTGGCCCCCTCAGCCTGGGGGATGAAAAAAACTGTGGCCCCCTCTTGCTGGTCTCTGGGACCCACACACCTTGCAGGAGTTCACTTAACCTTGACCATGCCTCTGTAAGTCATCTGCAAGTATTAGGTTGGTGCAAAAGTAATTGCGCCAACCGAATAGTTCACTAAACTCTTCAGTCAGATGCTTCTGCATGGGTTGTGATTCCTGCCAGGTCCCTGCCTGACATTGCCATCCTCACCCCCTGTCCCCTAGGCTGTCTCCCCACCAGGTCTCACTCTGACCTGCTATAGCTGCTTGGCCTGTTCCAGGGACTCTGCCACACGCTTGTTCTGGAACTTCTCTCCTCTGTCCTGCCACACACTTCAGTTTGTCCCTCTTCTCCGCGCTGCCTCTGCTCTGGGCCACACACTTTACTGGCATTCTGCTCTGAAGTTTTTGTGCTGGTTCCCCACTCTGTTATAGCCCCTTATAACCAGTCACATGTACCTGCAAGGCTCCTGTGATGTGCCTGGCACTATGCTAAATGTGTTCATGCGTGGTATCTCATTCCATTCTCATAATTGTCTGATGAAGTAAGTACTATACTAAGGGATGAAAAAAATAAGCTTCTGTTGTGTTATGGTTTGAGTTTGTCCCCACCAAAAATCATGTTGACGTTTGATCCCTGAGGTGGTGGTGTTGGGAGGTGGGGCCTAGTGGGAGGTGTTTGGATTGTGGGGACGGATCCCTCACGAATGGCTTGGAGCTGTTCTCGCTCTTTGGAGGCTGGACTAGTTCTGGAGGGAATGTTCCCACGAGAGTGGGTTGTTATAAAGCCAGTGCACCTCTCGGGTTTTGCCTCTTCCCATGAGCCCACTTCCCCCACCACCTTTTGTCATATTGTGGTGCAGCATGAAAGCCCTCACCAGAAGCCAAGCCATGCTGGTGCTATGCTTCTTGTACTTCCCGGCCTGCAGAACCATGAGCTACATAAACCTCTTTTCTTTATGAATCACCTAGCCTCATGTATTGTTATAGTAACACAAAATGGACAAAGACATGTTCCTTCTGCCTAACCAGCATAACTCTCCCCGTTCTTCTAATAGCATCCTCAGTTTCCTTTGGAGAACCACTCTCGTCCCCCCTTGTGATTAAGGTAGGCCTGCCCCACCCAGCTCCAGGCCAGTCAGAGACACCATGATTGGCTCAAAGATGTATAAATCACCTCTGCTGGACCAGAGTTGACTTTGGGTCTTTGGTCGGGATAATTAGAAAGGGGCTCTCCTTCTTTTGGAGTTGCTAAGTAAGGAGATGATAAGCTCTGCTGGTGGGCTTGCTAACATTTGAAAAGAGAACCTGCCTGGGAATGATGCCAGTCCCAGAGAGAAGCAGAGTCCAAGACTGAGACTGAGCCATGTGGTTGGATTCAGACATGCCTAAAGCTGGACAACCTCTAAAACTTCTGGGTCGGGGGACAAGTAAATTCCCTTTTTAATGTAAGCTAATTTGAATTGGCCTCTATCACTTGCAACCAGAAGAGTTTTGGATAATGTAGCAGTTCAGTAACTTGCTTGATGTCATGTATTTCGTGACTGGTGGAGCTGGGAGTTAAACCCAAGTTTGCCCAAGGAACCCGAGCTAAGTCCTCCAAAGGCCGCTGAGTATACCAATGGCTGTGAGAGCTGCACATGCTCAGTATTCCTCCCTGGTGGTTTTCATTCGGCCTTGAAATAGGGTGAATGAAATAGACTGCTTCTTGCCTGGTTGTGATCTTGCCTCCAGGTTGTAAAATCATTACCATGTCCATTTCTAGTGACTTCACTGGGAGTTCCACAGTCTTCCTCAAAGGAACTTGAGTTCTGTGGTAAGTAGTTTCTTACCATACATTTCCTCCTCTTCCTTAGTAATAGAACCCTTGATGTTTTGCTAGTTACATGGCTATCCAGAATAAAGACCATATTTATTCTCAGTCTCCCTTGCAGTGTGGTGTGGCCATCTCATAAATTCTAACCAATAGGTTGCAAGCATAAGAAGTGTGTGTAACTCCAAGGAAGTGTCCTTAAAGAGAAAAGTATGCACGCATTCCAGAAATTACTTTTTTTATGTTGGCTGGAAGACAGATGATGGCTGGACTTGAGCAGCCATGTTGGACCATGAGATAGAAGCTGTGTATTAAGAATAATGGAGCAACAAGATAGAAGGAGGGTGAGTCTCTTTTATCTTGATCACTAGTTACCATATAAACCCTAAACGGTCTACATTTATATTGGGAAAAATAACCTTCTCTTTCATCTATGCTACTGTTTTGGTGTTGCTGTTATTGTTGTCACTGGCAGCTGAGTCTAATCCAAACTAATACAGATCCTTTCTATAAATCAGGTCCCAGGGAAGGGCAGGAGCCTTTCCTGGTTTTGGAAGCTGATCAGCAGATGGGTTCTGAATAGGATCTGGGGGCTTATGAATATCAGAGTGATGACCAAAGAAGGGTTTATGTGATGCTAAAGATTTGTAAGACCTATTCCAGGGAGCCTGAGGGGATTTGTATTCTTTTTCTTCAATGTTACAAACCCCAGGCTCTGGATCCAGCTCTGGCGTAGACTGATGTTTTAGTCTTGATTTGCAAGGGTGTGACCCAGAGACACCTCAGGACATCTCGGGGGGAGAGTCTGACCTTGCTCAGGATATGTTCTCTTCCTTCTCTGTAACGCCCACTCACCTGCAGGCTCTCCCCCAAATCTTGTTTCCTCCAGGAAGCCTCCCCTGATGTCAGGTATCATGTCTTTCTCCGCTCACTAAAGATCCTTAATATCCACTCGTTTACTTTCCTGTTCTCAGCTGGGTATTGTAGGAGCATTGACTTTGGAATCAGGAGATGTGGCTTGACTTTTAGCTAGCTATAAGACTTGGACCAAGTAACTGAAGCTCTCTGGTCTTCAGGTTTTTTGTAATGAGGGAATGATAGCACTTGCTTCAACTAGTTAGTGAGAGAATTAAATTAGATCAGATATGTGTAATTGCTTTATTGATGATGAAGTGTGATAAAATTAAACATATTATGATTACTAGTATCACAGCTCTAGTCCCCAAGGGATGTGCTTCTCTTTCAGCTTTCATGCAAATACTGTCTGATAAGCCCTACCTAATACTCAATTACTTATTACTGTATATTGTCCTCTAATGGTTTTGCATGTCAAGTTTTATTCTTCTGAGTCGACTGGCAGGATCTTATTTTATTGCCTTCAAGCTCCTAGAACAGGTCTGGGCACACAGAAAGCATTTTAGGTACAAAAGGGGGTATAGATTGGGTCAGAGTTACTACCTAACAAAAGGTAATTTGTTGGTAAACGTACAGTTGTCTTGGGTCTAGCCCTTTGCCATGTCATTGTAGCTGATTGGACTTGGGGAGGCCGACCCACATCAATCAAGCTCACAGAAGACTGCTGCATACATAGCAGCCTGATGTCAGCTTATTGTTTAGAGTGGGGAACTGCTTTCTGATCACTGAAATGTTCATACTTCCTGCCTAGCCCCTTCTGGGTACCTGCATGATTGGGAAGCCAGGTTTGTCTAGGGAAGATTGGTTGGTGAGCCTGGAACTCTGGTGTGGATAAGTGGACTCTTAGGAAAAGGGTTCAATCTTGCCTACCATGTGACTTCGTGAGTCATTCCTACTCAACAACAAAGTCCATTTCTCCAGGGAGTAGGAGGTTCACAATCCCCTGACTTCAACACCTCCTCCCCTTGAACACCAATGACTAAACAGGGTCAGCTTCCCACTCCTTAGAGTTTCCCTTCTATGTTCCAGACTTTCTCCTAACAGTGTACTACATAATTGATTTTGTGTCTGCTTACTCAATTATGATCACATCCAGTTCTGCTTCTCCAAGATTATACTCTGATTACTTCAATCGGTTCAACTGATGTTTGCTTCTGTCTATCTATCTATCTATCTATCTATCTATTCTATCATTTATCAATCAATATCTATTACTTAGAGGTAATTTGAAATTCACAGTATTCATCCCAGTATGCTGAAGTCCTGGCTTATGTGTGGTTTACTTGCTGTCCTTGTGGATCTGTATGGCTTTCTGAGGATGCGAGGGAGGATCGCGGTTTAGGGGCTGCCATTATCAATTGGGGTTTGAAGCTCCTAAACTTCCCAGTCTCTTGGCTTTCTCCTACAAAAGGGTAATCATATAAGTGTGTCATTTTTCATTTTTAAAAACTGGTTTAACTCTTACAGAGTAACCTGGATTTTAAATTCTTGAGGACCCTTTCCTGTTGTCCTTCCTGGAATCAGAGATTCTGGGACTACCTGTGCATGGAATAAGTGAATAATGTGAGTGGGGTTGACTGCCGGACCCCGTCCTGCATCTTCTGGCCTTACCGGCAGGGACTGACTTGTTGATTTTTATTGCCACTTGTTTTCAGCCCACTTGAAATGAATCATCTGAAAATGCACCGTGGCTCTATCACCAGGCCCTAAGCCATAATCCAATGCAGTTAAAAGGCACTTTCTCTCCTGCTGAGAAATTAACACCTTCTCCTTTGTCCCAACTTTCTGGGATCATTTCCAATAGGTCCTGGCTGGGAGTTAATTAAATCTCTGTTGACACATACTCAATTTCAAGTGGCTTTGCACATACAGGAAACCTGTTGAGATTTTCCATTTTGGGTCCAAAACCGCTGATCCATCTCTTTACCCCAGTTTTTAGGGTAAGTTTTCCACTCGCCAGGAGACGACGGAATTTAAAGTGGAAAATTTATGGGATTCCCCGCTCTTTGAAAATCACAGTCTGCCACTTTCCCATAAAGCTTTCTAAATTTTAAAACCTGTCTTCTGCATAAAACTTCATATTTTCTGTTAAAACAACTGGATTTGTGATTACAGAATGCTCTCAGAGGCACAGCAGAAGCAAATAACAAGTAGGGTCAGAATTCTGAATCAGCAGCAGCTGTTTCAAGAACACAGTGCTCAAAAACAGAGTCAGAAGATCTAAATGTAGGTCAAGTAATTTTTAATTCCAATTGGAGGATATTGCATATGCATAGCCAGGAGCTTCTTTTTTTCTTTCCATCAAGAATTACATATTTGGAGATTTGGGTGGCTTACAGGAAAGTTATTAGCAGCAACATCTAGGGTCTTCTAGGTTCACCTCAAGAGGCACATGTCAGCCTCTTCTCTCTGTCTCTCTGTTAATGACCACCCTTCATCCACTCCCCCAACCTACCCCTTTCCACACCCAAATACGTGCATGCACGCACATGATATATGCTTACACATGTGTTGCTGTGTGCTTATTTTAGCACTGTTCTTTATTTTTAATTTTTATTTTTTTTTGAGACAGAGTCATGCTCTGTTGCCCCTAGAGTGCAGTGGTGTGATCGTGGCTCACTGCAGCAACCTCTGCCTCCTGGGTTCAAGTGATCTCATGCCTTAGCCTCCAGAGTAGCTGGGACTACAGGCATGTGGCCCCCATACCCGGCTAACTTTTGTATTTTTAGTAGAGATGGGGTTTTACCATGTTGGTCAGGCTGGTCTTGAACTCGTGGCTTCAAGAGATCCACCTGCCTTGGCCTCCCAAAGTGCTAGGACTACAGGCATGGGCTGCCGTTCTTGAAAGCCTGTGCAGTCGGGCCCAGTGGCTTACACCTGCAATTCCAGCATGTTGGGAGGCTGAGGCTGGAGGATTGCTTGAGTCCAGGAGTTGGAGACCAGCCTGGGCAACAGGGTGAGACCCCGTCTTTATAAATAATAAATACGGCTGGGTGCAGTGGCTCACGCCTGTAGACCCAGCACTTTAGGAGACCGAGGTGAGCGGATCACCTGAGGTCAGGAGTTTGAGACCAGCCTGGCTAGCATGGTGAAACCCTGTCTCTACTAAAAATACAAAAATTAGCTGGGTGTGGTGGCAGGAGCCTGTAATCCCAGCTACTTGGTAGACTGAGGGAGGAGAATTCCTTGAACCCAGGAGGTGGAGGTTGCAGTGAGCCGAGATTATACCACTGCACTCCAGACTGGGCGACAGAGCGAGACCCCATCTCAAAAACAAAACAAAACAATACAAAAAACAATTAGCCAGGCATGGTGGCACATGCCTATAGTCCCAGCTACTCGTGAGGCTGAGGCAGGAGGATCACTTGAGTCCAGGAAGTTGACAAGGCTGCAGTGAGCGGTGATCACACTGTTGCACTCCAGCCTGGATAACAGAGGGGGACCCTGTTCCAAAATAAGAAAGCAAGCCTGTGCAGAGCATCCCTCCCATGGGGAGCCGTGACCTTGGCACTGGAGACTCCTGCTCTATAAGCCATCACATTGCTGGTCTGTCAATGCCACTTGTGTAATGGTGGGGCAGAGGTTGCAAACTGGCAGCTGTGGACTGTATTTGTTTAGCCTGTATGGCATTTTATTTTATTTTTTACTGAGCCAACTTAAAAAAATTAGAATATTTTGAATAAAAATCAGAATGCTGTATTTTCCTTGAAAGCTGGGGTGCTCTGGGAGCACTGATTGGCAGCCATGGGCTGTCGCTGAGTGGTGCTACCCCTTCTAGATGGAACTTGTTGGTCTAGTTGGTCAGTTCTCATGTAGCTTACTTCATTCATTTACATTTCCTGCCCTGCACAAGAATTCACGGCTCCACAATCAGGAAATGTCCACACAAATGGCTTGGTTCTCTTAAATAGTATAAAATAGTTGCTCATAGCCTCTCTGGGAGGAGAAAAGCTACTAAAGTTATTCTCAGTTATTTATGTGTAAGTCTAGGATGAGTGTGTCAGAATAATTGGCCTCATGAAAATGAGTTGTGGGTTCGGTTCAGGATTTTGTTTTGTTTTGTTTTGTTTTCTTTTGTTTTTGGTGAGGGGATGGGGAAGGAAGACAAAAGTCTAAAGTAAGGGTGGGAAAGACAAAGAGTGGCTCTGAGGCACTGGGGAAGGTGACATCAGAAGGGAGGTTCCAGCCTGGGCAACAAGGCGAAACCCCATCGCTACAAAAGAATACAAAAAAATAATTAGCCGGGCATGGTGGTGGCCCCTGTAGTCACAGCTACTCAGGAGGCTGAGGTGGCAGGATCCCTTGAGCTTGAGAGGCAGAGGTTCCAGTAAACCAAGATCACACCACTGCACTCCAGCCTGGGCAACAGAGTGAGACCCTGTCACAAAAAGAAACAAACAAACAACAAAACAAAGGAGGTTGACACCTTTGCAAAAAGGACTCTGAAAAAGTGTTGGGTTGTCTGGGATTAGACCAAGAGGGAGTTATGGCCATGAGATGGTGGGCATGATTTTTGAACCACTCCCTCCCCCTTAGGAGACTGAGCCCTCCTTCAAGTACAGAGCCATGGACAGAGACCCTTTTTCATTCATCTCTGTTTCCCACGTTGGCATATGTATTAGTCCGTTTTCACGCTGCTGACAAAGACACAATTGCCCGAGACTGGGCAATTTACAAAAGAAAGAGGTTTAATTGGACTCACAGTTCCACACGGCTAGGGAAGCCTCATAATCATGATGGAAGGCAAGGAGGAGAAAGTTCCATCTTACATGGATGGCAGCAGGCAAAGAGAGAATGAGGAAGATGCAAAAGTGGAAACCCCTGGTAAAACCATCAGATCTCACGAGACTAATTCACACCACGAGAATAGTATGGGGGAAACTGCCCCCATGATTCAATTATCTCCCACCAAATCCCTCCCACAACATGTGGGAATTATGGGAGTACAATTCAAGATGAGATTTGGGTGGGGACACAGAGCCAAACCATATCAGCATAGTACTTGCCCCACACTATGAACTCAGTAAATGTCCATGAAATAGGACTGAACAGTATGCCTGTGTATGTGTGCATGTGCACCTGTGTCGCATGTGTGAGCACATTGTGTGGATCTGTGTGCACACATCAGAGTGTGGGAAGAGGCAGGTTAGGAGAGTGGAGGAGGGGTGGACATTAACAGAGAGAGAGAGAAAAGAGGAAGGTGTCTTGGGAGTACCCAACACATGCCAAGAAATACAGGGCTTTTTCATTAGATGACAATGGCTCATCTAGAAATATTTCCTCTCCCTTCCCAAAGACAAGGAGTAGTAATGGTTAGTGGATTGCATTCTTGCCCCCAAGGCCCAAGAATCCACAGCGACAGCTCTGAGTAATGAAGGCTGGGGTGAGTGGCCTCATTTAGTGAATTATTCATTGGATACTCACCCACCTTCCTCTGACATCCATTTTCTTTAAGTCTTTCCCTGTTTCTAACTCAGAATACACTCAGCACGTCACATGGCACAGATGGCGAAATGAAAGACAACAGGATGGAGTAGGTAAGAATCGGAAGTCAAGCAGACTTGGGTGCAAGCCTGTCCCCTCCCTACACTCTGCTGTGTGCCCTTAGGCAAGCTTCTTAGTCTTTCTGACCTCTGGCTTCTTTGCTGAAAATGGGGATAATCATTGTATCTACCTCTTGGGTTTACATAAAGAGTAAACAGTGCCTGGCATTTGGTAAGTGCTTAATAAATGTTACCTATTATTATTCTAAAGTTCAAAGTTAAACAGACCTCCCAGTTTGTCTCTTTCTTCTGATAATGGTTTCGTAACATTGTGGTCTGCACAGAAGATGACTGGCCTAGATGGTTTCAGATGAAGCGCAGTACTGGGGTCCCCAGTGCACATTCTTTTCCATGTTTTGGGGTGTGCACAAGCAGCGGTCACCCACGAGGATATTGCAGAATGTACTTCTGTGTGTGTGTGCTGTGACCTTCTTTCTTTTGGAGTAAGGAGCTGGCTTTGGTCCCTGCAGTATCACACCAACTCTCAGATCACTTTCCCTGGTGAAAAGCCATCTGCCTCAGTCTTCTTTGCAGAAAGCCTCCCTGACTCTCATCCGGGTGTCCCAGGGAGCTTCCTGACCACACTGCTCAAACCTAACCATGCTGACTGCCTGCATCACAGCAGGAGAGGTTGGCTCAAAACCTCACACCAATTTTCCCCTCCTTCTCTTCTAGAAACCTAGAGCTTCTCCCAAATGTAGACAGATGCCCACTTTAGACCTGAACTAGAGAAAATTCCTTATAGCCCAACATATGAAATCGAAGGCTCTGTCTTGCTTCTCCCATCTCCTCTCCTCTCCCTCCCCTTCCTAGTCGTAGAAAGGGAAGATGAAATGCAGCATTAGCCCTTGTTGCTACAGCCCAGCTCCTCGGATGAGCATGTCAGGCTGGATACTGTAGCTAAACATAAATGAATGGTTATTAATGATGGTCATAATGTTTTCTAGCAGTTAGCTGGCTGGGATTGTAGGATTTTTTTTTCCACTGTGTTTTGAAGGGTTAGGTTATTTAAACTTACCATCAAATAGAATCAAATCAAAGTGAGCTAATTTTTCTTAAACACTAATCATTTTAAGGCTATTGAACTAAATATAGAGGCAGTTCATTAAATCATTAAAACAGCCTGCAATAATGCTCACAAAGTCATTATGGAGCTATTCCCTAGCCAGAGAGGTAGTGTTGCCTTAAGCACAGTTTAATCAAATTAGATGGTGGGCTATGTCATGGGGTTTCTCCTATTGATATTCATTAAAAATACATGATTTATCACTAATCTCTGTGAGGTAGATCCCACTCTTCCAAATGAATTTTGTAAATGTCAAGGGGAAGAAAACAGAATGGCGTATTGTTATAATAATTTAAGAGTGGTGTGATCACATTTACATTTTATATACTATGCAATTTAGGAACAGATAATAGCTTTAACAAGGCTAAACTTTTTTCCTTAGTTAAAGTTAGAACAGAAAGGCTGAACCCTGAGGATTAGCCATTATATTTTATTGCAGAACAAGCCCCAACATTTGAATTATCTTTCAGTAGAATGATAGCTTGTCCCATTGTTCAGCTAATGCTTTTCTTAGATTCTTAGGTGGACGGATTTCTACATAAATGTATGCTGTCCCATTCAGACAAAATAAGATTCCTGTTTTCAGGTCTGGCCATGTTTTGGCACATGGGAGAAGCTGTTTGTTTTCTGGCCCTTGGATCTTCCTTGGGTGCCCACACGTCACCCTCTGTGGCTCTTCGGCCTCCAGATCTGCCCTCCAAAGCTTAGTGAAATTTGCCCAGCTCCTTCCTCCTCGGTGGACTGTAAAGGGCTGATAACAGTTTAAGTATTACCCCACCCAGAGGTATTTGCATTTTAACAGGGATCAAAGCTGAAACTAAAGTGATTATGTCCTAATAGTAGAATTTTGAGCATCAGCCAGTGGGTGGAAGAGGATATTCTCTTGCCAGAGGGACCTTCCCTCCAGCCTTGAAGGGAGAGGAGGACAGTCCAGGCAGGGCAAGGCCAGAATGCAGATGGGTGGATGGACAGACAGTAGACCCAGACTACTTTTTCTTTTTTCATTTTGTGCCTTTTCTTTTCTTTGTTTTCTTTAAACTGTGAAATGAGCTTTCCCTGTTTTGAGAACAGGTATCTTTCTGGGGGGTACACTTTGAAATATTGATGTCCTGGCTTGTCCTCTAAACAATTTTTTCCCCTAAAACTGGGGACTAATGTTTGAATCTCGAATTTAGAGTTTAGTTTAAAACTCTCTGTATTGCTTATAAAGTACCCCTGAAGGAAGAGGGTGACTTTCAAAAGGTGCAGCACCTTTTCGATATGAAAACGTGCCTGTGCTTAGCAAGACACATGAGATGTCTGTCTACACTTAAGATGCTTATCAAAAGCTTTTCAGAATATGCAGCCAGCATGGTCAGAATCAGCAGACAGAGGCACTCAATTTGTACAAGATAGGATGCTTTTAGCATCTTGGCCATTTAACCTAATCTAAAAAACAAAAAACAAAAAACACACAGCCTAAATGAAATCCTACTTATTTTACTCTGCTATATTGCAGAATAATGGAATGCCCACTCCTTTCTGCACAGGAGATCTCTAACTTGACTCTGGGCTCAGTGGGAAGCTCTCATAACCATTTCCAATGCCAAACTCAAGATACAATAGGGACTGGCCATTAGCCATGGAATCTCCTGCCTGTGAAATAATGGAGACGTAAATGCTACTGAATTATTGGCAGGAACTGACTTAACTTCTCAAAATAATAAACGAGGGTCCCAGCAAAACCTCTTCTTGTTAAGTAGTTGAATGTCTAATTCACCTAGGATATTCTTTCAAATTCATTTCATTTTTGATAATTTCATGAAAAAAAGCGCTGTATTGGTGGTTTCTCTTGTGCAAGGCTGCACTTGCCTAAGGGCAAGGTGCATTTATTTTGGTGATTAATAACTGCAAGTTCCGTGGCTTAATGGGAATGTGCTAGATGTATTTGAAATGATAATGCCTTCTTCCCCCTCTTCATTCATCAGGTAAATGCCTTGATTACTTGCCTCCCAAGTTTGTGCTCAGTAGAACTTATGCTCTCCACTGACACTTTGAAAACATTATTCTTGCATATCTGTGGTTGGAGAAGCCTGGGAGTCACACAGTGACTGATTTCAGTTGGCCAGTGTTGAGTGTGCATTGTTCAACTCACAGGTCTTCTGAAAGATGGGTAACAGGAGGCTGGGAGGAGAAACAGAATGAAAGAGAATATTTTTTTTCTTCTGCTCCCTTGGTACCCCTAATGTCTCACCAAGGACCACAGGGACAGATTTTCTGCCACTCATTCAATATCCAACGTTACTCAAGGATATTGTCTTTATTTTCATAGGTTTATTAACACTCTGTAAGAAATAAGAAAACTAAACTTGGAGCTAATGGAATTAAGAGAGTTGAACAGGAACAGGTGAACAACTCATCCTGGTTTTTCCATGTCTGTTCTGGCTTTAGCACTGAAAACACTCAGGGAAACTTCTTAGTCCTGGGCAAACTGAAATCAATAGTGACACTGAAAACTCTTCTGCACTTTTCTCCATAAACCCCATTTACACGACCTGGGTGAACTAAGAGTCACTTGTATAATACAAATATTCCAGACTGAGAACATCTCCTTTTAAAGCATTGTACTCTTACCCTTAATAAGGTGAAACATTTAAATGGTGTTTAAACTAGTAAAAATAATTTCTTACATCTATAATCCCTTTAATAATTAAACAAATTTTCAGTTATTGTCCCTTGTAATTCTCAAAACTGGGGTAATAGCCTCATTTTAAAGGAAAGAAAACTGAGGCTTCAACCAATAGTCAGTTTCCTGTCTCTGCTCTTGTCTTGCCCCCAGGGTGAGGGAGAAGCAGCCTTGCCCACCTTTCTGGGATTTGAAGAGTCTTCATTTAGCAGGTACTCACAGAGCACATGCTGCATGCTAGGGACAGAGTAAGACAGACACAGTTTTCAAGTGTGCCTGGTTGACCTTTTCCCAATGGGTCCAATTAAGAAATATACGTTGCCTTAAAAGTCTCACTCTAAGGCTGGGCGCAGTGGCTCACGCCTGTAATCCCAGCACTTTGAGAGACCGAGGCGGGCGGATCACGAGGTCAGGAGATTGAAACCATCCTGGCTAATATGGTGAAACCCCTCCTCTACTAAAAATACAAAAAAAAATTAGCTGGGTGTGGTGGCAGTCGCCTGTAGTCCCATCTACTCGGGAGGCTGAGGCAGGAGAATGGCATGAACCCGGGAGGCGGAGCTTACTGTGAGCCAAGATTGTGCCACTGCACTCTAGTCTGGGCAACAGAGCAAGACTCCACCTCAAAAAAAAAAAAAAAAAAAAAAAAACTCACTCTAAGGAAACCTTAAAACTCTCTCCATGCTAAGCTTTAGCATTTTGGTATCTTCAAATGAGTTTCACCCAATGCATTAGTCCATTCTCACATTGCTATAAGGAACTACCCGAGACTGGGTAGTTTATAAAGAAAAGAGGTTTAATTGACTCACAGTTCTACGGGCTGTACAGGCAGCATGGCTGGGGAGGCCTCGGGAAATTTACAATCATGGTGGAAGGTGAAGGGGAAGCAAGGATGTCTTCACATGGCAGCAGGACAGAGGGAGCAAATGGGACAGTGTGACACATTTTCAAATAACCAGATCTCATGAGAGCTCACTCACTATCATGAGAACAGCAAAGGGGAAATCCACTCCCATTATCAAATCACCTCCCAGCAGGTCCCTCCCACAACATTGGGAATTACAATTTAACATGAGATTTGGGTGGGGACACAGAGCCAAACCATATCACCCAATAACCGGAAGAATAATTAAGCTCTCCCAATTTTAACTGATGCCATGATCATCTGAGAGGCTGAAGATAGTGGAGTGAGTCTCCTTTCAAAGTGCTTGGGGTGTGTGTGTGTGTGTGTGTGTGTGTTTGTGTCTTCTAATAATGCCCCCGTTTTTACTGCCCTGTCTCTGTGCACCAGAAGAGTGGTTATGATCAATTATGTTATTATTAAAAAGAAGTCCATCCCTTTACTGTTAATTGTCATAGAACAATATAGACTCTTTGAGTATATAATAGTGCCATTAACCTTCACATGGTCACCAGCCAGCCCTTCTCCACAATGTTGCTCAAAGTGTGAACTCTCTGGAAAGTAATTAACCTTAGACTCATATTTGCCTCTTTTTTCCTTGCTCCCCACAAAGATTCACACGTGAAGTCTCATCTCAGGCCCTAATCCCACACCCACCATGGGCTCTGGAGCAGTTTCCTGTCAAGTCTTGTGTGTGCCAAGGTCCTGCAGGGAGAAGACACAGCCACATATTATTAGCAAGAGCATCTAGCACTGGGCTCTGTCCAGGTGGCAGCTCAGTAAGGACTCATGGGTGATGGAATTGAGTTGTCAGGCTCTCTGCTCTCCTGGCTATTAATCCTTTTCTGTCATGGTTTAAAAGACAGAATGAGGCAACCAGAAAAATAAAAAACCAAAAAAGCTCTTCAAGCCTGACCTTCAACTGACCAGTGAAAAAGAGTGTTTCAAAAAGATGAGTGAGGTTACAGTTGTTTGCACAGAATGGATGACCACTGGACCCCATGGTCTCAGAAGGCTATTTTAAAATTGAAAGGCAGTGAGCGTTTTTCTTTTGAAAATTTACCTTTTCCTTTTTTTATCTTGCTTGTACTAACCACTTTTCATGGTCAACAGCACGTATCACTCCAGGACAGCAGGGATCTATCTTTTCAGTGCTTATTCTCAGTATGTAACACAGTACCTAGCACCTGGTAGGCACTCAATGCATATTTGTTGAATGAATGAATATCATCAGCTTTGACTAAAAACAGAATAAAGGTAATATCTGTTATTGAACTACCTCTGCAGTCCCACACTTACTAATGCTAGGTAGTAGTCTTAACTATAGTAGGTAATAGAAACTGCATGTGTGTGAAGTATGTTTAATAAAATTTTTACTGTTGGTTGGGTACATTAACCACTGTTAACACTTCTTCATCTGCACTAATTAAGCCTTGAAATTTCTTCTTCTATTGAATAAGTACAAGTGCTACTAGGAGACTGGGGAGTGGGCAGATGGATCATGTTTAGTATTTGACTCAGCCAGGTGAGTGCCAGTTTCCTTGAATGAGGCACAAATCCAAGTTTTCTGCTTCTGTCTACCAAAAGCAAGAACTGTTTTGCTTAATTTGGGCTTTTTTCAATTTTTACTTTGAACCCAGAGAAGCCAATTTTGGGCTGTCTTTATAATCTCCTGAGTTGTTTTGACTTCCAGACCAGAATGGAAGGTATCACAGAAGGGGCCCTGGCCAGAGTCATCTGCACTTGTTCCATGGGTCCTTGGTGAAAGCCCGAGGGACAATGACTTTCTAACATCAAGCATAAGAGAGGTCTCATTTCTATTCCAGGACTGGGTCCTTTCAGAACACAACCAACAGTGCTGCATGTCATAGTTCCTGCTTTCCTTAGATGGAGGCGTAAGATGCAGTGAAGAGAAAGTGTGAGGTGGATTACTCAAGGGAAGGAGCTGTTGTAAAATGAAGATGGAAGGAAGAATCAAATGTAACTTAAATAACAAAGGGAAAGAGAACCCAACGCAGAGAGTTCAACTTCTGTAAAACTAAAGAGAGGCACAGAGAGTACAGTTGACCCAAGACACTTGGAGCTGTCTTCAACTACAATGTGCACGAATGACATTCTGAATTGCATCTTTTCTTATCACCAATGTCCTCATGCAGGATACAAAAGCTACTACCAAGTTTGAGACTGGGCCAGATCTGCCTACAAAGAAAGAGTGTTACTTCTATGTTCCAACTAATGAGACAGCTATGTCAGGGGATGTGAAGATAAATTGCAATACCCAAAGGCACATAAGCCAAAGAGAATCCTGGCACCTACACCTAAGAAGCCATCAGGTTGTGGCTGCTTTAAGTCTCCCTTCTCAAAGAGAAGCCAAGGTACAATGGCGGAACTGAACTTAAGCCTTTCCAGAAAGTCTCAAAAGTTTCTCTCTTATCCCTTTAAGAATAAATGCTAGCCAGGTGCAGTGGCTCACACCTGAAATCCCAGCAGTTTGGGAGGCTGAGGTGGGTGGATTGCCTGAGGTTAGGAGTTCAAGACCAGCCTGACCAATATGGTGAAACCCTGTCTCTACTAAAAATACAAAAATTAGCCAGGTGTGGTGGCATGTGCCTATAGTCCCAGCTACTTGGGAGGCTGAGGCAGGAGAATTGCTTGATAAATTTATTCAGAAGGAAAATAAATTTATTTATGTTAAAATCCCAATGAACCTGTTTTCATTAAAGGCTCCCAAGAAACAAAGCACCAAGCCTGAAAGCAACAGAGTACAGGTGAGAGGTTTCTCCCCGCTGAAACATCTACCCCATGAGGCAGCCCGTGCAGCTTCCAGACCCAGGAGGTGAGACACAAAATCATTTTGTTGGATAAAAGTATTCATAATAATTACCTTCTTTGGAAATGGAAGAATTTCATCTCTCCATCTGACAGAGAGGAACCTGTTTTCAGTGGAGACACTGGAGTAAATCGTCCCAGGATAATGGTTACCTTTGACCAAAGACACAGCCCCAGGAGTTGGGGCTTCATTCCCTTCAAGTGTTGATCAAGTCTGAATCTTCAGGATGGTTGTGACATATTCTATTTCTGTAACTCCCTTTAAGAAACACATCCTATAATTTTTAGCCACTTCTTGTAGTTGCTGCTGATGGTGATTCATATCTCCACCGGAACCATGCTGGGTGGAATTGACCCTTTGCAAGCATTTCTCCATGACACGATGAATAGGAAAATAGAGGGGTGGGAAAAGGAGAAAGCCAGCAAGCAAAGAGGAGGTAGGAGATAGCGGTGGGGTGACAGAGCCAAGAGGAATTGGGCTCTCTCTGCAATTTGACCCTCACTTGCCTTTGCACCACATTCAATTTGTTTTATTAAAGACATGTTGCTTAGAAAGTCTTACCTGTAGAGCTGGGTTTAGAGACATGAAAGTGCTCCAAGTATGACAATAATTTGACTTCCCTTCAAATCAGTTTTTTTTTTTTAAATTGCTTAGCTTGTATTTAATAGGATATGGAAAACGCTGATTTTCTAGAAATACAAATTGTAATCACAGGCTAATTTTCTTACTAAATATACTTCTGGATGAAGTTGTGACAGTGTTCTGAAAAAAAATGCAGCTTAATGTTTCTTACCTTTCTGTTCTTGTCCTCTTTTCAGTTTTTTTTTTTTAGATGGAGTCTCGTTCTGTCGCCCAGGCTGGAGTGAGGTGGCACGATCTCGGCTCACTGCAACCTCCGCCTCCCGGGTTCAAGCAATTCTCCTGCCTCAGCCTCCCGAGTAGCTGGGATTGTAGATGCATGCCACCATGCCTGGCTAATATTTGTATTTTTAGTAGAGACGGAGTTTCACCATGTTGGCCAGGGGTGATCTCAAGCTCCTGACCTCAAGTGATCCAACGGCCTTGGCCTCCCGAAGTGCTGGGATTATAGGTGTGAGCCACCATGCCTGGCCAAAATGCAGCACTTGTTCCTGATAGTCACACTGTGCTTAGCATTATGCGGTTTCAGAATTTCACTGACTGTAGCTGTGAGCTGGCCGACTTCAGGGCTGGTGTCTCTGTTGGTGCGCAGCTTGCATACAAGTAGTGCAAAAATACTCAGGAAGACAGCTTTGGTCGGGGGTGTTGCTGTTTATTAATTTTTTTCAAAACTTTGTGTTTTGAAATAATTTCAGACTCAAGAATTCGCAAAAACAGTAACATAATTCTGTGTACTCTTCAGCCAGCTTCCCCTAAAGGTGGCATTTTATTTTTTATTAATTAAAAAAAAATTTTTTTTAAACCAGAGTCTCATTCTGTCACCCAGGCTGGAGGGTGATGGTGTGATCACAGCTCACTGCAGCCTTAACCTCCTGGTTCAAGCAATCCTCCCACCTCAGCCTCCTGAGTAGCTGGGGCTACAGGCACATGTCACCATGCCCAGCTAATTTTTAAATTTTTTATACATACGGGGTCTCACTATGTGCCCCTAGTTGGTCTTGAACTCCTGGGCTCAGGTAATCTGCCCACCTCTGCCTCCCAAAGTGCTAGGATTACCAGCGTGAGCCACCCTGCCCAGTCCAACGTGACATCTTATATAGCTGTAATATAATATCGAAGCCAAGAGGTTGACATTAGCATATTTCTATTAACTAGAGATAGACCTTATTCAGTTTTCACCATTTTTTAAACCTGCACTCCTTGGAATGTGTGTGTATAGTTCTGTGCACTTTTGTTCCACGTATAGGTTTGTGTAACCACCACTACAATCAACACACAGAGCTGTTCTATTACCACAAACAACTTCCACATACTACCAGGAATTTTTTTTTTTTTAATTTCCATTCCAAACAACTCCACTATACCACTCCAGTTCTGTTTCTGAAGGAAGAGAACTATGTTGGTTTGCCAGGGCTGCCTTAACAAAGTACCACAAACTGGATGGCATAAACAGTAGAAATTTATGGTCTCATAGTTCTGGAGGCTAGAAATCCACCATCAGGGTGTTGGCGGGGTTGTGGATTTCTTCTCTGGGCTGTTGGGGAGAATCTGTTCCATGACTGTCCTAGCTTCTGGTGGTTGCTGGCGATCTTTGGCATTCCTCGGCTTGTAGATGCCTCACTCCAATCTCTGCCTTCATCTTCACGGGGCCTTCTTCCTCTGTGCATGTCTGTGTCCACATTTCCTCCCCACCCCACTGCCTTTTTTTTTTTTAGATGGGGTCTCCCTCTGTCTCCCAGGCTGGAGTGCAGTGGCACGATTTCGGCTCACTGCTACCTCCGCCTCCTAGGCTCATGTGATTCTCCTACCTCAGTCTCCCGAGTAGCTGGGACTACAGGAGCCCGCTACCACGCCTGGCTAATTTTTGTATTTTTAGTAGAGACAGGGTTTTGCCATATTGGTCAGGCTGATCTCGAACTCCTGACCCCAAGTGATCCGCCCGCCTCGGCCTCCCAGAGTGCTGGGATTACAGGTGTGAGCCACTGTGCCCCGCGGTGCTGTGATGTTTTAATGCCATGTACAGATTTGAACGTAGGCAGCTGCCTGGAAGGTCCAGGTTTAACTATCTTGATGAGAGGATTCTCTGGGATCTAAGAAAATCCCAACACTTCGATAAATGAAAAGAATATAGAGAAAATTGATGTATATATTTGGGAACTCAATAGCCTACAGAAAATTTCCATACTGGATCGTGGGTTCTCACCAAGCATGCAGTGACCACAGGTTATTTCTATATTTTATATTTTTGTATTTCCTAGACACCTTTTTTTTTTGTTTGTTTTAGAAGGAGTCGCTTTCTGTCACCCAGGCTGAAGTGCAATGGCACAATCTCGGCTCACTCCAATCTCCGCCTCCCAGGTTCAAGCAATTCTCCTGCTTCAGTCTCCTGAGTAGCTGGGATTACAGGTGCCTGCCACCATGCCTGGCTACTTTTTGTGTTTTTAGTAGAGACATGTTGGCCAGGCTAGTCTTGAACTCCTGACCTCAGGTGATCCACCTGCCTCGGCCTCCCAAAGTGCTGGGGTTACAGGCGTCAGCCACTATGCCCAGCCCTAGACAGCTTTTTAAAAAAGAAAACACTCTCAACAATAAAGAAGACAAACAATTCAATTCAAAAATGGGCAAAAGAACTTGAATAGACAGTTTTTCAAAGAAGATAATACAAATGACCAATAAACACATGAAAAGATGCTCAACATCATTAGTCATTAGAGAAATGCAAATCAAAACCACAATGAGATACCATTTCATACTTACTAGTATGGCTATAATAATATGTTTTTTCAAAAAAGAAAATAACAAGTATTGGTGAGAATGTGGAGAAACTGGAACCTTGTGTGTTGCCAGTGAGAATGTAAAATGGTGCAGCCGCTGTAGAAAACAGGTGGCAGATCCTCAAACAGTTAAACATAGAATTACCATATGACCCAGCAATTCCACTCCTAGGTATATAGCCAAAGAATTGAAAGCAGGGATTCAAACAGATACTTGTCCACCAATGCTCACAGCAGAGTTATTCACAATAGGTAAAAGGTGGAAATAACCTGTGTCTATCAGTAGATGGATAAACAAAATGTGGTATGTATGCACAATGGAATACTATTTGGCCATAAAAGTGAATAAAATCTTGATGTATGATACAACATAGATGGACCATGAAAACATCACGCTCAGTAAAATAAACCAGACACAGAAGAACAGATATTATATGATTCTACTTATGTGAGATTCCTAGAATAGGCAAATTCACAGACACAGAAAGTGGAATAGAGGTTACCAGGGGCTGGGGAGAAGGAGGAAAGGGAAGTTACTGTTTAGTGGGTACAGAGTTTATGTTGCGGATAATGAGAAAGTTTTGGGGATAGATAATGATGATGGGTGCACAGCCTTGTGAATATATTTAATGGCACTGAATTATACATTTACAAATGGGTTAAAATAATAAATACAGTCATGCATTGCTTAATAATGGAGACACATTCTGAGAGATTCGTCGTTAGGTGATTTTGTCATTGTGTGAACATCACAGAGTGTACTTAGACTTAGATGGTGGTGCCTACTACACACCCAGGCTACATGGTACTCCCTGTTGCTCCTGGGCTCCAAATGTGTATAGCATGTGATCATACTGAATACTGCAGGCAACTGTAACACAATGGTAAGTATTTGTGTATCTAAACACATCTAAACATAGAAAAGGTACAGCCAAAATATGGTATAAAAGGTAAAAAATAGTACAGCTCTATAGGGCACTTACCATGAATGGAGCTTGCAGGACTAGTTGTCTGGGTAAGTCACTGAGTGAGTGATGAATGAAAGTGAAGGCCTAGGACAAAAAGTGTAAACACTATACACTTTGGCTACACCAAATTTATTTTAAAATTTTTCTTCATTCGGCCAGGCACGGTGGCTCACACCTGTTATCTCAGCACTTTGGGAGGCTGAGGCAGGCTAATTGCTTGAGGTCAGGAGTTCGAGACCAGCCTGGCCAACATGGTGAAACCTCATCTCTACAAAAAAAAAAAAAAAAAAAATTAGCCAGGCATGGTGGCATGTGCCTGTGGTCCCAGATACTCGGAAGGCTGAGGCACGAGAATTGCTTGAAGCTGGGAAATGGAGGTTACAGTGAGCTGAGATCGCACCACTGCACTCCAGCCTGGGTGACATAGAAAGACTCCATCTCAAAAAATAAAATAAAAATAAATAAATAAATAAATAAAATTTATTTCTTCAACAATAAATTAACCTTAGCTTACTGTAACATTTTTACTTTACAAACTTTTTAATTTAAAAAAACTCTTTGATTGTTTTGTAATAACACTTAGCTTAAAATACAAACACATTGTAACAGCTGTATATAAAGATTTTTTCTTTATATCCTTATCCTATAAGATTTCTCTATTTTAAACATTTTTTTATTTTTAAAATTTTTTGTTAAAAACTAAGACAAAGCACACACACATTATCCTGGCCTACACAAGGGCAGGATCATCAATATCACTGTCTTCCTCCTCTACATCTTGTCCCTCTGGTAGGTTTTCAGGGGCAACAACACACATATAGCTGTCATCTCCTATGATAACACTGCCTTCTTCTGGAATCCCTCCTGAAGGACCTGCCTGGAGGATCTGCCTTTTTAACAAGTAGGAGTACACTCTAAAATAATGATTAAATGTATAGTATAGTAAATACACAAACCAGTAACGTAGTCAGTTTTTATCATTATCATTATCAAGTATTAAGTACTGTACATAATTGTATCTGCTGTACTTTTTTTTTTTTTGAGACAGGTCTGATTCTGTCACCCAGGCTGGAGTGCAGAGGCACGATCATAGCTCACTGCAGCCTCTGCCTCTGACAGTCAAGCAATCCTCCCACCTCAGCCTCCCAAGTAGCTAGGACTACAGGTGCACAACATCATGCCCAGCTAATTTTTTTTTTTTTTTTTTTTTTTTTTTTTTTTTTGGAGACGAGGTCTTACTATGTTGCTCAGACTGGTCTCTAACTCCTGGACTCAAGTGATCCTCCCACCTCAGCTTCCCAAAGTGCTGGGATTACAGGCTGTGTGTGCTACACTTGTATACGACTTGTGTACAGTAGGCTTGTTTACACCGGCATCACCACAAACATGTGAATAAAATAATGCATTGTGCTATGACATTATAACAGGAGTTGCTAGGCAATAAGAATTTTTTTAGCTCCATTATAATCTTACGAGGCTGAATATGTGGTCTATCCCTGACTGAAACACTGTTATGTGGCACATGAACTTACTATGTTATGTGTATTTTACCACAATGAAAAAATGTGATGTGATATATCCTTTAAAAAAAGAAGGAATTGTTTTGCCAGAAATATAGCTCAAGAGCTCATCAATTATTGCCACATTGACTAAAGAGTAGCCTCCTTGAAGTCCTACTTAGACATGACTCTCTTCCTAAATCCCATGTTATTAATTTAACGTAACTCAATGTAGCAAATATTTATTGTAGACCTACTGTGTACAAGGCATTGTCTGTGCTCCTAGTGAGTTTACCAAAGAACTGTGGGGAGAGGGAAATAAGAGAAGTATTAGCAAAGATCCATGGAAAGGAGAGGTTATGTCCAGTTCAAGAAATCTCATTTGTTTTGAGAAGAGGCTGGTCTTGAATGGCAGAGATTTCACTCAGGAGGCTGGCAGATAGGGCATTCTTACCTAGGGAGTGAAGAACATGAGCAGAGGCACCAAGGTAGGAAAACACAAAGTGTATCTGGGAGGCAGTGAGTAGTCAATGTGACTAAAGATTGGGGTGTATGGAAGGAGAATGAGCAGGTGAGGCTCTGAAGTGTGGTTGATGGCCTACTGTAGCAAGCTGGGAACCTGGGGTTGGTGATACTGGACTGGCCATCCTTTGGTAGTGAAGAGGTGACATGATTGGAACCATGCTCCCACAAGGTTAGTCTGGATTTCACTAAGTGAGAGAGAGAGACAGAGAGAGAGAGACAGACAGACAAGGGCCTCAAGTAGGGTGATAGTAGGAGATATAGAACAGCCCGGAGACAGCTGAGACATGGTCGTCAGAGAAGCACAACTTTGGGTGAAGATTTGAGTAAAGGAAGCAGCCAAATCTGGAGAAGAAGGCATCTCAAGAGGTAAGTTGGAGAGTTTGATCTCCCACAGATGGGTTACAAGGGACCTCACCTACTGGAAGTACTATATGTTCGTAAGATTCGTGTTGTGAGTCTTACCAAGGTCTTCCACACTGCCAGCAAACTATATCTAATTTCTCCTATCAGTTCTCTCTCTCATTCTCCATGGGTGGTGTTTCCAGCCTTCTCAGCTTTCCACAGATTTCCCCTTGTGTTACCATCTTCCTTCTCACTCTCAATCTTCAACTTTGCCAAGGATCAAATCAGAATTCCTTCAGTTTCCTGCTTCCTGGCTCCAAACTGACCTGCTTTCTTCCTTCTCTTTTCCTGCCCCTTGCATCTTGCAAAGGACTGAATGTTTGTATTCCCCCAGCAATTCATACGTTGAAACTTTTAATCACCTAGTTGATGATATTAGGAGGCAGGCCTCTGGGAGGTGACTACGTCATGAGGGTGGAGACTCCATGAGCAGGATTAGTGCCCTTATAAAAGAGGCCCCAGGGAGCTGCCTTGGCCCTTCCATCACACAAGGACACAGCAAGTAGGTGCCATCTAGGAACCAGAAAGAAGATCCTCACACAGCACTAGATCCACTGGTGCCTTGAGTTTGGACTTCCCAGCTTTCAGAACTGTGAGAAATAAGTTTCTGTTGTTTATAAGCTACCCAGTTCATGGCTTTTTTTTTTTTTCTTTTTGAGAGAGGGTCTTACTTTGTTGCCAAGGTTGGAGTGCAGTGGCGCAATCACAGCTCACTGCAGCCTTGACCTCTTGGGCTTAGGTGGTCCTCCCACCTCAGCCTCCTGAGTAGCTGGGACTACAGGTACACACCCCCACACCGGGCTAATTTTTGTATTTTTTTGTAGGGTCGGGGTTTCACTATATTGCCCAGGCCAGTCTCGAACTCCTGCACTCAAGCCATCCGCCCGCTTTGGCCTCCCAAAGTGCTGGGATTATAGGCTTGAGCCACTGTCCCCAGCTGGCATTTTGTTATAGCAGCCCAAATGAATTAATGCACACCTGAACTCTACCTACCTCCTTCAGAACCTGGAATGATCAATTATCCCCTCACTCTCCTGTAACATTGACTTTTGTCTATCATTCTTTCTATGGATACTTTTAGATGCTCAAATTTCTCTCTTCTTAGAAACAACTCTCCATTGACCACATGTCCTTTCCAGATACTGCTCCTCTTGCTTCCCTGCCCCAGGCAAACTTGTTGAAAGAATTTTTCATGCTGGCAGTGTGTATGCACGGTGAGCTCATCTCTCCCGACCTCTGCTCTCCGCTGAGTCCTCCCTCCGCTCTCCGCTGAGTCCTCCCTCCATTGTCTGGCTTCCTTCTGCATCACTCCACTGAAACCGCTGCTATCACTGCCACTAACAACCTCTTTGTAACTGTCATAACAAATATTGATCAGTTCTTTTACTTGACTATCCCTGAGTTTTCTTTGAAATGGATTTATTGAGATATAATTCACATACTATGCAATACACCCATTTAAACTGAACAATGAGTTTATTCACATTTTAAAATATTCACAGAGTTGTACACCCATCCCATTCCATTTCCTTCAATTATTGCCTATATATTTTTTAATTGCAGTAAAATACACAAAACATGAAATTTACCAACTTAGTCATTTTTTTTTTGAGATGGAGTCTCACTGTTGTTGCCCAGGATGGAGTGCAATGGCACGATCTCAGCTCACTGCAACCTCCACCTCCCGGGTTCAAGCGATTCTCCTGTCTCAGCCTCCCTAGTAGCTGGGATTACAGGTACACGCCATCACGCCCAGATAATTTTTTTTTTGCATTTTTAGTAGGGACGGGGTTTCACCATGTTGGCCAGGCTGGTCTCGAACTCCTGACCTCATGTGATCCACCTGCCTAGGCCTCCCAAAGTGCTGGGATTACAGGCGTAAGCCATTGCACCTGGCCTTAGCCAGGAAGTATACAGTTCCATGGCATTAAGTACACTCACATTGTTGTGCAACCATTCCCACCATCAATCTCCAGAAAACTCTTTTCATTTTGCAAAGTTGAAACTC
Source organism: Homo sapiens (assembly GCF_000001405.40). Classification (NCBI taxonomy): domain Eukaryota; kingdom Metazoa; phylum Chordata; class Mammalia; order Primates; family Hominidae; genus Homo; species Homo sapiens. The sequence goes on along the minus strand of NC_000002.12, from coordinate 60,613,736 downwards.
TGTAGCCATTAAATAATAACTGCTCATTTTTCCTTCCTCTCCAGCCCCTGGCAAACACTATTCTACTTTTCGATTCTATGAATTTGACTACTCTAGTTACCTCATGTAAGTGGAATTATACAGTATTTGTCCTTTCGTGACTGGCTTATTTCACTTAGTCTAATGTCCTCAAGGTTCATCCATGTTATAGCATGTGTCAGAATTTCCTTCGTTTTTAAGGCTGAATAATATTCCACTGTGTGTGTGTGTGTGTGTGTGTATATATATATATAGTGTATATATACACACACAATACATACACACACACACACACACACACACACACACACACACATATATATATATATATAAATAATGTCTTGCTGTGTTTTCCAGGCTGGTTTTGAACTCCTGGCCTCGAGCAATCCTCCCACCTAGGCCTCCCAAAGTGCTGGGATTACAGGTGTGAGTCAACACACCTGGCCAATAATTCTATTTTTAATTTTTTGAAAAACTGCCATGCTGTTTACTACAGAAACTGCACTATTTTACATTCTTACCAACAGTGCACAAAGATTTCAATTTTTCTACATTTTTGCCAATATTTATTTTCTGTTCCTTAAAAATAGTAGCCATGCTAATGGGTGTGAGGTGGTATCTCATTGTGGTTTTGATTTGCATCTTTCTAATGACTAGTGGTGTTGAGTATCTTTTCATGTGCTTATTGGCCATTTGTATATCTTCTTTGGAAAAATAATTCAAGTCCTTTGCCCATTTTTGACTTTTCTTTTGTTGTTGTTCATTTGTAGGAATTCTGTATATATTCTGGATATTAATCACCACAATCAATTTTAGAACATTTTTATTAGTCCAGAAAGAAAACTTATACCCCTTAGCCACTCCTTAAGCTCCCATTCCCTCCCCTTGGATTTTTGACACTGATGATGATGAATGCTTTCTTGAAGCACTCTCTTGCTTTGGCTTCTAGAGAATTATCCTCTTCTGGTTTCTTCCTACTTCTTTAGTCACACCTTTGCTTCATTCCATCTGCCATCAATTAAACTCTGACATTCTTCAGGATTCCATCCTTGGCTTTCTTCCCTTCTTACTGTATACTCTCTCTGGATGATCTTGCTTATTTTTATGATTTGTATGATGACTCTCAAATCTCTATTTCCAGTCCACATCCAATCCACCTCCACTTCTGACTGGCTCCAACTCTTTCATATCCCTGAATTCATGAGCTTTTCTCCATTTCCACTGCCGTTCTCCAATTCTCAACCACTGCCATCCACTATCTCTTGCCTGGGTTACCCCACAGCCTCCTAACTGGTCTCCCTACCTCTAGTCTTGCCTCCTTCAAATATGCATAGTTTTGAGAGAGATTTTCTACGTTTGAATCTAATCATGGTTCCCAGTCCCTTTAGTGTGGTTTCTCTTGCTGCAGGGTCTGTACAGGCAGTTCCTTCTGCTTGAACACTCCTCAGAACCCTTTCCACACACCGGATTGACTTGCCCTTCCTGTATCAGCTGACACCTCACTCCCTCCAGAAAGTGAAGGAAGTGCCCTGCTTCCCACAGATAGGAGCAGCCCATGTAGCTGCCCCAAGCAGCCTGTGGCCCTGCTCATACCCTAATTTTCTGTTCATCTTTCTATATGTCCCACCAGGGTACAAGTTCTCTGTGTGGCTTGCCTGGCACACAGTAGGTACTCGTCATATATTTGCTGTGTGAATTTTTGATATCGTTGTTTAGCATAAATTGAGTGTTGCTCTGGAACTTGGTAGAGAAGATCAGGTTGGAGATTTAAATGGAAATTTGAGAGCTAATTGTATGCAGGAGACAGTGGAAGCATTAAATGGTCACCTTATTATATTTGGATTTTTAAGCCAATTGAAAGGATTCTCAAGTTTCTCTGTCTTCAAAATCTGTTTGTGTTTTAAGTCCAGAGTCATTAATAACTATTTAGGCAGCTCCAGATGATCCCATTTCTGACTTGAACTGCACAAACTTGTTTTGTGCTAGAACTTAATTTAAGAAGGTCCATTTCAGTCGGCTTCATGCTCTGCAAAGTCGCCTCTGCCTGTTGTCTTGACTGTCTGTCACTGGCTTTTGGAAGGATGGGGGTAACTCCTGAGCTGAATACTATCTGAATTCTTTGTATTACATCAGAAAATGGTTGAATTTTGGTCTCCAGTTATTTCAAACTTATTCATGGGTGAGCTACTTGAACATAGCCAGGGACCAGATAGACTTGGGACATGATAGCGACTGAGTATTATTTCTATAAAAGAATATCTCCTTATATGCCTACAACCAAGAAGTATGATGATGGTATTAAGTGCTCACTAGGTATATTTAGTCCCTATGACTCATTTAGTCCACACAGCAACCCTAAGAGGTAGATATCATTATGTCCACTTTACAGATGTGGCTACTGAGAGATAGAGAAGTTATGCAGTTTGCCCTAGGTCACTCAGTTTATAAATAGTGGAGCCAGTATTTAAACTTAGGGTGGTTGGAGTGAGTGCCCAGCCTCACAAGTCCTGTACTGGGCTGCTCTGAAAAGGTACCCTAAAGCCAATCCTGGCTCCCTGATGTCTAAAGAAGGCATGGATAAAACCCTACAGTGGCAAAAACATGGCAAATACACTGCACTCCTAATTCATGATAGGCTTCTACTTCCATCACTGCTTTTAATCTTTATAAGAACCCCAAGTGTGCAAGGACGGGGCCGCTATCCCCATTTTAGAGATGAAGGCACTGAGACGCAGGCAGGTTAAGTGACTTGCCCACTGTCTCACAGCGAGGCAGAAGCCGGGCTATTAGAACCCAGGTCTCCTGGCTTTTAGTTAAAAAGCTTTTTTCCATTACAGCACAACCTTGTGGCCTTCAGCTTTCAGACTCCGATTGAACAGCAGCATACGAATTAACTGAGGTTACTATATTATCTCCTAAAATGACGGCTTCCCATTTAAAAAAAAAAAAAAAGAACAGCAAAAATTCACCAATGGAACATGTGCAAAATGCATTTTCACAAGGTCATTGTTACTCAGAGCTGTTTTAAAAAATTATTATTCTCCAGTTGGGCTTTTGGTCCATGATCCCATGGCATGTGCAGCTAAATTGCAATTTAAAAATTTAAACAAACAATGTTTCAGAATTGATTTCTGGTTAATAGGCCTGGTTTGGGAAGATGGTGGGTTTGGAAGATGTGTACGAAAAGGAACAGAGAAACTGACTGACCAACACAGTTAAGGAATTTAAAGATGTTGATCTGGATAAGAATAATTCAAGGAAATACAGCAGCAGTTGGGTTTAGTGGACCACATGGCAGTACCATCAGCACTACGTGCTAGTAACGTGTCTTCGTCAGTATCTAAGTGCATGATGGATTGCCATGGGGACAGCAACAGTATACACAGTTAGCACGCTTGTTGGGATTTGTGTTGGTTTTATCATATATATATATATATTTTGAGACAAGGTCTTGCCCTGTTGCCAAGGCTGGAGTGCAGTGGTGTGATCCTAGCTCACTACAAACTTGAACTCCTGAGTTTAAGGATTCTCCTGCCCTGGCCTCCCAAAGTGTTGGGATTACAGGCATGAGCCACCATACGTGGTCATAATTTTAGCTGTCAAAAGTATTGTCTTTAAAACACCTACAGATATATGTATTAGATCATAATTCAAGAAATTAATCGGAGTCTTACTCTGTTTAAGGTGAGGTGCCAGGTTCTGCATCTGGATTTTTGATGTTATGTGAGTCTGTGAGATTTGGGGGTGCAGGAGCCACTTCAGGGATGCAGCAGGAGCTGCCCGGTGACTGTCTCCTGCCTGCCGCTCTTTGGGGGAGCCAGAGCCCTCACTTCATCCATAAAGGTGCTTAGGGGATTCCCAGTTTCTGAGCCTCCCAGAGATCCAAGAAGCAGATGTTAGAGGGGGAAGCCCCACCTACCCTTCGGCTTTGTTCCCAGGCCAAATAAAACCAGAAAAATCTTTCTATTTTGAGAAAGGCAATTTATTCTGGACTCATGTTTTCTCCCACACTTGGGCAGGTGAGATAATCTTAATGCAGTTTTATCAGCCTTAACTCTTGAATTCTTGGCTGCTAAACTTAAAAAAACAAAACAAAACAAAACAAAACAAAAACCTCAAAGAAGCATAAACCCCAAATTTCCATACCAAAGAGCAGCAGGCTCTTATTGGAAACCTTTATCTCTTTTGTGGTGGTGCTTGTCTCATATTCTGTAACAGAATGGTGAGAAAATCAGGTATATGAGGAGAAAATGCTGCGAAGACAGAAATTTAAAACTAACTGGCTGATAACAATGAAGCAATACACATATGTTCTTTTCATCCTCTTTCTTTAGCAAATATGTTGAGAAGGAAAAATGTCTTACTTAAAACAACCTTTCACATCTTCATCCTTGGAAACTCAAATTGACTTTACAATATTGGATACAGAACTGGTTTTGTTTTTAGTTTTTGATTAAGTTCTTAAGAAATGCCTCTCAAGATGGACTAAAATACAAAACAAGGAAAATTAAAAGGTACATCTAGGAAAGTGGACCACAAACCAGGGTTCATCTCCAACTAGAAATTCTTAGGTGTTTGTGTGTGGTGGAAGTTTTTCTGAAAGTTCCAAAGGTCACCAGATGTGAAGGGAAGTCTGCAGTTACAATTTCACGTCTGTGCTTATGTGCTCTGTGATAAATCACATTTATTTCTCTGAACATTTCAGCCACTTGTTATCATTTTTCAATAATTTTTACTCTGTTCTAGGAAGCTTTCTCTGGGATAATTTGTCTCCTAAATCTCCTGTCTTTTATTTGCCCCCAGTGAGAGAAGCAGGAAGTACAAGGCAGGTCTTGGAAAAGAAGTTGGCTATTCCCCATGAAACTCTGAGCAACTCTTAACTCCTGCCCTACAAGATATTTTTTTTTTGACCTAATGCGAGAATGGCCAAAAATTCAATGAATCAAAGGATAGGAATATGAGTTCAAAACGTGGGAACCTTCCTGAAGAAAATAGTTTATACTTGGGGAAGAATTAAATATGTCCAAAAAACCCCAAAATATAATAAAAGAGAAACACACAGGGCTTATTTAAAATTCATATTTGTGATTTTCTGATGATTCACGGGATTTAATTTCTATCTTAAAATATTTATTTGAAACTCTTTCCTTTCTCCCTTGTGAATATCACTATTGTCACACTTAATATGTAGCAGATTAGCCAACTCTACTGAAAGTAGTAAAATAAGGATAAAAATAGGACTTCCATAGGGCTGTTGTGAGGATTAAGCTACATGAAATTCTTAGAACAGGGCCTGGCATAGTGTAAAGTGTTCAATATTTATTTATTGTTATTGTTATTACTTTTGAATATATCTTCATATTTATTTTTCACACAATTGGGATCAAGTTATACACACTCTTTTGACACCTACAATCTTTTTAACATAATAGCTTGCAGACAGCTTTCTATATTAATAGCTATAAATATATTTTTCTTAAAAAAAAGAAAAAACAGTGGACTGTACTGGTTATTTGTTGGACTCAACCAGTCTAGAAAATGAAAGCCACAAATTCACTAGGTCATTCTCTGGATTCCTATCACGATTTAGTAGTGTCAAAGAGACCAAAATCAATAACATCTAGATTCTGTGAGCTGACTTGGCAACCAGACCCCCAGCAAACAGAGGTGGTTTGGTCTGCAGGAGCCCCTGAGTGACTCATGGACATCAAGGCAGGCTTCAGAGCCCCCTGGCAGCCTAGTGGTATCCCAGGGTGGGAACATGGTGGGATTACTTCTCATGCCGAATCAAAGTTTTATTATTGTTTGGGGACTTGAGACCCAATCAGGTTTCCTTCCTAGGTATAAGCTGGTTCCCACTTGTTGAACTAAGAATCTAGAAGCCAGCTGGCCCTGCTGCCTGTCCTGTCCTTGACACTGGTTTCGATCTGAATGGCCTCCTCGTGGGAGCCTATGGTGAGGGGAGAGGAAACTGACCACATACCTGATGGTATTCACCTTCTGTTCTGGGTTAAATAGTGTCCCCCAAAAGTTAGTTCATGCTCAGCTGGAACCTGTGAATGTGACCTAATTTGGAAATAGTGTCTTTGCCAGATGTAATCAAATAAAGATAAGTCACACTGGATTCAGTTGGGCCCCAAATCCAATAGGACTGGTGCCTCTATAAGATGGAAATTTGAACACAGACACATAGGGAGATGCCATCCAACAATGATGGCAGAGATTGAAGTTATGCTGCCCCAAGCCAACGAATTCCAGAGATTGCCAGCAACCACCAGAAGTCAGGGGAGAGGCATGAACAGACTCTCCTTTTGAGGCCCAAGAAGGAACCAACCCTGCAGATACCTTGATTTCAGCCTTCTGGTCTCCAGAACTGTGAGAGACTAAATTTCATTGTTTTAAGCCACCTAGTTTGTGGTCATTAGTTATGGCAGCCCTAGGAAATTAATATACCTTCTTACGAATATATGCATATCGGAGTGGAAATATGCAAACGATATACCCTGAGTAGATAAGGAAGGAAGGAAGGGAGGAGAAAGGACAAGTGTGTAGCTGGCCAACACTGTTTAATCAGAGGACATCAGATATTGCTTGTTAAGGTATTAAGGCTCAATTAAGGCTAGGTGTGGTGGCTCACACCTGTAATCCTAGCACTTTGGGAGGCCAAGGTAGGCTTGAGTTCAGAAGTTCGAGACCAGCCCTGGCAACATAGTGAGACCTCTTATCTACAAAAAATAAAAAACAAAATTAACCAGGCATGGTGACACTTGCCTGTAGTCCCAGCTACTTGGGAGGCTGAGGTGGAAGGATTGCTTGAGACTGGGAGGTAGAGGTTGCAGTGAGCCAAGATCACACCACTGCACTCCAGCCTGGGTGACAGAGTGAGACTCCATTAAAAAAAAAAAAGGCTCAATTTAAATCATCCGATAATCTGACCCTGAATTCATAGCTGATGGTACCTATACTGTGATGGAAAAACAAGGCAGTTATAATCCATACATCCATATGTATGAGTGGTAGCATGTTTATCTATACATAACATACTACTTAGATGATGCATGCAAAAAAAGCATAGACTTATCAGGTTTTTTTTTTTTTTTTTTTTTTTTTTGAGATGGAGTCTCACTCTGTCGCCAGGCAGGAGTGCAGTATGCTCGGCTCACTGCAACCTCCGCCTCCCGTATTCAAGTGATTTTCCTGCCTCAGCCTCCTGAGTAGCTGGGACTACAGGCACACACCACCACGCCCAGCTAATTTTTGTATTTTTAGTAGAGACGGGGTTTCACCACATTGACCAGAATGGTCCCGATCTCTTGACCTCATGATTTGCCCGCCTCGGCAAATCATGTGCTGGGATTACAGACATAAGCCACCGTGCCCGGGCAACTTATCAGGTTTTAAGACACACCTTCACTCTTTCCTTCTTTGGGCTACTCAAATGGAAAAATAAGACTAGGACCTGAGTTCTCTCTGTCATTTCCTAAGCAAAATTTACTTTCTGTTCATGCTGCATAGCAGAGAAAATGCCACTTGCCTTTTTCCAGTGCCTTGCATCTTAAAGAGTAATGTGTTTTACTGCTATTCTCCCTGCCAAGCCCATGTGGGCCCAGCTCCTCTCACTCTGCCATGCCGTTATTCATTTTAGATCCCAGCCAGGCTGAGCTCTGCGCTCTGTTCCCAGTCTTTGACTATGTGCTCGCTCTGACGCTCTTCCCAACCCTCTTTTCACTTGCCTCACATCTATTGCACTTTAGGTCTCTGGGAAGCTTCCTGATCCCCCACAAATGGGATTCTACAGTATATATCCATATCTCCTGTAGACTGTATCACAGTGTGTGGTGATTGTCTCTTTTTTCTTCCCAGAACTAAGAGCTCCTTCTGATTCACAAGATCCCAGGGGCACCATTTTCTTGGAGCCCTGCTCACTGCTAGAACCCCAGAAGCTGGCACATCATAGGGGCTTAACAAATATTTGTTGAATGAAAGAACTACTCAATAAATTTATTGACTTATATATAGCTTTTTAGAGTTTGTGCTAAATAAGGGAACATATACGGACACAAATGGGATCATCTACTTATACATAAATATATAATCTTCATAATAACAACAATTTATTTGACAACTGCAGTGTGCCAGGCTAAGTGCTATATTATTTACCTACATTGTTCTAGTACTTACCATAATCCCTGAGATAGATGTTATCCCTATGTTACAGACGATGAGCATGAGGCTCAGAGAGGTTAAGATGCGTGTTCTGACTTCCACAGGTCACAAGTCGGCTTCCAAAGATTGTGTTCTCTCCACCACAAGATTCTCTCCGTGTGTTATATACTGGAAGCTACCGTATTTCTCAGGCACCTGCCATGCTCCCAATCCACCAGGCTTTGATGATGACCTGCTGTCCATACCTGGGATTGCCATAAAGTGGCTGCCAGGGCCAGGTCCATAGGAGGAGGAGGGGGCTGGGCTGGGTTAAGGGGGTGCCCAGAAGCTGCAGTAACCACAGTGTCTGCCCCTTTTGCTGAAGAAAGTCCTGGGAACTGTCAAGGCAGATGTGTCTTGGAGTTCTTGGTGTATCCAAGCCCTCAGTACTCTCCTGCAAGGTGGAAGTGTCCCTTGCACCTCCTTCTGTCGGTCACCTTGATATTTGGGCACAAGGGCTGTGCTGCCTTCACTCTCAATGTGTCACTGGGCTTGAGCCCAGCCACTCCTACATTATTCACCTGCAGTTCCATGCCCTCTTTTGAAGACCCAGGCCCAAGTCTGGTGGGCAGGAGGAGGATTCGAGTGTCCCTCCAGGTGCTGTCCATAAACTCACACTGAGTTATTCTCTTTTAAGCAAATCTGATGACTTGACTGTTTGCTGGTGAAGATGTTCCTGGGAACCTCAGCCGTCTTGGGCCCAGTCATAGTCAAGTCCTTGGCTCACTCTGGGCTTTGCTATGGATGCACAGACACTTGGTGCATATTACACACCATTGCATAAGAACACCTTAATCTCTGTTAGGTCAGACTCCACCTACCTAGGCTTCAAGAGTATTTGAACCCCAGTCAGGGTCCAATGATCACACTGAAAGAGAAACCAAGACTTTTTGCTAAATGAATTTTGAGCCTAGAGTGACTTTGCTTTACAATGAGGATCACTAATAATATTAGTTTCCTAGGGCTACTGTGACAAAGTACCATAAACTGGGTGGCTCAAACAATAGAAATTTATTCTCTCACAATTTGTGGAGGCCCAAAGTCTGAAATCGGGGTGTTGGCAGAGTTGGTTCCTTCTGTGAGCTGTGGGCAAGGGATCTGTCCCCGGTCACTCTCCTTGGCTTGTAGACAGTCCGCTTCTCTATGTATGTCTCTTTACATCATCGTCCCTCTAAGTGTGTCCAAATTTCCCCTTGTTGTAAGGACACTGAGGATAATGGATTAAGGCCCTCCTTAACGACCTCACTTTAAATTGATTACCTATTTAAAGACCCTATATCCATATAAGGTAACATTCTGAGGTACTAGGGGTTAAGACTCCAATATATCTTTTTTGGGGGACACAATTCAACACATAACATGAACCAAGTCAAGCTAAGAGCTTGGGCTCTGAGCCAGACAGTTCAAGTTCACATTCTGGCTCTGTTCTCTACTCGCTTCGAACCTTTAGGCAAGTTGTGTATGCTCAATGGGCCTCTGTTTCCTCACTGCAAATGGGAATGGTAATAATAGAACCTCCTTTTTTGTGCAGTTGTGAAGCATCTATGTGGTTGCACTTGTCCCGTGCTGAGCACAGTGCTGGTGCTTATAAGCACTTGATGAATAGATTTCATTATGATAAAAAGGGAGGCAAGAGACTGAGGAAGAAGATGCCAGGAAGATGATTTTGGGCCCACCTGATGCAAGCTGACTTACTATGGGACTGGCTGTTTTCTAAGACGGTGGGGGCCTGTAGGGTCCTCCCGGAGTTCTTGAGGCCCCAAATCCCTGAGGGCTGTCTGTGTTTCCGGAAGATTCCAGGGAATACTCACACTCACTTCCCTGAGGTTTGACCTATGCCCTAGTTCCAGCAAATCTGAGTCTGCATTTGGGCTTTGGGTTACTGTTAGCTGTCTCAATGAACTAAAATAAACCCCATTAACATCAACAGGTTCTTTGAAAACAAGGCTATATGTGTGTTTGTTCCTCTTCCTTCTCTGGAAAATGGCAGCATGCCCTTCATTGAAATTAGAAGAGACTTTTCTACATTCCAGCACCACGAGGCACTCACTCCGCATTCCACTCCTCCATTGCTTTAAAATATATATAAACAGACAACACTTTAGATGCTAGGAAATGATGTGACCTAGAAAGTGAGATGACAGATAAATGAGGGAAGGATCTCCAGGAACACAATCTTGTCGAGCTGGATCTTGTCAGAGCAGATTTTCTGTGACCATAATAAAGGGCTTTTAACACGAGCTGCGTTGCCTCATTTCCGAAGAGTAGAGGCTACAGAGATTCTTAAAAAGGAAAAATAAATATTGCTCTAATTGGAGCCAGAGGTGAGGCAGGGTGGGACAATGAGCGAGAAAGAACTATTTATGTTGGAAAAAGGGAAGCGTTAGAAACGATTTAGCTGAGAAATTCAGGAAGATGAAGGGCTTGGTCAAGACCGAAGTGGGCCCCTTGTTTGAGAAGAAAGGAGAGAGTCCAGGAATGAAGGGGAAGAATCAAATTACAGGGCAGCAAATGTAAGCTAAATGAAAAGAGAAACCACCGCTTTCCACAGGTATTGAGGCCAGGAAATTCAGTGTTAGGACAGGGTGTGCTGGCTGAATCTCAAAAGCATTGGGAAAATTTTCATGCTAATGAAATACGTTCATGGTTGGTCAGGATAAGATAATAGTTACCTGAGCAGAGGCTGGAAGATATTTTAAAAGATGATCATAAATAATAGTGTCCCCAGCCAGACTGGAGATTCCTAGAAAGTTGATTTAATGTCTTACATTTTTCTTTTGTATTTCCCCATTAGTGCTTGACACATTGGTCATGGCTCTTTTTTTTTTTTTTTTAATTAAGGCAGATGTTTTACATTCTTCATGTCTAATTGTTAACAACGACCCCCTTTTACATTTGGGCACACAGATAAAAATAACTTATTCATTGAAAAGCGGAACTGAGATTCAAACCCAGCTCTGCCCCGGGTCTAAATGAGAACAATATCTCAGGATATTTCACAGAATTCAGAGAACTTGAGACATGAAGTAGAAATTCGAAAATATATGATCTGACCACATTTCCTCTTATTTTTACAATTGAAGACACTAGGTTCGGAGGTGAGAAGGAATGTGTCCAAGGTCCCGTAGGAAACGGCAAAGCAGGGAGTCATTTGCTAAATAAATGAATTCATGAATCTGTGGAATTTCTGTAGAAGTTAGGAGAAGCATATTTTTGTACACCTCACACTTTCAAATTCTTTCTGAAATGTCTAAGTATTCTCACGTCTCATGTTTTAAACAATTTATACCATGGCAAATAATGAAAGAAATTATACTCACCTACTTTTAACAAATGTCAAAAAATAGCGCTGGAGAATGTAAAAAAAAATTCTTATTAATCTTTCTGCCTCTGCTAGTTTTGGTTTACCAGAACTCAATTAATATCCAAATTCCTCTTGGGAGTAGAACTAGATTAATGATGGCAATTTTTAATCAAACAAAAGTTTGATAGAGATTTTGAGAATATTCAACAACTAGAATCTCATTCAACAAACACTTGGTCACTATTGACTCTACACTCCATGCTAAGTGTTAGGGCTGCAAAGTTGAATAGAGGAGTATTCTTGTCTTCCAAGATCTTCTAGCTTAATGGAGAGACAGTCATACAAAGAGATATGTCAAAGTGTTGTAAGTAGAGAACATATACAAATAAAAGTCTAATTCAGTAGAAGTTATTAGGAAACCTATTGAATGAAATATAAACATGAGCCAGGTACAGTGGCTCACACCTGTAATACTAGCACTTTGAGAGGCCAAGGTGGGCAGATCATCTGAAGTCAGGAGTTTGAGACCAGGTTGGCCAACATGGCGAAACCCCGTCTCTAGTAAAAATACAAAAATTAGCCAGGTGTGGCGGCATGTGCCTGTAGTCCCAGCTACCCAGGAGGCTGATGCAGGAGAATTGCTGGAACCCAGGAGGTGGAGGCTGCAGTGAGCCAAGGTCGCACCGCTGCACTCCAGCCTGGGTGACAGAGTGAGACTCTGTCTCTAAAAAAAAAAAAAAAAAAAAAGTGTAAAAGAAATATAAACGTGATTCATACTTAGACAACTATTGTTTATAAATGAGTGCTCCAGGCCAGGCATGCTGGCTCATGCCTGTAATCCCAGCACTTTGGGAGTCTGAGGTGGGCAGGTCACCTGAGCTCAGGAGTTCCGGACCAGTGTGGCCAACATGGTGAAACCCCATCTCTACTGAAAAAGAAAGACAAAAATTAGCTGGGCATGGTGATGTGTGCCTGTAGTCCCAGCTACTCAAGAGGCTGAGGCAGGAGAATCGCTTGAATCTCAGAGGTGGAGGTTGCAGTGAGCTGAGATCACACCACTGCACTCCAGCCTGGGCAAGAGAGCAAGACCAGGTCTCAACAAAAACAAATAGATAAATAAATTAGTGCTCCAGAAGTTCTCCAAATGTACTTGAAATTTTTCTTCTCTTATTCCTTGTGACTATAACCCTATCTTGCTTATTGTACTGATGAGTTATTACTGTATAACAAATTACTTCAAAACACTGTGCCTCAAAGCTACAGCATTTATCATCTCACGGTGTCTGTACATCTGGAGTCTGCACGTGGCTTAGCTGGGTCCCCTGGCTCTGTTTTCTCACAAGGCTTTGAGGTATTGGCGGGGGCTATAGTCATCTAAAGGCTTGACTGGGGTGGATCTGCTTGCAAGCTCACTCAGGTGGTTGTTGGCAGGATGCAGTTGTCTGCAGGCTGCTGAGCAGAGGCCTCCTGGCCTCTCCTTGCCATATGGGCTCTCCATAGGGCAGGTCACAGCATGGTAGCCACCTTTTCTTACTGTGAGTGAGGAGGAGGGCAAGAGAGATAGAAAGAGAGAGAAACAGATGAGCGTCATAATCTTTTATAACCTAATCTCGGAAGAAACGTCTCATAACCTTTGCCATATTCTATTCATTGGAGGCAAGTCACTAGGTCTATCCCACTTTCAAGAGGAGGGGATTACACAAGGACATCAATAGCAGAACATGATCATGGAGGACTATCTTAGGAAACTGCCTATCCCATGAATTTATTCCACGAGCAGTGTGATGGACCCTGAAGAGGGACCATTCTCCCATGGGCCCAAACCAGAAATACAAAGTCACCCTTTGCTCACTTCCCTTCCACCCCAGCGAATCTACCACCTTGTCTTGTTGTTTCTATTCTACCTCTGAAATATCTCTCAAGGTCACCCAACTGGGGGTCAATTCTCTCCATTCCAACTGCCACCTCCTTGGTTCAGGTCCTTGTTGCTTCTTGTGTGGATTTGGGATTGAAACAAAAACCTCAGTGTTCTTTCTGGCTCCAATCTGGGTACCTCCACACAGAGCTGGCACCATCTTTCTAAGGCCCCAGTCTGAGTCAGTCAGTCCAGTTTAAAGCCCCTCAAGTGGCTCCCCGTGGTCTAAGGATAATGCTGGAATGCCTAGCTTACAGAACAAGGCACCTTGTGATGTGGGCCTCCTTCTCTGAGTGCTCCTCTTCCCTGTACTCCAGCTACTTGGAATGATTTGCAGCTTCCAAACTGGCCATGTACTCTCTGCCTCCTTGGAATAACAGCTCCGTTTTCTTCCTCTGAATGGTCCTCGCTCAGGACTCTGCTCAGAAGAGATGCTCTCGGAGAAGCCTTCGCTGCCCTCCCTAAGGCAGGTTGGGGCCCTCCTGGTGCTCCCATAGACCCCTGGCCAACTTCCTCCTGATGCTGCACACAGCCCTGCAATGATTTGTTTTCATGTGTGTCCACTCAGCCCTCCTATTCTCTAAGATCTGAAATCAGGAAATATGCCTTTTAGTCATTTTATCCCTGTGTCTGTGAGGTGCTTGGTCACTAGTAGTTGGATAAATGGTGATGGAAACTCCAGGAAACTTTCTGCTTCTCAGTTCTTTCAGCTCCTTTTATGCCAGTTAGCAGGAACAGCTACATTAATTCATGCTCTCAGTGAAAAATGGAGATGTGGGAGCCCTTGTTTAAAAAGCAGGAAGAAAGCCTGTTTTCATTCTCCCTCTCTCTTGACCTATTGTAGTTTCTTTTTTTTTGTTTTCTTTTTTTTTAATTTGCTATATAATGTTGTGTACCCTGGAGCATAGGGATATTTGCATAAGGAGTGCAGACCCCCACAGGCACCTGCCTGCACCTGGGCCCTCTCACTCACTCACTTACTCTGAGCGGGGGACACCATTTCTCGGTAAGAGTATGAGAGCCGAAGGTAAAGAGCCCGATCTGGGAGGTGGTGGGAGGCAGGACCACGTGTGAGCCGAAGTTCTAAGCCCTTAGGGTACACTCCATTGTCTCATCAGACTTTATTTACAAAATAAAAACTCAAAGATAAAGCTATTGACAATTTGGACAGGGTGTGGTGCCTCACACATGTCATCCCAGCACTTTGCGATGCCAAGGTGAGAAGATTGTTTGAACTTGGGAGTTAGAGACCAGCCTGGGCAAGATGGCGAGACTCTGTCTCTACAAAAACAAACTTAAAAATTAGCTGGGAGTGGTGGCGTGCACCAATAGTCTCAGCTACTGGGATGCTTAGTTGGGAAGATCGCTTGAGCCTCGGAGGTTGGGGCTGCAGTGAGCTGTGATTGCTCCACTGCACTCCAGCCTGGGTAACATAGTGAGACCCCGTGTCAAAAAATAGTTACTGACATTTTGAAGATGGTGACCACAGAGCATTAAACCCCTAGCCCGGGGTTCCCTTCTGAGCACAGGGTGCTGTGAGACTGCAAGGGTTATATGCCCATGAAGCCACCCTCTTTGTCATCCATATCCTATTGAAATCCTTCCTGTGGAATTTGGACTATTCTCACTGGGTTTTTTTTTGTTGTTGTTGTTTGTTTTTTGTTTTCCCTGTATCTACCAGCCATGGCAGGACCAGAGTGTGGAAACTTCCTAAGGCATATCCGCAATGCATAGGAGGAAGTAGCAACAGATTTTCAGGGAATAGCAAGGAAAACTGGAAGCCTTCCTGAGATCATGCTCCTATACATGATCCTTGAGCACGTATATCCAGGAAGTCCAGAGTTCTCCACCGTGTTTGTTAGTTATTAACAAACAGTATTCTCAAGGTAAAATAAGATTAAGGCAGAGTAGACAGGGAGCATTTATTCCTTCTAAAGGTCACCTTCCATTAATTGCTTCTGCCATCCTCTTCATGGTCAAGCTAATCCCCCTACCCTGCAAGCTGGACTCCATCCCTTTTTCCCTTCCAATGTCTTTTAAGAGATTTATGCTCTTCAGTAGATCCAATGGTGATTTAGGAAAAAAAAGTTTTCTGCTCTAGAATACTCCATCTTCGCCATCTCACTCACAGTCATACGGGAGTCTGACTCATGGCCCTGCTCCCTGGGTGCCTGGACCTGCTCTCTCCATGGTCCTTCAGCAACATCCTAATCCCCAACTTCTATGAGCCCCTTGCAGAGTTCTAGTTTGGGCTCCCTGTTGCAGCGGACACTGTTGAGCTCGCTCTCCATGAAGCACCTCTCTTTTTGGCCCTCGGATGACATACTGTGGTCTCTTCCTTCCTCTTGAGCTTTTCTCTCCTTCTTTGCCTCCTGTGGGTTTCTTTTCCTCTGTCTGTATCTTAGGACATTGTTCCACCAATGTTCTTGCTAGGCTTAATCTGTTTCTTACTGGATCCTGGCTCCAGTTTTGCCCTAATTTTCTTAGAGATTTTGTGAATTGCTTACGCCCTCTGAGCTTCCATTTCTGTACCTCTAAAAGAGGGTTCCTCAGTCTTCAAACTATTCACATTTTGAGTCTGATAATTCTTTGTTGTAAGAGACTGTTCTGTGCACTGTAGAATGTTTTGTAGCATTTCTGGCCTCTATCCATTGGATGCCATAGCACCTCCCAGCTGTGACAACCAAAAATGTCTCAAGATGTTGCCAAATATTCCCTGGAGGGCAAAATTCCCTGGCTGAGAACTACTGCTCTAAGATGAGGAGGTGAAGTAGGTTATTTGTATTCGTTTCCTAGCGCTGCCATAACAAAGGACAACAAACTGGGCAGCTTAAACAGCAGTAATGTATTGTCTCACAGCTCTGGAGGCTAGAAGCCCAAGATCAAGGTATCAGCAGGGCTGGTTCCTTCTGAGAAAAAAAAAAATCTCTTCAAACTCTCTGCTAGTTTCTGGAGATGTGCTGGCAATCTTTGGCATTCCTTGGCTGATCTCTGACTTTACATTCACAAAGAGTTCCCCGTGTGTGTGCCTGTGTGAAAATCTCCCATTTTTATAAGGTCACTGCATTCGTCTGTTTTCACACTGCTATAAAGAACTACCTGAGGGAGATGGTGTGATGGCTCACGCCTGTAATCCCAGAACTTTGGGAGGCCAAGGCGGGTGGATTACTTGGGGTCAGGAGTTTGAGACCAGCCTGGCCAACATGGTGAAACCCCGTATCTACTAAAAATACAAACATTATCTGAGTGTGGTGGTGCGTGCCTGTAATCCTAGCTACTCGAGAGGCTGAGGCAGTAGAATCACTTGACCCCAGGAAGTGGAGGTTGCAGTGAGCTGAGATCATGCCACTGCACTCCAGCCTGGGCAACAGAGACTCCGTCTCAAAAAAAAAAAAAAAAAAAAAGAAGTACCCAAGACTGGGTAATTTATAAAGAAAAGAGGTTTAATTGACTGACAGTTCTGCATAGCTGTGGAGACCTCAGAAACTTCCAATCATGGTGGAAGGCAAGGGGGAAGCAAGGCACATCTTACATGATGGCAGGAGAGACAAACAGAGAGCAGGAGGAAGTGCCACACAGTTTTAAACTACCAGATCTTGTGAAACCTCACTATCACGAGAACAACGGGGAAATCTGCCCCCATAATCCAGTCACCTCCCACCAGGTCCTTCCACTGACATATGGGGATTACAATTTGAGATAAGATTGGGGTGGGGACACAGAACCAAGCCATATCAGTCATCAGTCATATTGGCTTAGGGACCCACCTTATTCCTTTATGACTTCATATTAAATAATTACATCTACAATGACCTTATTTCCAAATAAGGTCACATTCTGAGGTTCTGGAGGTTAGGACTTGAAATGAATTTTGGGGAGACAATAGTCAACCCATAATATCATCTCTTATGTCCCTTGTGAGCTCTAACATTTTATAATCCTAATAAAAAGAGAGGGAATATTGCTGTTTGTGGACCCCAGTGTAGATTCAGATTCTTCCTCCTGTGTTTCTGTAACCAAGCCTGTGTGATATGATCATCAAGTGTTTATTTTACTTATTTTCTTTTCTCTTTGTCCTTTTCTTTCTCCATGCATGATTACTTGCACATAGTCATTTTGGTAGAGCGTGGTCACTAATTCACTAATCATTGATTAACTTTATATCCTGACCCCTGGGGCTGTCTGCAAGATTAATGAACTTGTTTTTCTTTCAAAGAACAATGATCCTTAGGTCACATAGACCTTCTTGGAGGCATCCAGAAGTTTGATGGCCGAGAGACGCAAGTAGCTTTGATCACTGGAAATCTCACCTCCCGCATGCCTACCTTACTCATAAATCCCCCAGTGATGTTCAAAGGCAAGCTGGATTTAAGGTTTGCCTCTCCCGTCCTCACACTATGGGGACACCAAATAAACCTTTCTCTGCTCCTAAGTGCTGACATGTTAGTGTTTGGCTTACTGAGCATCAGATACTAGAACCTAGCTTTTGAGGTTCTACAACATTTCTTCTTGCACCATCCACATCTCTGGATGCTTCTCTTTTGGTAACCCACTCCTTTTGACTTCAGATAAATTTCAGAGCAAGTGATGAGGGAATGGGAATTTTGACTGCAGCTAGTCTACACAGTCTGTGGCAGGTAAAACTGACAAAGACCTCAAAGAACGTAGTGGGCCACTCTTACAAGGCCCATCTCTTGTCCGTGTGTTACTATAGACACATTTCATGGAATTATTAATATGAATTCATTTGCATAGTTAAGGAAATTGTCTTATTTTGGAATTACTCAATGACTCCCCTGTCACAAAAAGATATGGCCATGGCTCTGCCCACCTGTCCACAGAGACAGTTTTCAGAATAGAAATGATGAGCTCCTTGGTTGAGGCATCATCATTTGGCTGCTCTTAATGCTTATTTGCTTATCTTTAAAAAAAATCTCTGCTTAGTCTGCTAGGGATAGATCCTAGGAGGTGCTGACAGAACACCTTTGGAAGTCGTGATATCCCTTAAGCCACCATGGTCTCAGCCAGACAGAAGGTGGTTGTTGTGGAAGGAAGCACAGCATTCCCAAACCACGAAGCCTTTTTGAAGTGGATCTTCATTGTGGTTGAGCTCCAATATCTCTTGCTCAGATGTCAAAGGCATGAGGGGGATATCAGATCCACAGCTGTGTCTCAGAGACCTGGTTCTTTACGAAAAGAGGGTTCCCAAAATAGAGTAGGAGCTCACCCTTCACCCCCGCCCCAACCATCTGCCCAGTTTGCTGCCTTTATTTGCAAATTGCATTTTGAAGAACTTTGAGCCATGATGATCTCATAGCCTTGTCTGAAATGTTGGAAGACAAAAAATATTTCTGCTGTGACATTCTGAAGTTTGCAGTTGAACAATTAGTTGAGTAGTTTAAGTCAGAAATCTTCCCTCTCCATAATGGTGCTTTTGCCTTGAGTTGTTTGGGAAGCAACCAAGTGCTCACTCTCCACCCTCCGTTGCCTTTTTATAAACCTAAACACTAGTGGCATTACAGGGGAGTAGACGAACAGGTTCTCCAAAGGGTGGCCTAGCCATCAGGTGCGGGCACCATTCAGAAGTGTAGGCATTGACTGAAGGTTCCAGCACTTACTGAAAGCATCAGCGAGGAAGCAGTTCTTGTAGAATTTTGCTGGAGGAGATAACTGAACTAAGAAATGGCAAAAGGGCTGTGTTCAATCTAAGGCAGAAGGAGAGGAGGAAAGCTGAATGTATGTAAGAGACCATATAAGGGAAGCTGGGCACATTGGCAGTCTCTGGAGTCCTTTGGTCTTCTCCACTCCTGGATGACTTAAACCAGGCCTCTTCCTACACTTCCATGACCTGAATGGCACCTGTCCATTTTAGAGTTTCAGAAACTGAGTTCTGCAAAAGGCTACTGGCCCTGAGTTCTACAGCTAGTTAGCAACACATCTCAGCCCAGAGCCCTGTCTCTCTGGCCCAGTGTTCTTAATCACTCCTTAAGAAGCAAAGAGAGAAAAGCCAAGAGAAAAGAAGGAACTACATGGAGGCTTGGGGTACAGGTGGCTCTGAACAGTGATTTATGTTGCAACCACCACTCTTGTCTGAGATGAATATTATTGAGAACCTGCCACCCATATTCCTAGCCTTTTGCTAGGCACCATGCAGCACATTTCATATGTTTTATAATTGATAAATAATGGATGTACACATTTTCAGGGCACGTGATAATTTAATACATTTGTATAATTTGTAAAGATCAAATCAGTGTAATTGGGGTATTTATCACCTTAAATATATGTCTTTTCTTTATGCTAGAGCCATTTGAGTTATTCTCTTCCATCTATTTTGAGATATACAATAGATTATTGCAAACTGTAGTCACTCTACTAATCTATCAAACATGAGGTCTTATTTCTTTTATCAAACTTTGTATTTGTTTTTTCTATGTTTATTTGGACCCATTAATCAACCTCTTTGCATCTGCCCCTCACCCCTCTGACCATTCCTGGCCTCTGGAAACCACCAATCTACTGTCTGTCTTCAGCTCCCACATATGAGTGGGAATATGAGATATTTGTCTTTTTGTGCTTGGCTTGTTTTACTTAACATAATGACCTCCAGTTCCATCCATGTTTCCATAAATCACAGGATTTCATTTTTTTGATGACTAAATAATATTCTGTTGTGCATATGTATCACATTTTCTCTATCCATTCATCCACTGATGAGTACTTAGGTTGATTCCATATTTTAGCTATTGTAAATAACATTGCAGTAAACATGGGAGTGCAGATATCTCTTTGATATATTGATTTTCTTTCTCTTGGATATATAGCCAGTAGTGAAAATGCTAAATCATATGGTAGTTCTATTTTTAGTTTTTTGAGGAACCTCCATACAGTTTTCCTTTGTGACTGTTCTAATTTGCATTCCCACCAACAGTGTATGGGGGTTCCCCTTCCTCCATATCCTAGCCAGCATCCATTATTCCCTGTCTTTTTGATAAAAGCCATTTTAACTGGGGTGACATGGATGATATCTCATTATGGTTTTGATTTGCATTTCTCTGATTATGATGATGAGTGATACTAAACATTTTTTCATATATCTGTTGGCCATTTGTATATATTATTTTGAGAAGTGTCTACTGAGTTCTTCTTCTCATTTTGTAATTGGATTATTTCAGGGTTTTTTTGCTATTGAGACGTTTGAGTTCTTTATATGTTCTAGTTACTAATCCCTTGTCAGATGGATAATTTGTAAATATTTCCTCTCATTCTGTGGGTTGTCTCTTTGTTGATTATTTCCTTTGTTGTGCAGAAGGTTTTTAGCTGGTTGTAATCACACTTGTCTATTTTTGCTTTGGTTACCTATGCTTTTGAGGTCTTACACAAAAACTCTTTGCCCAGAACAATGTCCTAGAGTATTTCCTCAATGTTCCCTTCTAGTAGTTTCATAGTTTCAGGTCTTAAATTTAAGTCTCTTATCTGTTTGATTTTATTTTTGCCTATGGTGAGAGGTAGGGGTCTAGTTTTGTTCTTCTGCATATAGTTATAGAGTTTTCCCAGCAACATTTATTGAAGAGGGTGTCCTTTCCCTGTTGTATGTTCTTCGTGCCTTTGTTGAAAATCAGTTGGCTATAAATGAATGAATTTTTATCTGGTTCCCTATTCTGTTCCAATGGTCTATGTGTCTGTTTTTCTTTTTTTGTTTTTGGCTTTTTTTTTTTTTTGACAGTACCATGCTGATTTGGTAAATATAGCTTTGTAATATATTTTAAAGTCAGATAATGTGATGCTTCCAGCTTTGTTCTTTTTATTCAGGATTTTTTTTTTTTTTTTGGCTATTTGGGGTCTTTTATGGTTCCATGTATATTTTAGGATTTTTTTTCTACTTCTGTGAAGAATATACTTGGTATTTTGATAGAGATTACATTGAATCTGTAAATTCCTTTAGGTAGTAATGTCATTTTAATGGCATTAATTCTTTCAATCCATGAGTATGGAATATATCTTTCTTTTTTTGTGTCCTCTTCAATTTCTTTCATCAGTGTTTTATAATTTTGCTTGTACAGAGCTTTCTCTTCTTTGGTCAAACTGATTCTTAAGTATTTTGTTTTTGTAGCTATTGTAAATTAAATTGCTTTCTGATTTCTTTTTCAAATTGTTTGCTGTTGGCACATATAAATGCTGCTGACTTTTGTATGTTTATTTTATATCCTGCAACTTTACTGAATCCATTTATCAGTTCTAACAATTTTTTGGTGGAGTCTTTAGGCATTTCTAAGTATAAGATCGTGTTGTCTGTGAAAAAGGCTAATTTGACTTCTTTCTTTCCAATTTGGATGCCCTTTCTTTTTTTCTCTTGCCTAATTGCTCTGGCCAAGACTTCCAGTATTATGTTGAATAAAAGTGGTAAAAGTGGGCATCCTTGTCTTCTTCCAGATCTTGAAGGAAAGGCTTCCAATTTTTCCACGTTCAGTATGATGTTAGCTATGGGTTTGTCATATATGGCCTTTTATTATTTTGAGATATGTTCGTCCTCTATCCAGTTTTTTGAGGATTTTAACATTTTAATTTTATTGAATGCTTTTTCAGCATCTATTGAATTGATCATATAAATTTTGTTTTTGGTTCTGTTAATGTGATGTATCATGTATTAATTTGTGTATGTTGAATCATCTTTGCATCCCTGAGATGAATACCACCTGATCATGGTGAATAATCTTTTTAATGTGTTGTTGAATTTGGTTTGCTACTATTTCGTTGAGTGTTTTTACGCCTTTGTTCATCGGTGATGCTGGCCTGTAGCTTTCTTTATTCATTGTGTCCCTGCCTGGCTTTGGTAGGAGGGAAATGCTGGCCTTGTAGGATGAGTTTGGAAGTATTCCCTTCTCTTCAATTTTTCTGAAGAGTTTGAGTAAAATTGGTGTTAGTTCTTTAAATGTTTTGTAGAACTCAGCAGTGAAGTCATCAGGTCCTGGGTTTTTCTTCGATGGGAAGCTTCCATCTGGTTACTCGTTATTGGCATGTTGAGGTTTTCCATGTCTTCATGGTTCAATCTTTGTAGGTTGTATGTATCCAGGAATGTATCCATTCCTTCTAGATTTTCAAATTTGTTGGTGTATAATTGTTTGGAATAGTCTCTAATGATTCTTTCTCTTTCTGTGGTGTCAGTTGTAACATCTCCCTTTTCTGAAGATGGTTTTGATTTCCAAGATGTGTAAACTATCACTGGAGAGGTTAAAAGATTGAACCAGTTAGTTAGGGAACAACGTAAGAAATAGTCAAAGGTACTTATTATGCTCCTACTCCCTGCAAGAACACTTTCTTACTTCTGGAGAATAGCAATGAACCAGACAGATTGTCAGCCTTCAAAGATCTTACATTCCACAGAGGTGACACTCCAGAAACACAAAACAGTAATATATCAATAAGATAATTTCATGTACAGTGAGGGCCTATGAAAAAGACAAACTAGAGTAATGTGGTAGAAACCTTACTCAGATAACTGAGCAAGTGAGAGTGGAGAGAAACTCTGTGGAGGTGACATTTAAGTTGAGGTCTAAACAGTGAGGAGGGAGCCAAGTGAGGTCCTGAGGAAAGGGCATTCCAAGCAGGAGGAACAGCTGGTGCCAAGGCTCCAGGGTGTGAGCAGGCATGTCTGAGAGTGCGTGTGCCTAAAGATAGAGAATAAATGGGACAGTGCAGGGAAATGAGGCCCAAGGAGCATGAGGGGTCAAAATATATAGGATCTTGGAGGATTCTGGATTTATATTTTGATTGCAGTGGGAAGATATTTAAGGTTTTTTTTTTTTCTTTGAGACAGAATCTCACCCTATTGCCCAGGCTGGACTTGACCTCTAGGGCTCAAGGGATCCTCTCACTTCAGCCTCCCAAGTAGCTAGAACTGCAAGTGTGCACCATCAATCCTGGCTAATTTTTGTATTTTTTGTAGAGATGGGCAAAACGATGTTGTCCAGGCTGGTCTCAAACTCCTGGTTTCAAGTAGTCTGCCTGCCTTGGCCTCCCAAAGTGTTGAGATTATAGGTATGAGCCACCACATGTGGTCTGGTATTGAAGGTTTTAAGGAGGAGAAGGAAGGGTTTGGATTTAAGATCCAGAAAGATTTTCTGGTTACTGTGTGAAGGATAGGCTGCTGTAAATAGAACAAGAGGGGAAACTGCGAGTGTAGATGACAGACTGTTGCAGTTACCCAGGTAAGAGATGGTGGTGGCTGGAATAAAAATTTTAGCAGTAGAGGTGGCAACAGGCAGTTACCCTGGTAATGTATTTTGGAGATAGAACTAACAGGACCAATTGGTGAATTAACTTGTGGTTTCCCTTCTGTCATTTACTGAGATGGGGAGAACTTTGGAGAGCAGATTAGGGAGCAGTGATGGAGCAATTCTGTTTGGGCCACATGATGTTTGAGATGCCTTTTATTATTATTATTATTATTTATTTCATTTTTTTTTTTTGGAGACAGAGTCTCGCTCTGACACCGAGGCTGGAGTGCAGTGGTGGGATCTCGGATCACTGCAACCTCCGCCTCCTGGGTTCAAGTGATTCTTGTGCCTCAGCCTCACGAGTAGTTGGGATTACAGACATAAGCCACCGTGCTTGGCTAATTTTTATATTTTTAGTAGACATGGGGTTTCACCAGGTTGGCCAGGTTGGTCTTAAACTCCTGACCTCAGGTGATCTGCCCACTTTGGCCTCCCAAAGTGCTGGGATTACAGGTGTGAGCCACCACACCCAGCCTGATATGCCTTTTAGAAATATATATATATATAAAATATGTATGTGTATATATATATATATTATACATATATATGTGTGTGTGTATGTATATATGTATATAAAACTGTTAGATAGATATATCCTGCAGAAGCTGGGGCCCTTTGTCCTGGATCTAAACACACACACCAGATTCAAGATTCAGAAAAGCTGAAGAAAGATCCCAGGGAAGATAGTGCAGTTGCAGGCCCAACTGCTGCTTCACACCAGTGAAATGAGTCAGCAGATCAGCAATAATATCTGTGAGCTATAAAATGGGTGCTGCTTTTGTTCCACCTTCCAAAATCTTCCAGGAATCACCTTTGTAGCCCATCCTAACTGAAAATACACAGATGGTCCCTGACTTCTGATGGTTTGACTTACTAGTTTAATTTTATTCTATTAAAAAAAGTTTCCAGCACATTCAGAACACAGAATTCCTTATGATTTTTGACTTCATGATGGTGCAAAAGCAATACACATTGAGTAGAAAATACTTAGGGTACCCCTATAACCATTCTGTTTTTCACTTTCAGTATGGTATTCAATAAATTACATGAGACATTCAACACATTATTATAAAAGAGGCTTTGTGTTAGATGATTTTGCCAGCTATAAGCTAATGAAGGTTGGGCATGATGGCTCATGTCTATAATCCCATCTCTTTGGAAGTCTGAGGCCGCAGGATTGCTTGAAGCCAGGAGTTTGAGACCAGCCTGGGCAAAGAAGTCAGACCTCATTTCTACAACAAACAAACAAACAAACAAACAAGCCAGGTGTGGTGTAGTTCTAGATATTCAGGAAGCTAGGACAAGAGGACTGCTTGAGCCCAGGAGTTCAAGGCTGCAGTGAGCTTTCATCATGCCATTGCCCTCCAGCATGGGCGAAAGAGCAAGCCCTTGTCTTTAAAAAAATATGAGTAAGTTAGTAGGCTAACGTAAGTGTTCTGAGCACATGTAAGTTAGGCTAGGCTAAGCTATGATGTTCAATAGGTTAGGTATATTAGACGCATTTTTGATTTATGATACTTGCAATGGGTTTATCAGGATGTAACCCTATTTTATGCCAAGAAGCATGCGTGTAAGAAAGGGAGTGCTGAAACACGTAGTTTAGTCTAGCCAAGCTGACACATTACAAATCCACGACAACATCCACATGGAGCTGTTGAGTGAATGGTTGGAAATATGAGTTCAGAATTCAGAGAAGAGGTTCAGGCTGGAGGTAGCATTTGGCAGTTATGATAAAGCCATGGTTCATGAAATCATGGAACCATATAAGATCATCTAGGGAGACAGGTGGACAGAGAATGAAAAGAACAAAAGACAGCACCCTGGAGTGCTTCAACATTTAGAGATTTGTTAGAGAACAAGAAATCAGTAAAGAATTTAAAAAGTCCAGTGAGGTGTGAGAAAAACTAGGCAAGTATGTGTCACAGAGGTCTAGAAACAAAAGGAGGAAGAAGCGGTCACCTCAAATACTTCTGAAAACTCAAGGTGGATGAAGACCGTGTCAGGACTCTGCAAAAGTAACATCCAAGTACCACTTAGGAAGTCATCCAAGTATAAATACAGCACTGATCAAAGGGATCATGGGTGATCAGGAGTGGAAAGAATCATTCTGAATTGATTCCTGAGTTACTGGGGGGAAACCTCAAAAACAAGTTGATGTTTGAGAAGGGCCATGAAGGTCTGATAGAATTGAAGTGTTCATGATGAATGTGATCTGCAGGGGCTTGTTCATCTTTAAACATTTGCAAGAGCAACTTAAAAGTCACAAACCCTGAACCATCTACCCACAACCCACAGAGAGACCTCCCAGTCTCCTATGCATAGCTAAGAATAGCCCACTTGGCTGCAGTTGGCCTGAAATTCTTGCTTTTTGGGTTAAAACAGTTGGCCACTATTTTCAGTCTGACACTCCCTTTTACAAATGAGAAGAGATGCCACTGCTCATTGGAAGCATTCTCACTTATTTGCTGTTGGCAGAGGAATGTGTCAGAACCTGGACAGTAAGTCAAAGAGTTTGCTGAGAGGAATCACTTTGGTTCTCTGCCTGTGGAAGAATCTTGATTTCAGTGGCTCAAGAGCAGACAAAAGCAGGATTAAAAGATCGTTAAAAACTTTTAGTTGATTTAGCTTCCAAGTCATCCAGAAATCTTCCAGGGAGCTTTTCAAAGAAAAGGAATCCTCAGTTATAAATAGGAAACACCTCTAATCTTGAGGGAAACCATTTCTGTGTAACTGAAGACTGTACAAGACAGAAGGAAGCAGACCCACCCTCCCGTATTCTAAATAAGTAACTTGGATGTACTTTGGCAAATGAATTTAGCACACTTAACTTCTGTTTAAAAATGCCGGTTTTTGAAGGATTTACAGAATGGCTGCATTAAGACTGGTGGTCAAATGGGTTGTTCAGCTGTACATCAGATATGTACTTTCCTATCCTTCTAGAATTTTGTGGGGACAGGGTTCCTCGTGATCACTGCTACTCAAAGCATGGTTACATGGGGACTTCCATGGCTCTTGGCACCTTGTCTCTGTGGGCCCCACTCACCATAAAAAAAATCAAAAATTCTATTTTACAGCTGCATTGGTATAAAGAGAAATATATTAGGATTTTATGGTAGAACATTTTCTTTGACCTAAAAATTTATTTTTTTCTTCTGAAAAGAAAATAAAACTTTTTGTCGTTGACCCCTGTGTTAGTTTCCTATTGCTGCTGTGCCAAATTACCACAAATTTAGCAGCTTCAAACAATACAAATTCATGATCTTATAGTTCTGGAGATTGGAAGTCTCATTGGGCTGAAATCAATGTGTTGGCAGGTCTGGTTCCGTCTGGAGGCACAAAGTGGGAATGCTTCTGCCTTTCTGAGCTTCTAAAAGATGCTCATATTGCTTTGTTTGTGGACTCTTCAGAGCCAGCAGATTCACATCTTCATACCTCTCTCTGACTCTCTGAATTGTGCTTCTGTCATCACATCTGTTTCTCTGACTCCTTGCCTCTCTCTTAAAAGGACCCTTGTGTTTATTTTGGGCCCATCCAGATAATCCAGGATAACCTCCCCAATCTCAAGATCCCTAATTTAATCACATCTGCAAGATCTCTTTTGCTATGTAATGTCCATGGTTTCTGGGAACCAGAATGTAGGTATCTTTGGTGGGGGATGGGGCATTATTTAGCTACCACAATCCCTAAGTGTATCTTGGGGCTTGGGCACTGTGCCCACTGTGACTAATAGATAAGCTGTGCCTGCCTCAACGTGCCAGTCCGGGAGTGCTTGCACCAGAACGTAAAATGCACTGCTTCCTTCATTGAGAAAGTCTTACTGTGAAAAAACTTAGCGTCTCAGTGTATTCGCCTTCTGGTGTCACCCTCTGAGCCCCTAGCCGACTGGTAATGAATGATTAGTGGACTGAGCACTGTAATAAGTTCTGTCTTAAATAGCTAAAGAACTCTTTCTGTGAATTTAATTCCTTGCTTCCTTTCCTGTGAGCATACTTTGACTTCTCCAAAGTAGATTGTCCTGGTCGTAACTCATGATGTTGAGGAGCAGGCCTGAGCTCTGGTCACTGCTGGACACCCAGTGGGGGGTTCCACAGAGTTGACTTCTTGTTGAATGACAGGGTGGGTGGAGGGATGGATGGGTGGATTAATTCAAATTAATGAAATTCAAATGTCAAGTGACCCTGGGCCCACCAATGAAGTTGACTGTTTATAAACTGGTCCCCAACAGAATTTGAAGAGTAAAAGAGTAAGAAGCTCTGGGAGCCAGTGTTATGGAGAGGGCCAACTTTTAGTTGCCTGAGTTAGAGGCTGTCAGTGAGGTGGTGTCGGTGCAAGAATATTTGCAGCTCCGTCACCCTCTGGGTTCTTTCTCCACGTGCATGGAAAAGGGCTCCCCAGTCTCGCGAGGCAAGCGGTAGTGGACTGGAACGTGGTGGGGAGCTGGGACGAGGAGAGGCGGCAGCGGCGGAGGTGGCGGCGGCCTAACGAACACGTAATTTTCTTCTCACTTCATGCGTCCCTCTCCATCTGACATGGCAGGTGTGCTGAGGAGGAATGGTGTGTGAATCGATTTGGAGAGGATCAGTGACACGGCAGCGAGCCGGGGCCGCGCCCCGAGCCATTGATCGCCTCCAAATCAATTTGCACACCGCTCCCTCTTAGGTCACCTGCCATTTCAGACAGGGAAGAGAACAGTGAAGTGAGAAGGAAATTATGCCGGGAAGTCTGGGGACCTTCTCTCAAGAACGTGGGGTCAGCCTTCAGCTGCCCTCCCATCAGCAGCCTTTGGAAGGGACAGTGCTCCCCAGCCCACGACCCACTCTGCCTTGCTCACCCCCGCCCTGGAGGGAAGGGAAGCCGGAGACTGGAGCAAAATGGGGCTGCTCTGAAAATCTATCAGCCTTGAGCTCACCTCTGGGGTTTGGGCTGCCACAGTCATATCCTAAGAGCTATTTTAGAAAACCCAAATTGCCAACAGTAATAATCTCTCCGCCGCGGGACTGGTTTTCATTTGTGCCTCTCAATGCACTTCACAATTAATTCTCACCAACCTCTGTCTCCCGTGAGCCAGGAGCCCAAGGGGAGCCCAAGGGGAGCCCAAGGCAAGGCTGAGAAGCTTCATGGATCCCCATCGAGAGTGCAAAGGGCTTCCCCACTGGGAAGACACACACACACACACACGCGCACACACACACACACATGCACATGGAGGCCAAAGTCTTCCTCAAGGAGCCAATGGCGCCAATCTTCTCTTTTGAGGGGAGAGAAGGGAAGGTGGTGTAGGGGGTAGTTAAGGAACTGGAGGATATCTTTGGCTCCTGACACGGCCAATAAGCCTCAGCTGAGGCAAGAGGCATCTACTTGCTTACCAAGGCCTAACGCCTGACTGACAAGCAGCTGTTTGAAGGACACTGTCCATCCAAACATGGATTGTACCGTGGACATACTGTCTTCTCTGGAGTTACAGAGGGAGTTGGGTTCATTGCCACCCTCATTAGGTCACAGAAATCCCAATAAGATAAAATGGAAGATGCTACCCTGCCTGAAAGTGCCCAGCATGGTGCAGGATGCTGATGGGTACTCAATAAATGGACTGCAGGTTGACTTAGTCCCCCTTCCCAAGTGGGCAGTTTAGATTCTAAGTACTTTCCAGTTGGCTGAGCAGTTTTTCCCAAGAAGTAGGCTCCTTACTGTTCCTGATTTCTTTTGTCTATCCCATCAGAAGCAGGACAATCAAGGCAGGTCTAAGAGAGAACTCATGGCAGGAGCAGAGGACATGGAAGGATGCATCCGCCCTGTTTCTACAGAAAACAGGAAAACCAGCTAACCCACTTCATGCCTCGTGCAAGTCTGAGATGCATTTCTACTCCCTTCCCCACTGCTAGGGAAATGCTGGTCATGTTCTTGCTGCCCGGCCAGGCCCCTCCTGTTCATGCCTCAGAGGTTCATCAGAGATCTAGGATAGGGACTGGGGTTAGGTCTTGCATTTTTGGAAGTTATTGTTTATAAATTGGTCCTCAAGGGTCCAATGGCAAAAAAAAAAATGTATATTTATATATAGATTTTGACTCAATAAGCTCTCTCTCCCCTGCTCTCCTGCTCCCCAAATCAGATGCTTTGCTCCAAGCAGGCAGGTGAACCAGGATTCTCGAATGCTTACTGCACAGACCCAGCCACTTACACGTGTGCATGTTCACACACACATATGCATGCTGTCACACACACATGCACACACATGTGAATACACACATTCCCTTCTTAGGCCAAAGCCATGCTTTCCCAGCCGAGTTAAATTTTCTCCTCTTGGGGGAGGCTTTCCCAGCCGTTTGCTCTCCCTGCTCTTAGGACTCTAGCTTTTTCCATTTGGCATGCAGATCACGTCTTCTTTATGATCAGGAGAGACTCTTTAAGCACCTAAGGCAGCCCTGCTGCCCACACTCCTTCCAGCCCAACCTCAGGAGTGCTGAGCTTTCTGTCTCAACATTTTTCCATGACTCTGCAGAGCACTTCCAGGGAAATAAAAAGTTTAGGGTTCAGTTTAATACAGTGCCAGGTATTCTACCAGGCACTGATGGAGGCACTGGGGGGAGGTCACAAAAAGGATGATGGTGCTGTCCCTGCCTGGAGGAGCTCCACTGGCCCAGTGCATTTACCTTGGCTCCTTGGCCAGATTTAAATGCTCTGGGAGGCCATCCACAACAAGGCCCAACTCTGTGGCTATGCCACAGAATCAAGGCTCTGGTAATTGGAAGTAGCTTAAATGTAATCAATTCTAACTTGGTACATGGCTCTAGGTTAAATTTGTTGGAGTACTTTGGACTTCGGTTAGAGGATGGGGTGGAGTGTTTAGGAGAGAAGATTGGGTTGGAAGGACACAGAGTGTCATTTCTGAGAGCTTCAACTCTACCCATGGCTTCTAAAATAAGCCAGAGGGTAAATGCTACTTTTCTGCTATCTTTCTGGGGTGAGCATTTTCAGAGACAAACATAGTTAGAGGAATTTACTCTATGGTAAGAAGAGTTTGGCCAACTGAATCAGGACAACGAAGACATTTTCTGTCCTCACCAAGACTGCAAAACCTCACCTGCTGAACTGGGTCATTCAAGCTAAAAACAAAAAACAAAACAAAACAAAAAACCCTTCCTGACCAAGCATCCTTTGAAACATGGTTTAATTCCGTTTCTGTGACTTGTAGATTGTTCATGTACTCAGGGTCCCCAGAAGGCAAGGACTTGGCATTTACTTACCTTTGGCTTCAGCAACATTTGCACATGGTACATATCATAGACTTTTTTTTTTTTTTTGAGATGGAGTCTCACTCTGTTGCCCAGGCTGGAGTGCAGTGGTGCAATCTCAGCTCGCTGCAACCTCTATCTCCCGGGTTCAAGAGATTTTAGTCTCAACCTCCCGAGTAGCTGGGATTAAAGGCATGTGCCACCACGCCAGCTAATTTTTGTATTTGTAGTAGAGACGGGGTTTCGCCATGTTTGCCAGGCTGATCTCCAACTCCTGGCCTCAAGTGATACTCCTGCCTCGGCCTCCCAAAGTGCTGGGATTACAGGCGTGAGCCACGGCGCCTGACCGACACATTTTATTAAATATATCTTTAGGTTGTTAAATGCTTTGGTTTTGAGTAGGTAATATGTGCACATGGTACGAAAGTCAAGGAAGTCATGAGCCACCCTCCTAGGTCACCAGGGCAGGTACGGTAACCACTTTCCTTTGTGACGTTCCAGATATATTCCACGCATATGCAAGCAACTACATCACTAAATATTCTTGATCATGGTATTTTTATTCATTGTACATAGACAAGTCTGTCCACCTCCTTCTACTTTTTCTGCTGGCGACGGCTCAGTTGCATTTACTGGAAGTGGTTCTGTGTTCACACAGCACTTAGTATACAAAAGAGAACGCACCACAACAGTACAAGCAGTCGTGGCCACGATGACACCAGCGTCCCCGTGGAGCTTGGAGCCACGCTTGGTGGTTCGCGCCTCCGCGCCTCCGGGGGCGCAGTGTCCAGCTCAGGCCGCACGATGGCGCCCGCTTCCTGCGGACCCGGCCCACGGCGGCGGCACAGACAAAGACGGGCATCGGGCCTCCCCCGCGGGGCGGTGGAGGCGGCGGGCGCCCCGGGTGGCCGAGGCCGCCCCTGCGCGCCGAACCAGGCAGCTGCCGCCCGAGTCTTTGTCCTACGCTGCTCGCCCTTGTGCTAAAGGACAAGCAAAGAGGACGAGGGGAGCTGGCGGCTCCGGCCAGGCATCCACCCGACTCCCGTCCCAGCTCTCACACCCCAAAGCCCGGCCCCGCGCGAGCTGGGGTGGCTGCAAGCGCCTGCGTGGGGACGACCCCAAAGGCCTGCCCAGGAAGCTTTCCTCCACCTCCACACCTCTGTAAAGAATTTTCCCGGAATTCCGCACTGTGGAGGTTTTGCAGCACTGCCCTGACTTCCCATTTGAAAGGCTACAGGGCCTGGGTGTCCCGGGTGCAGAGGAGACATGCATTTAGGTTGACTGCAAACTCGTGAGCATCTGGGCCTGGCTGTTCCAAGCGCAGCTCTGCAGGGGTCCAGGAAAACTTCTCTCCTCTCGTGTTCTGGCACCCTCTAGTCCCGCAGTCCAGTAGAGTTTACTGGGATGATGCCAATGTTCTGTCTCCACTGGCCAATATGGTGGCCACTAGCCACACGTGGCCATGGATCGCTTGAGGTGTGGCTGAAGAACTGAATTTTAAACTGTATTTAATTTTAATAAACTTGAATTTAGGTAGTCGCATGTGACTAGTGGGTTTTGTAGTGGGCCCTGCAGTCTTAAGGGCTCAAGTCGATCTGAGCACTAGAATATGTAGTTATGTTGTTGACAGTAAAATTTTATAAAGATTCACATACAGCATGGATCATGTGCCTGTTACACCCGAAAAGATCCTGGAAGTGGCTGGGGGGCTGGGAAAGAAAAAGTGGTGCCAGCTGAGTTTATTTTGTCTGTTTAGGGAGATGGTTAGGGGGTGCCCTGCGTGTGGAGTAACGTAGCATGAGAATGAAGGTGAAGATGAAATAGGTCCTTACAATGCCTTGCTAGTCCTGCGAATGGGACTGCCTAATCTTTGATCTATTGTTACAGAAAGTTTGGGGCTAATCACTGTCATCTATTAAGTGGCTAAGTATATACATCCCACACATTGGGTTCTTGGGACAAGATCATCCTACCAGAAATAATTTTGAAGGAACCTGGGATCTTCTGCGGTCTTGTGTGCTCAGAAGGAGGCGTGGAGGAGTGCCGGTATCTGCGGGAGCTTGACCGTCCAGCCTGAGGTTCTGTCACTGCTGTTTTCTCTGGGCATGTGATAAATATGAAACAATGGCAGTATCATTGTGTGTTAGGGTGGTGTTTATCTGTGGGATGCAAGACAGTCCTGGGTAGAGACACTGGGGAATTAGAAGTGTTTTTTCATGAGTTGGAATGTCTTGGTGGCAAGCCAACTTCTCACTCATCATCAGAGCAAAAGTTGAACATAAAATTCACAAGTTACCTGCAGCAGCAATCATCAGGGTTCTGGTACCTCAAGAATGCCTCGTCACCTGTCTCCTCCAAGAATGTAAACCAATCAACGACTTCCATTTATTTTTATTGAAAATAAACATGTATACCTTCTTATAGGTTCCTTGGTCTAGTGTATTGAATCTTTCCAATAAGCAATGCAATTATGTGACTGTTTTCTAAAATCTGAGGTGGATGCCACCTTTTAGCATCCACCTTTTGATCTTCCAGGTAACATTTGTGTGTGTGTGTGTGTGTGTGTGTGTGTGTGTGTGTGTGTGGATAGAGGTACATGGTGGGCAAGGGGCAAAGACAGATCAAGAAATATTACATTCTCCTTGAAGATTCAATATGCCCTTTTACCTATTCTAAAGCATCCAGAAATAGACCTGTAAGTGCTGACATCTTATTGCCCTACAGCTGAGGTGTCCTGGCAAGGCTCCTTGCCCATAGTAGGCATTCAATAAATTTTTGGTGAATTTTATGTAAGAAGGGAAAATGGGCCAGGATTCCATATCCAAGCTATCGTTGTGGGCTGTCCATCCATCTCTTTTTGTTTTTGTTTCTTTTCCCCTGGAGATGTTGCCGACCACAAATAAAGAACAAGGGGGAAAATAGTTAAGCACACCTAGAGCTGCGTCCAAACAAAAGAGGAAAGAGACTAAACAAACCCAAGGTTTTCTATTTCTCCCTGAGCCAAGTAATCCCTTTGATTACATCTAATACCTGCCAAAACCCAGATGGTGTGCCCACCCATCTCCCGTGTGATAATGCCACATTGTGAAATCTACCTATTAATATTAATTGTCAGTTAGAGAATCTGTCTGAACTACTAAAGCTTGAGATTGCCTTGAGAAAGCAGGCCCTGCTTTAGCAGGGATTTTAAGATAATTCTCATTCTTTCATTCTGTATCTCACATATGTAGAATGTTAAACAATAGCCTGAGAATGCTTTTCTAATTTCGGTACATGCCTGCCTCTTGCAATCCAGGTCTTAAACCACTGTTCATTTGGGGTCTACACCTGCTGACCAAAATATTACCTTAAACTGCTGTGGGCTTGCCAGCGACATGTAAGCACACACTGTTCACCATATAGAGAGAATTTTAACTCCCTGGGAGCTGTTTGAATTGAATGTGCCCTAGCATGTGATGCTCAACTATTTCCTTTTTATTTTTCTCCCTCTCAGTAATTGACTTGGTAATCCTTGAAAAGTATTACCAAATCTCAGTTTTTTCAATTATTGTATGGGTCTTCCTGAGGTAGGAATGCAAAGGCACAAGAGAAGGCCGAGGAAGAGAACTTGAGGTCCAGGCAAAGCTGTCGCATGGCAGAACACAGGGACCTTCAGGGGTGCTGCTCCTGGCTGATAATCCGGTCTGTGATGTTTGATTTGGACTGTGATCATAAACATGCCCAGGTCAGCTCCAAAATCCGATCTGTGCTTCCAGATCTCCACACTGAAATGTTTCAACGTTGCAGTTTCTGCTGCGTTCACGGAACTTTTTCTTTTTTTTAAGCCACAAAATTTCAGAATCCATTTATGCCTGAAATAGATATGAAAATTTAGTAGGTGTGAGATTGAGTTTTTCCTCCGGAGTCTCCCCACTTTATTCTCATGGGTTATGCTGCAATCGCCTTTTGACAGTCATTCTTATAGCCAACACCTTAAACTTTATGAGTAAATGCAAAATCCAGCCCACACAGTGTCTTTGCTTTTGCCAGGAGCATATAGGGCTTGTGAAATGAATTAATTCAATATTCTATGTTCCTTGTTCAGGGAGGTAGCTCTTCATCATATCTTGAGCTTGATGTCCGGCTGTGGCCAGAGCTGCAGCCTTGCTGGGTAACTGACTGACTCGGGCAGAGGGATACCACGCAAATAAAAACTGGCAACATTCTGTTCTTTTGGGTACATCAATGAATGTTTACTTCAATGACCTGACAGTTCTTTTATTAGCAAATATTAATTTCAACTGAAAAAAACCAGAAGGCCTTCATGGTGCAGCACATTTAAATAGACATTGAGATAATTTTAAAAATACCTATTGGTATGTAAAGCAACCTTCCTGATGAAAAGAAGTCACTGAACAAGTGGCAGAAGCCAGTTGGTAGGGCTCAATATTTTGATTATTTAATTTATTGCCATTATTTTACAAAACATAAAAAAAAGCAATTGAATTGCAATTTTGTTCCCATTCCTGCCCAACTTTGCAATGTTATTTTTTTATGACTGCTGTCTTTGGAAAGAGATAAGGGATGAGGCAGCAAATGGCTTTTTATAGAGAGAGAGGTGGGTCCTCTTACCTACTTAGTCTTCTGTTTCTACAGGGATGGTAAAGGTGAGTTAAGGCCCTCAGTGGGAGGAGACAGACCTCAGTGGGTGTTCTCAGAAGGAGCTGTTAAATGCTGGTGCGTCTCCACCTCTGTCCTGCCTGTGGATATTTTGCAAATTGTTTCTCTCAGCCTCCTTCGCAGCCAGCGTCAGAAGGGAGGCTTGTATTCTGGGAGAGGGGGCTGGCTCCCTCTATCCTTTCCTCCCCTCTCACTCGAAAGTTGCTTTTTGATGCCAAAGATGGGGACAAGTTGTTATAAAGGCACCCAGAAGGCAGAAATTAGCGCTTTTAAACTGAAGGTGAATCACAAGTCCTATTTCTGCCTCCAGGGCTTCTGTTCAACCATTAAAAAGACCAAAATTAACTTTGAACACATCCATTCTTCGCATAAATAAGAGTAGGAGGCACACCAAATCATTTTGTAAAACAGAAATCCTCTTGGAGAGTTTATGTTTCATGAGTGCATATTTTTAAATGCCCAAAATTCAGGTTATTTTGGTGTTTGAGAGAATTCGCTTGCAGGATCAGACCTTAACATTCCAAGCTTAGCTCTGACCAAATTTTTATGACTGGTTTAGAGGCCTTTGAAAAATACACTTAATTATAACAAGGCAGCATTGTGCAAACATGCTAGGGTGATGTTTACCCTACCCCATTCTTATCAGTTAGAAGAAAAACAACAGAAAATATTAAAGAGCAAACAAGCCAAAATCAATGTGAAAAGAGATGAAAGTATGTTTCAATGAAAAAATATATGTGTGTAAATACAGTGAAGATTATAAAGTATCACCACACATAAGGTAATATTCTTTTTTTTGGGGGGGGGCAGAGTCTTTACTCTGTCACCCAGGCTGGAGTGCAGTGGCGCAATCTTGGCTCACTGCAGCCTCTGCCTCCCGGGTTCAAGCGATTCTCATGCCTCAGCCTCCTGAGTAGCTGGGACCACAGGTGTGTGCCACCGTACCCAGGTAATTTTTGCATTTTTAGTAGCGAGAGGGTTTCGCCCTGTTGGCCAGGCTGGTCTTGAACTCCTGACCTCATGTGACCCACCTCCCTCGGCCTCCCAAAGTGCTGGGATTACAGGTGTGAGCCACCGCGCCTGGCCTGGTAACATTCTTATTATCATAATTACCTATAAGCCTTAAAAGATAGCATAGGGCATGACTGGAACAGTTTCCTAATGTGTTGAAGCTTTCTGATGTTTCCTGTATTTATGTATTTAAGTTGCAGGACAATGAGCCATTTTAAACTTCTGTGTAAACTAGTTTCTATCTTCCTTTTATTCTGCACTGCTTCAAAGAAATCTCCAGAAGCCTGCAACATTTCAGATGTTCCTCATGAGAACTCTGGATGGTAAAGTCAAAATAGAATCATAAGTAGTTTCAACTAAGCATTAGTTTTCAGGGAACAGCATATCATGAGATGGGGAAGGTCAATTTGAAAAACGGTGTGGGGTTTTATAGGAAGTGGCCTTATTTCTGAGTCTATAGGTATCATCTAAGCCCCCCAACCGCAGGCCAGTTTATGTGATTTCTTCTGTAGAGATTACCTATCTTGGGGCCAGGCTAACCCCTGCCCACATCCAACCGCTGCCCTAAAGCCAGAGCCCAAGAAGCAAAATTCAAATGTCCTGGAGGCCTTAGGTCTTTAAAATATTAGCTTACAGTTCCCACTCAGGTTGGAATAGAATCCAGGGCCTTTGAGCTGATACCCTAGGGGTTCCAGAGGCTCCCTTACCTCCAGCACAGATCCACTATGTTCTTATAAACACAAATGGAAATAGATAAATCTCTTTGGTGTCTAATCTGTAATATCTGAAACCAAGTTTCCTTTTGCATGAATAAATTGAGGGGGTAAAAATTTTGAAAATTACCTACTTCCTTTCAAATTAGTAAAACAAACAGACATGAAACAGACTGCTTTATTTCATTGCCTAGGACCTTGAAATTTTTAATTGGCTAAGAGAAAGTTATTTTAAAATAATGGGCAGGACAAAATAAATACATAATTTGATAGTCTGTTAGCAACTCTTTTACTTATTGCAAGGGGAACACTTTCTAATTTTCCCTTTGATTGTAAACAGAAATCTAGTTTATTAAGCAGAAACATAGATTATTAATAAATAAACCATTTGATGCCTGTAAAGCACTTTGAGGGTGAAAAGCCCCTACTAAATGGCAAATATTATTATTTTTATTGCAAGCTAACGGGAGGAAACTAAGCTAATGAATGCTTACAGAGCTTGGAAGTAGTCATCACACTCAAATTGCCATATACTGTAAACTATTAAACTTGTTTCTTAGATAGAGATGCTTTTACATTTTAAGTTGATACTTTTTAATTTTTGCCAAGGATGAAAAGAAATGCTTATGGGCCTGTAATTTAAATAAGAATAACTCAAGGGTATAATCACTTTTTAGTTGAACTAGAAGTTGTTTAAACGAGAAACCATTTTTGAAAGTACAGCTAGCAAAAGAAGATAAAAATAAAAGACCAAAACTAATTTTCTGAGTTAAATCTCAGAAATATAGCTATTTATGAATATCTCTTCCCTTGAGTAATATCATATCCATATACCAATTTACATTAAAATAATACCCTAAACAGATAAAGTGAAGGCTGATGTTTCGAGGTTCAGGCTGAAAGGTATTTTTTTTGTGTCACGACTCTTTGGCATTTGGCCTTGACCCTGTGGTATGACATGAATATGTAAGACACATGAAAGCTTTTACTGTTTGATATTTGAAGTAGGGAAGCATATAAAAATAATACCAAGTCATAATTAAGAATGGAAGTAAGAATTTAAGTCTGATATTCCTAACATTTTTCTAAAGTCAGACCATAGGTGTTCAATTTTGATATCAAAGTGGATGTACTGTATATTTCTATGTATTACATAATATTTGCTGATATGCATGTGAATGTGTGTTTATATAACTGGATCCACACATTTTGCTCATTCTTATTAAGAGATTTTATTTAAACAGCAAAAAAAATTTTAACAGACAAACATATCAATTGTAAACATACAGCAGAAATTACTTTGTTTAAATCTCACATAAATATATATTTTAACTAAATCCTGTAAGAGAAATTTTTGAGTTACTTGATTTTTTCCTTACTAACATGTCAAAGCAGCCTTCATTCTCAAGAGAACTGGGTTCCGATCTGGGATCACAGCTAAGGTGTGCTAAGAAGAAGGCATTTAAAGACAATTGTTTTGTCTCTCCACCCTCCCACCCCTCTAAACACACACACATTCCAGGCGTGTAAAACTGACACCAATCATGCTCCATGCCCTGGACTGAGAAACAAAATCTCCTCCTGTATGACAAGATTCAGCCTGCAGTGATTTTAGCAGCCAAGATACAAGATTTTTAAATTAGGGCCTTCGGTATATTAGCAGAGCCATATTAAAACAATGCTGGCAGCCCTTATGAAGATACAGGGTAATTTTCTAATTAGCAGAAGGCTATTTGAAATGCAGCATGGTGTCCCATTTTTCATACTGTTATTTTCTACTGGATAGAACTAGAAAAGTAAGACAAGAGCCATGAAACTTCATGGTTAAAGTTCTGTAAGTTGGTCTCTCCAGCCCTGTAAAAACAGAATCTAATTTTAAAGGATTTTTAATTTACAAAACTTAGCTTTATTGCACCAGGGATGTCGTGCTAAAAACCAGCTCACCATCCAACCGGTTAACAGATAGCAATTGTTACTCTTTCATTTGATTTTAGGTAATGTTTTAAAATGTATAATGTCATGTATTATTCATCCTTGTTTTCTCAATATCTCTATTTGGGTTCATTTTTTAAAAGAAGATTCAGCAAAAGGTTGTGCATATAGTGGATGCTGAATGAATGTGATTGTATAGTGGGCAGGCTTAGACATCTTCAAGTGTTTCTTCCTAGAGGTGGAGAAGAGGGATTTCCTTCATAAATTTGAGTCTTACCTTTTGGCAAATTGGGTCAAGGGGTTAGAGGTAAAAACTTTTGGGGCCCCCACAGGGAAGGATGAATTAGGTTCTTAGACAGTCCAATTATAGAAGCATTCAAAGAGTAGACTTTCTATGAGAAGATTCAGCCATCCTGTGTATGTAAATAGAAATCACCATCAGAAGCATCATCGTCAATTATGAAAGAGAAGATGGTGAATATTTCATTCCTGGTGAGGTCCAAATCATTTCATTTGCATATGGGCCACTTCCTCTGCAGACTGGCAAATAGAAAAATAAGTTGAATGGCAGAGAACAACTTGCTTCAAGCCATTCTCTAAATTGCCTCCAGCTTTCAATTTTTCCAAAGAGCATGTCACCCAGCACCCCTACTCCAAAACCTCTAATGGTTTTCCTTTGCCTAGAGATTCAGGTCAAGGCTGTGAATGACGACATTCCAGGTTCTCCCCAGACTTGCCCCAACCTCCCTTTGCAGACATCTTCCTGTCACTCCACTGTGCTTCAGCTACATCAGGCAAGATGCAGCCCCCAAACTCACCAGGCCTGCTTGAGCCTCTTGCTCTAGGCTCAGGCCAGTATTTCCACTCTGAGTGCTCTTCTCACATTTTCCATGTAGCAAAGCCCTACTCATTCCTCCCCAGCAGTTGAAAATTCTCCCGCTTTGGGGCACCTCCCTGACCTCTTACCTATTGCCAGTTCCCCAGTCAGACTTGTATGTGAGTCCCTCCCCTGGACTCTGACCCACTCCGCAACATGGACCTTTTCTTGTTGTTAACTTGTCTTCGGTCCCCTCAACATGTGACACAGTTTTCTGATACTCAAAAGCACCTGGTATTGAACTGACTCTAAATAAGAGAACTTCCTATTTCACATTATACACAATATTCAATATTCTATAAGTTTAGAGAGATTGTTTATGAATGAAAAACAAATCAAAACAAAAGTAGCAGCTGCCATGTTCAAGGAATTATACTTTGAGTAGAAAGAGAGCAGCTGATGTTCAAGGTCGTCTGGAAGCATTTTTTGACGAGTTCTTCATTTTCTTCTACCCAACTCCAACACGATGAAGCAACGTCCTCATCATTCCAGGGGCCTGGGAATTTACACCCTCATTTTTACCTGAACTGAAACTGAACAGTGACGGTGATAGGCATGACAACATGACATCATTTGGCTCACTCTTCCCTCCCCCTGGCAAAGGGTGATTATTGCAGACATAACTTACAAATTTCTGGCTTTTTGATCTTGGTGCCAATGTCTGTTTATAAGAAAAACGAGGCATCCTCTCCTCCCTGGACAGTCAGAGTTTTCTTCTCTTAAAGAAAAATAAAAAAAAAAAAAAGGAAAGGAAAATACATCATATTATTCTGTGATTAATAGAATTGAATTTCTTTATTTTTAGGATGCCTGAAAATCAACTTGTTTTATCTGTCATGTGGAAGCCTAGGATATGGTTTTAAAAACAGTACATTTGCCTCTCCATCAGATCTTCTATTACACCCCCTGTACCAATTGCTCCTGGCTCATCATCTTCATTGCTTGAATCCTTACAACTTGGTACATCCTAGATGATCTGTATTCTGCTGTTTCTTCTGCTGGGGGAATAGTAAGTTCCACTGGGTCCTGGATGCCAGACCATCAACAACTGCTTTCAATAGCCCTGAATGGCAGATCCACCTACCTACTTTCTTTCCCACAAAAAGATAAGATAATTCTTTATCACAATTCTTTGTATCTATTTATCTATTTGATAGTTGTGCTTTTCCCTCCAAGTTTGGGTTCATGGAGACTTTTTTCTTTTCTCCCCACTCCCAGAGGATACTTTGAATGTTCTTACAGGTCTCTGACATAGTTGACACCGAGGACCAAATTGGGGTTACTGCACAATGCAGTCTACTTTATCATATCAACCCAGGGACTTAGAGTCCTGATAAACAAAGCTAAGCAGATTTGCACAATATGTGGGAAAAGCACTAGAACCTGAATCTTTTGATAGAACCTATGTAAGTAATTAGGAAAAAATAATTGCACGTTTGAGAAGGTGGACTCACCAAGCAGTTGTTGAACTATAAAAATGCATTAAGTGTAGTCAGTTTCTTTTTTAAATTATTCAGGAATGTTGTTTATGTTATCATAAAAAAAAAAGAGGTGAGAAAATATATTCGGCAATTTTTGGTTTTCCCCCATTTGAGCAGATGGCGATTCGTAGTTCAAAATTTGTAACTCAAATTATTTCACATTTTTATTAATCAGTACAATATGTTTTTAAAACAACAAACTGCACTTAGAAATATCAGTGTAAGTTCCCCAATTCTCCTAGTTCCATCAGAGAGCAGTCTGAGAATTAGA
The DNA here is from genome assembly GCF_000001405.40 of Homo sapiens. Classification (NCBI taxonomy): domain Eukaryota; kingdom Metazoa; phylum Chordata; class Mammalia; order Primates; family Hominidae; genus Homo; species Homo sapiens. Next base: position 60,571,841 of record NC_000002.12, on the reverse strand, counting down.
GATTTTGTTAGCAATATTGGGAAACAGGGCATTCTAGTTCAGTGTTTCAATAGTAATTATTTTTATTCCAGTGTTCAAAGTGTCTCATATGGGGGAGGGGCAGTTGAAAATAGTACAGAAAATTGCCATGGGGAGCTGTAAAAAGCTGGGAGAATCTGTTTCAAGATGTTTGCTTTTTTGGTAGAACAAAAAGTGCATTTTGTTAGAGACAAATATTTTTGTGATAAAAAAACATTTTATGTGAAGTGTAGATTGGACTTTTAATATAAAAAAGAAATGTTAAGCCATTCTATTTTCGGAAGGTTTGGCGTCTTAGAATGAAAGCTGTTAGAACTGCATATATTGGAATGTTCTCACAACTGTTGTCATCCTATGTTCCTCTCCAAACCTGTTAAATTACATGAGTGTAGAAATAAGGGAGCTTTTTTATTATTATTAATTGACACTCATTTTTAGCTGGCATGTGCTGGCAGGTCTTTCCAGACAAACCTCAGACCGTACAAGGCAGAGCTTCAATCTGAAAGTTTGGGGACTATTCCTAAAGCTCTGTAACATGGAAGCTAGGAAGTGTAATATTAAAGTGATAAACATCTTAGATTCAGTGTAATTCACAGTTTCTTTCATTCTTTTTACTATCTATAGATCTAAATCAAAACAAATTCCATAAAAGAGGGGGTTATTTTCAAGCACATTTTCCTTCAGAGAGCTCTTGAATATTTTATCATATCTATTTCTATACATATGCTATACGTTTCTAGATCCATGTTGAACAAAATCCAAGGTGATAATATAAAAAAAAAACCATGAGACTATGACATTAGAATTCCTAGGAGATATACAGTTAGCCCTTGTAAATGAAATAAACTTTGTTTTGGCAATTAAGGAATACACAGGGATATTAAGTCAAAGAACAATATGTCTGAACTATTAAATTGGTTTTTTCCAGGAGGTTATTAAAAATGTATTTCAAATTACCAGAGTGGCAGGAAAAAATAAAAAATAATAACTTAAAAACTGTTACATTTTCCTTCGCTCTTGAGAAGGCATATTGGATTTCATAGAATGTGATTTCTAAGCAGATTATTTTCAAGAAAATATCCACTCTAGGATGCACCGGAGGTTCACGCTGCCCCACACCTCCCCACCAGTTCCAAATAGTGAGAGCTTTGGGGCTGTCACGACAACAAACTATGAATGGGTGAGCACTTCAACTGCCGTCTGGCAATGGGAATATACGGATTTTCCGGGTGTCCCTCCAATTGTGCAGAACCCCGGGATTCAGACAAGCTCTTCACAAGGTCAAACAAAAACCAGACCCGGATCACGGTGCCGCCCAGGATCAAATGGGGCAGGAAGTATAAGCTTATGATGTGAGGATGGAATCTCTGGTGACTCAACAGCGTCTGCGTCCTCAAATGGTTAATTCCCCCAGGCTGTCATATTGCATAAACAGATCTTCCTTTAATAAAATTAATTAGGTTCTGAGCTTTATAGGGTGATGCCCACTGACCCTTTACATGCCTATTGTTCCTAGATCCAAGAGAAAGAAAAAAAAAGAGAGGCTGCCCAGTAGGCAAAACAGAGACCCAAGTTGAAAGATTAGAGATCTCAAGTAGGATCTGGGAGGGAGTGGAAGAAACTAGGTAGCGTTTGCTTCTGAACCGAACTAAAAAAAAAAAAAAAAAAAAACTCCAGAAAAAAACAACAGCGCGGTGGTGGGGTTTTGTTAATTTCGCCTTTTTTTTTTTTTTTGCACGCGCCACGAAATTCAGGCTGCGTTTAGCTCCTGAGAAATATCCAAAGTAATTGCAGATTGCGGAGACGCACAGCATTAGTTCAAAAAAGACCCGAGGCATTGGGGCAGGGTTAGGTGGAGGGCACCGGAGGCTCTACACAAGAAAAGCAGGAACCTGCAAACCCACGTAGATTTCCACTACAACCTTCCCTTTTCTTCTGGCTAGCCATCCAGCGCTCTCCATGGCACTGCATGGCACAAGTTGCTTCTGATAGTCTTTTAAGTTTGCTAAGGGAACTCCTCGAGGGTGGAGTGGGGGCTGGGGTAAGGAATGAGTATCCTGGTCTTTTTCTTTTTTCTTTATCATAAGGGGCTTGAGGTTCCCATCCTGGGGATTACATGAGCTCATCCTGGGCGCCTCTTGTCTCAGATAATCCGAGGCAGGGCAGCAAATACTGCCTGATTTTGTCGGAAAATTTTTTGAAAGGGAAAGAAAAGGAAAAAATCGTCGTAGACCGGATGTTTCCAATTACAGGGGAGCCAGAGAACAGAAAGTGTGTGTGTGCGTGCGTGTGTGTGTGTGTGTGTGTGTGTGTGTGTGTGTGTGTCGGGGGTGGGGGCGCGCGGTGGTTGGGAGCGATGGAGAGGATGGGGCAAGATTTGGAGAGGGTGTAGGTTGGAAGTGGGAAGAGACGCGGCAAGGCAAAATGCAAGAAATGAGGCTTCTGTGAGGAGAAGAGGAAAATAGGAAAATGAAGCAGAACTAGAAAAATGACAAAGTGTTGAGTGCTGATTTATTGCAGAAGCCTCTGGTCATTTCCATATATTGAAATGCGCCCAAGCGGCCAGTCAGTCAATTTCTTTTGAGCTGCTGCCGCCGCTGCCCACGGGCTGCCCACGTGACTCCCCCTCAGTCAGCCTCTTTACCACCCAGCCCCTGATACAGAGAGAAGAGGAGGAAAGAAAGAGAGTGTGGGGCAGAGGAGGCATCTGTGTACTCTAGTGGGTGATCTGGAGAAGGAGACGTTCGTGTGGGTCTTTGGGAAAGGAGGAATGTGGCCTAGGGAGGAGAGAAGCTGATTTCAAGCTCCATTCAAGTGTTACATCGTTACCTCTCTCTGTTTGGCATGTTTCCATCTGTTTCTCTCTCCTCTGTGTCTCTTTTCTCTGACTCTCCTCTCTCCCTCTTTATCTCTCCCCTCTTGATGGTTAAAAAAGGGGTCAGAATTCAGAGATGGAAAAACCCATCTATCTAGAAATGCATAATGAGGATGGGTGTGGAGATGTAGGATATTCAAGTCAGATTTGATTTTGGTATCTTTGATACTATCCGTTGCTTTGGTAGATTTTTATTAAAGAAAGGCACATGTGCACACACACACACACACACACACACACACACACAAATCCTAGATAAAAGCCAGTGAGTTGTTAAAAATGAATTTGCAGCATTAGAGCTGTTAGCATCATTCAGCAAGCAGGAAGCTTGATAATTTCCAGGTGTTGGGGAAAGCCGTTGTCCGGGAGCTCTTACAGAGCTTATAAATCCCTGTTGGGAGGGAGAAAAAAAATCTTTGGAGGTGAATGAAATATCAAATCACAAGACTCCTATGTAGATTTATGATTGCATAAGAGGCTTGATCATTTCCATATACTGAAATGTGCTGTTCTCCTGAGTCTGCCCAGCCCTTCCAGGAGACGAGGCGCTCCGTTCTGCCTTGATCAATGTTGACTATGAAGCAAAAAAGGAGGGGGGGTGGTGGAAAGCAGGCTGGCACCAGATGGAGCGGGGTCTCAGGAAAGGTCAAGGTTAGCCCAGGCTGCTATTGAGTCGGTAGCAGCCTCACAGATAGATCTCTGCCTCGAAGGCACCCACTGGGGCTTCTCAAAATCAAATCTAATAGAAAAGGCAGTCACAGAATGAAATCGCTTCATCTGAATGCTAAAATTGTTATTAGGCTACATTAGAGAGATATCAGGCACGTGGTTACCAAAAAAGGGAGCATGCCTAGCAGTTTGTGTCTGAAAGAAAAGCTATGAATATGTTGATAACATCAGTAATGGGCAAGTAGAAGAGATGGATATCTTTTTTTTATCTGAAGACAGACTAACATATTAAACGAATATTCCCCCCCTCCCCTTTAGCAGGACTACCTATAATTCTAATTGCTTAGAGTTCTTCTTTGGGGGAGGGGAGGTGAAAAATCATTCATTCCAGCAATAGCTGATCCTTATTGATTCAGAAGTTTGACTTACTGGAGGAATTTGTTGAGGTTTTTTTTTTTTTTTTTTTTTTTTTTTCCCAGGTGTGTGCCTTTGGAAATTTATTCCTTAGGCATTACATTAGGGGTTGACACTGGCTGGAAATCAGTCTTTCTGGCTTTGGACCATTGGAAATCTGTTAGAGGACTCCTTCCCTTTCTTCTTCCCCCTCCTCTTTTTCCTTTTGCATTGTTTTCAGAGACTGAACTGTTTCTGGAGAAAATTTCACTTCACAGGCAAACCTCAGCCTAGGAGAGTGCCTGGGATCAGACATCCATAGCCTGTTAGGGTAGCCACACTAGCATTTTTCAGACAGTCTCTCTCCCCCCAATTATCATAATGAAACCCACATTAGCTGTTTTTAACCTACAGCACAGCCATATCTTAAAGAAGGATTTAGTCTTGTAAAATAAATGCGGGCTACACTAGATTAAACATGATGACTGCACTCCAAGGGTTAATAAATTTAGAATTAACAGATCATCCCAGCTTGATACAGCTACTATAGATGATTTAATATGCAGCCTAAGCAGGTTGACAGTCAGCTCACAGATGCAGATAAGATCAAACAGTCTCTTGATTCAATAGATTGAATGGTTGTACGGAGTGTCTAGAAGGTGAGCGACAGAGCGTATATGGCAGGGGTTCTGGGAAAGAGGAGCTTCCATTCCCAACTGCTGTTTTGTGCATGCTGGTTTTCTTTTTCTAACAGTTCACCTTCTGTGGCAGTAAAACCTGGAGTAGGGGTTTAAAAATTCTCCTGATCATATAGAGTGATGGGTGCTTGTTTAAGTTTTGGGTGAGGAAAGGGTTGGTACCATTAATATCGGGATCTATTTCTAATTAGTTCTGCCTGGTAAATAGCATCCACCAGTTTCTCTCCCTTTCTCTCCTTGTGGGCCCTCAGGTCAGAGCTCAACACACAGGATACAAGATTCCTGGATGGTGCAGATAAAGGCAGGCTCATTGCTGAAATTACATAGGTAATTTCCTCAGTCCTCCACTTTGCTGTAGCTGTAAAGATCTGAATATGGAAAAGAAGTACAGAGCTAAGTTGAAATTCAAACTTCAGTATGTAGCCACGGTGAGATGTTTACATTAGGAGAGAGCTTATATTCCTAAAACTGATGTTAAAAAATAGCAAAATTAGGGAGTGTGGGGCCTTGGGGAAGATTGAGGTGAGTCTAACAGAAAAAGTTGAGTGTCTTTCATCAAGGCTTGCCTTGGTGGCTCAGAATCTAGAGTTTTTAATGTACACCTGAGTTTCTTTTGGTAGGTTTAATTTCCTTTTATCTATTTCAACTTTAGAATTTAAATAAGAAGACAAAAAAACCCCACCCAATTTCAATAAAAGTGTATGTGATTTGATGTGATAGACAAGTTTTAACAGTTTTTGTGATTTGATCAGAGCAAGGACTCCTCCTCAACCCATTAGATTCTGTCATGTGAATATATATTCAGGCAATTTAAAAATGCATATTATGTATTCAATAGACCATCACAGGTCTGAATTATATCATATTATTCTGTTCTGTCAGCTACCCCCCGCCCTGCCCATCTTAATATGAAAATCTGTAATAGAGTGACTATAGAGCTATGGCCATCAGATTTCAATGTGCCTAACTTGGTTGTTTCATTTATTTATTTTATTTCATTTTATTTTGAATATCAAAATGTCCAGTCTACACTATAAGCTAATGACTCACAAAATTTTCCTTTAATAGATAAAGCCATTTAAAGCTGTGTAATAGCTGTACATGCTGTTAACACTAACTTTTCCCTTTCTGTTCTAATGTCCTAGTAAGTGGCAGGAAATTCTTCTAATTCAGAATTTATTATCATTAGGTAACCTCTAGGAAATTCTTAAAACATTTCATTCTTTGAAAATGGTGTTTGGGATCTTGGTGAGTTTTTTTTTTTTTAAACCTATCTCTATGTAACATGCATCTTTAAAGGGTTTGAGATAAAAGCAAATTTCCAGATTTTAGGTTGAGGAATGTTTAAAGTGGAACTGTGGCTGACGGGAGGAACTCTGAACTCAGGTATGGCTGTTCCTGGAGCAGGGGAAGTGGGCATTTATTTCACATATTAACCAGATCTAAATGCTTCTGAATTTTATTCTCCCTTTCTTGGACAACCTGTGATTGCAGCAGGGGGCACCACCAACATACGAATTACTTGAAAGTAGGAGGAAGCTCCGGCTTTCCTGTTTCCCTTACTACTTGGAGGCATAACCACTGAAAACAGTTATCTCTCAGAAATTTGCATATTTATAGTGCCTCCTGCAGGTTCCTGTGATTGCTTTACAGTCAGGAAAGGTAACAGAAAAATATATATCCTCCTTTAAAACATGAAAAAGGATCATATAGGAGCAGTGACTAATAGGAGACTAATCCTTGCAAGGAAGCATGAAATTTGTTTCCTGAATATTTTTGTTTTTGTTTTGTTTTAGGATACGAAAGGAATATTTTGGAAGTTATAGGACTAAGTCCCTGATTCCTTGAAAATAGATATAGGAAAATACTTAATGTTTTGAGAAAAAAAAATCAGCATAGACTTACTTATTCATTGCCTGACTACCTCTAAAGAACAGAAAATTCCTTACAGGCGAGGAAAAGCCACCCAATAGATCATTTAAAACCCTAGTTCCATGGCACATATATTGTTTTAGTTCTCATCATAAGCAAAGAACAAATGTGTAGTGTACCTTTGGATATAAAAGTTAATTAGGTCTCAGAAGAGAATAGTTTCATTTTTATTGGCTCTGAGTTCCAAGGATACCTTTGATATACCTTTTCTTTCAGCCCTTCTTGACCGATCCTCTTTGTGGAAGCTGTCCATGGTCCAGACACTCAGGCCTGTTTGGTTCTGGATGCCAGATTTTTGTTACTCTGCTTGCTCTCTTGAAAACCACTCCACCAAAAGTCAGCATCATAATTGAAATTACACCCAGAAAAATCTAATCTTATCTCCACCTCAAGACCAAGGTGCAGTTAATGTGCTGTTTCACCAGGGGTTTCAGTTTAGTGAGAGATTTCATATACTCTTTAGTTGGTGATACTTGGACACAGGAACATTCAGGGAGGATGAGACTGAAGCTCTAATTCTGAGTCATCCTGCTTCCTCCCTGTATCTTCACCAGAACCTCTTTCTTATTTTATCACAAGTCTATTGTACTTAATTTCCTTTTCTTTTAAATGGCCGGTGTACACAGTGCTTATAGAACTGGTATTAGCAATCATCAGCACATCCTTCATGATAGTGGAATTCCACAAGACACGGCCTTCTCTGCATCTTACCCTTTCTATGCAAATGCCTATCAAAATCAAGAGGATAAAAATAATTTTTCCTGAAATTAGGTTTTACATAATAAAGACACCATGTAGTAAAAATAATATGTGCTATCAATAATACTGGAGACATAAATGCCCAAACAGCAAGCAGAAGGATTCTCTTATCACCCATTAGTCACCACAGCACTACGCGTTCTTGTATTCTACCTCTCAGTGTAACATTAGGTGATCTCTCTGCTTGTTACTCTGGCCGGGGAAATTTTCACTGAAATAATTACTGCCATCATCTTATTATTTCAGTGCAAGTTTACATACAATGTTTAGGCATTTGGTATTGTGTTGAAAAAAATGTACCTCAGGATTAATATTTGTTTCCTGGTTGTTGGTTAATCTCTCATTCCTAAAAAAATTAATAAAAGATACCAACTGAAATCAGGGGCTTTTTTGTCCCTTTTAGCATCCATAGTGACAATCTTCTTCCTTCTAAAATGTTTAAAAATTGTAAGTATTGAAGCGCAACTTTTTAGCATTGTCATAAATGTATTAATTTTGGTTGTTACTACAAATCAGATATCATGTCAATCTTACTGAGGGTAAAATAGCTGAAAACACAAGTATGGACTCAGTATTTAAATTTCTTTCTTGGTCACATTAAGTTAAAGAGATCCAGCCCCTTAAATGTGAACATCAGTGGAAAGAAACGATCCATCTTGGAATTCTGAAGACATTACTAAAGCTAAAATCATATAATTTTTTTTTAAAAGAAAGGAGTTCCTTTTTGGTTGGAGGCTGCCTCTGTTTGATTTATTTATGCTAAAATAAAAGAAAAAAAATGGAAAGCTGCATGTTCCCATGAAGGAGAGTTGATTTCTTATAAAACATGTTTTAAAATGAGCATATTTAAAATTTTCTAGAACCTTTAAATCAATACAAGCAAAAGATCTATAATCTTTAGCAAAACCCCCTTATGTGCTTAATATTCAAATAATGTATATGCTTTCCCCTAATATATTTGTAGTCAGAAGCTTAGTTTATTTTAAAAATCCACTAATTAAGCTCTGAGTTCAAGATTCAATATTTTGAGAAGAGAAGGTCATACTTCTTTACTCATCATATGTCAAGAGCATATACTGATATTTCCCTTGCTCCCTGAGCCAGGCCAGAAAAAATCACTGTTTGGGGGTGTATGGGAAGGGGGTTGCCCATATAAAGCTCTGTGAGCTTTGCCTGTTGCAAATGAAAACCAGCTAGACAGGTCTTGATATTTAAAGAACGTAGTGTCTGGAGAATCAGCCTCCAGAATTAGTCTCTCAGAGTTACTCTGTTATGATGCTCTTGAAATTTGGCTGTTTGAATATTTTGCTGCATTTCAAAATCTGAGAATTGAGAACAATAAAAAGGACATTTTGTCTATGGTAGATAGGATTTTGAAGTTCCTGGGAATCTAAGTGGTTTACTTTGTAAGTCTTTGTTCATGTACCAGACATTTTCCTAAGGTTCTACTCTGTGCTGAGGGAGAGAAAGATGAAAATGACAGAGACTGTGCCCTATAAGCTCTAACAACTTAGGACTTGGGTGATGTGGTGGCTTTTATGACATATATACAAAGATATTATACACACATATATACACAGATATTATATGGAATATACACAGAGAGACATGTAATTGTTTCCCCCTGATGGAAGTGGGTGTGGAGTTTATAATATGTAGGTTAAATAGCAGTGCAAATGGCCCATGTTTCTTAACTATTTAAAAAATGAAATAAAATAATATAATTTTCAATTATTGAGTACTTATTAGTGAGCAACGCAAATACCCATGTCTTTTTCACTGGCAGCAGCAACTGAAAATATATTTGTGGAATTCATTCCTTGATTCAGGAAATGTATTAAGTGCCTACTATGTGTTAGGGAACCAAAACAAAAAATTGGCTGGACGCAGTGGCTCACGCCTATAATCCCAGCACTTTGGGAGACTGAGGTGGGTGGATCACGTGAGGTCAGGAGTTCGAGGCCAGCCTGGCCAACATAGTGAAACCCCCTCTCTACTAAAAAAATACAAAAATTAGCCTGGCATAGTGGTGGGCACCTGTAATCCCAGCTACTCAGGAGGTTGAGGGAGGGAGAATTGCTTGAACCTGGAGGCAGAAGTTGCAGTGAGCCAAGATTGTGCCACTGCATTCCAGAGGTGAAAGAGCGAGACTCCGACTCAAAAAAAAAAAAAAGGCACATTCACAAATACATGCTAGGAATAGTCCATAATATTGCCTACAAAACAAGTGGTAGCACAGAAAGCTCATTTCTCAAAAGTAACTAGTTAAGCCATTTGAAAACATTATAAAAACTGTGATAGAGATAGATGATCACAGATATCTATGACCAGACCTCATTATTTACCATTCTCATTTATGGGAAATCAAGTTTTTCTCCAGAAAGTACAAATCTGGTGTCAGAGTGACCAGAGCTGTGTTGCCTCACATAGATCCTCGCTATAGGTTTAGAACCGCTCAAATTAGTAATATGAAGCTAGGGCTATACAAAATAGGATAATAGTGTGCATTTGTATGGCTTTGGCATGTGTGACTGGTGAACTTTATGTGACATGCTTGTGCCTGTGTATGTGTGTCTTACCGCCTTAAAAAACAAAACAAAACAAAACCAATCATCCAAAAGCAGGGACCACATCTTATGTTTGCACAGTGCAGTGCTCCATAAAGAAGGAAAGAATAACAATTCTTAGGACCAGATTCTTCATTTTATAGGAATCTGGAGGTTCAGATAACTGAACTTGTGCAAGGATTTTTTTTTTTTAAGAGAAAGAGAAAACAGGCAAATTGTGTGCAACTGGGAATGGGAGAATAGAGAGATTTGTTTATTCTCTACTAAGCTGCCAAAGAAAGATGACAGAGGGATAGGTATTTTCTCCTAGAAAAGTTCCCTTTGCTGAATTTGACAAGAAAAAACCAAAAAAGACTATTGACTATCACACACAAAAAAAGTCTTAATTTCTAGAGAAGGGACCAGAATAGTCTGGGCTGTGCAGTGCTCTCTGGGAATGACTGGCATTCAGCTGGAGTGGTTATGGGGTTAGGCAATTATGGGGTTTATGAGACACTGGTAGAGAAGGAACTTGAGCCTGGTGACATGTTTTGATGACTGCTTCCCTTTTGTCACTCATTGAATTCCAGAGGAGACCAACTAAAGCTATTGTGAAGTGAGAACGATCAAAGCCTGTGGTCCTCAGTGGCCTAATTTGGTGGTCTGATCCCAGTCAGAGGGAATAGAGGAAAGGAACTGCTCTTCTGAAAGTGAAAAGATTTCTGAATGCAGATGTGGTTGCTGCATAGCTCTTGGTGGGCCTTTCTGTGTGAAGTCAGTGACCTTAGGGTCTGCCAACAACATCCAGCCAAGGTCACATTTTGGTGGAGGTGCCATGAGCTGCATGCATTTAAAAACTTCACTTTAACTTGTCCGCCACCTGATGTTTATGGAGTGGCTTTTCTAAAGCAACAAGATTTGGAGAAACAAAGTGTTAGAGCTTCTAACCTTACCCCATCTTTCATCCTATTTCTACTGCCCTCTGGTGGACATGTTAATTAGAGAAACTGCCACTCCCCACCCCATCAGCACTACCTTCTCCATCACCATCACCACCAGTATCATCATCACCACCACCGCCACCTCTATCGCCACCATCATCATCATTACCACCACCATCCTTGTTTTCCTCATGCATATACTCAGCATCGGCCACATCATCACCCATAAACATTAGTTTCATATTATGGTGGTGGTATACCAGGTTAATAGTACATATTTCAAAACTCTGGTCCACCGGATTATACAAAGTAAATTCTTCATCAATCTGTCAACAGTCAAAGTCAAGCAGAGAAATACATGGTGTTTGTGTACAGTCCTTGGGTAACTCAGGATGACTGCACCATGCTATTGCCTTCCAAACAAACCAAGTGATGCCAGGAAAGCTGTACCTTTTATGAAATAAGATGTGAATACTAACTCTTATTTTTACCACACAGTTGGTAGACAGGATTAAGATGATCTGAGGTGCTTTATTTTTCCTTTCTGGTAAGTTCATACTTTTTCATCAGAAGGTAGCACAGAATGCATACCTCTGTGTATATGTATGAGGTCGCAACATTCCTTGGCATATAGTCTTGATTTTTAAGTTGTTTCTTTCTGTGTGTGCGCCTATATATATGTAGGAACACACACACCCACACATACATACTCCAGGATAAAATAATAAAAACTTATAAAATCGCAAAGAGTACTTGTCCAAATAAAGGACTAACTGCCTATAAAATTTCCTTTCAGGCAGTGAAGTCATAGCTGGAAGTTGGCAATAAGACCATCTGAAACTACTAAAAACATTCTGAAATGTTCTGGAGGAGAGAGAGGGAGAGAGAGAGAAACAGAAGAGATAGAGAGAGAGAGAAACAGGAGAGAGAGAGAGAGAGAGAGAAAGAGGAGAGAGAGAGATCCAAAAGCTTCCTCAGCTGAGTTATTCTGCCTTTTATAAAACAAGTTCACATCTGGACTGATAACTTGAATTCTACCCAGTGCCATTTAAATAGCCCAAGTTATAAACCTCTTAAACTTGGGGTTTATAATAGAAACACTGACAGACCCTTAACTATAGTGCCTCTATAGTAATGAAAGCACAACTATTTCATTATAGCAGTGTCTGGCAGGGCTGCTATAATTAAGAGTCTGTCAGCGTTTCCATTATAAACCCAAATTTTAAGAGGTTTTTAACTCACATTGTTTTAAATCACATTGGGCTGAAGCTGGCTGTACAAAATGTCAGACCAGATGTGTGTGTGTGTGTGTGTGTGTTGCTTTTTTTTTTATTTACGAGAGAGAGGGAAAGAGAGAGGCATATAGGTGAAGGTTGTTTTTAAGATTGGGTTTGAAAAACACGTATTAAAAAATTATTCCCTTGCTAAAGGTAAAAGATGCATGGGGTAGGGAAGCATAGAGAATCAAGTTTGAAATACCTTTTATTTTTGGTTGTTTTGATTGTATTTTTTTTCCTTTAAAAGTAGTCTCATTTGAGAAAGCAGTTTTGTACGTATCCAAAAGCAATGTTAAAAAAAAAAAGAAATCATTTGATACCAGCTTATTGATACTGGCTTATTTGGAAGATATTTGATAATGTATGCTGCTGGAGACGATGGAAATATCTTGTATTGTTACTTGTTCAGCTGCTCTGATATTCGAGATAATCTTTTCTGAGCTCACCATCCTTGGTGGGAATCACTTTTATGTTTAAACACACTCTTGGAATAGGGTTGCCTGATCAAAGCCTTATTAGTTTTGGGGGAAAATGAATAGAATTTGGATGGTTATGTTGGTTTCATGTATGTGGTGATAGGATTTATTAGTTTATTATTTATCAAATTATTATTTATCAGATAACTTTATTAATTTATTATTTATCAAAGACCATTTATTGGACATCTACTGTGTGCTGATTATTGCATTAGGAACTCTCTAGTGCAGTACATTCATTGGACTGGCAGCATTGCCCAGCACCTCTGTGTCTTTGATGTCAATATTAGGAAGCTAAACTGAGCATTTCATTCAGTAGCGTTCTAACTAGAACTCTTTGTCTCTTCCAAGGGGCCCCTTACTTATGTGGTAAGACTACTGCTCCCTCTTCCCCATACATTATTGACTTAGCACACAGCAGCCTCATCTAGAGGAAAGTATAGACTTAGAGCAGGTTCAGCTCGCTCCTTCCTTCCTCCCTCCCTCCCTTCCTCCCTCCTTTCTTTCTTTCTTCCTTCCTTCCTTCCTTCCTCCCTCCCTCCCTCCCTCCCTCCTTCCTTCCTTTCTTCCTTCTTTCCTTTTCCTTTTTCTTTGGATAGGTTCATTCAGGTGTTTGAAGCGCTGACTGCTAGCTAGCTAAAGGCCCAGGGAGCCTGGAGAGAAAGATGCCAGACTAATGGTTCTCCCAGGAGCCTCCTTGAGAGATGTCTGTGCCTTTGTAGAAGGTATAGATACTGTCCTCCAGGGACCTCCCAACCTGTGGGTCACACTGGGAGTAGAGGAGGAAAAAGAAGCTCATCCTCTTCCACAAGCAACTCCCTAACATTTTTATTATTATTTTTTTGAGACAGGCTGTTGCCCGGGCTGGAGTGCAGTGATGTGATCTTGGCTCACTGCAACCTCTGTCCCCCAGGTTCAAGCGATTCTTGTGCCTCAGCCTCCCAAGTAGGTGGGACTACAAGCATGCGCCACCATGCTCAGCAATTTTTTGTATTTTTAGTAGAGATGGGGTTTCACATTGTTGGCCAGGCTGGTCTTGAACTCCTGACCTCAAGTGATCCTCCCACCTCGGCTTCCCAAAGTGCTGGGATTACAGGTGTGAGCCACCACCCCCAGCCATTCCCAACATTTTAAAATTCATTTTTCCTTTGTCTTAACAACAGCCTAGCACTTCCATCATTGAGACCCAAAATACAAAACCTATGCCAAGCATAGAATCCAAACCTAAGTTTTATTTTTATGAAGATGACTGCCTGTTCTCTATTTTGTGACCTGCCAATTAGGAAAAACAAAAAATAAAAATTAAAAGAAAAGAAATAAAAAGAAGAAAAAAGGCTAAAGTAAAAATCAAGAAGGAAATGATTGTATTTTTAATCATTCATTCAGTCATTCACTTATTTATCTTTGAGTCTATGAAGGTGTTTCCCCCTAAAGGCAGACAGTGAATATTTTATTTTAATCTTGTAGTTTCCATCCTGACAGACCTTTTAACCCTTCATCTTCCAGCTCAGCCCGAGTTCCTCGCGCCAGGCGATCCTCGGTCCGAGGGCTGGGACTGTATTAAGTCTCCCTCTTCGAGCTGTTTGTTGACCACATTCACGTTCAGAGCCCTTGAGCTAAAAGCACTTTACACCATAAAATAAAAGCACTGTCTTTTTTTTTTTCTAAAAGGTTACGTCTGGAGGCCACGCGGCTCATACTTCATACCGAAAACTACTGAAAGGACTATGAAATCCTGTATGATTTACACTCTCTCACTGCATTAGGGTATAGATCTACTCAACTCTAAAAATACGGTGGGTTTCTAACCGACGTGAATATATGTGCATTATTTCAGAAAGTCTGTTAGAAAACTTGTCAACACATTATAAAGCATAAACTAGGACTTGGCTATTAAGTACGGAGATCAGAGGCAGAATATATACTGCAGGAAGTCCTGGGGCGTCTCCTCCGCGGGCAAGATAAAAAGGGGGAGGAGGGAAGGGGAGGGGTCGTCTGCTGGCCTGGAGTTTACACGCAGTGTCGTCACCAAAGGTTTGGGAAAGAGCCCACGGAACGTAATTACCCTTTCAATGGGAGCAGCAACAGCTCTACAGCCCCAAACGAAGTTAACTGAACGGCCAGAAAATAATTTTAACGTTGTCATAATTTATTACTTTCTAAAAGCCACTTCTGGAAAGGTAAATATACTTATTGTGTATCCAAGTGTGCGCATTTAAAGTGACCTTTCACCCCCTCTACAAAACCACCTGCATCATTAATCAATACTTACGTAATATTTTAAAATCTCTTAAAACGACACATCTTTCTTTAAACACACATACAAACCCTCCCCTCCCCCACTTTCGGGCTCTTTAGCGAGCATCCAGCAGTGCTGAGGGAGGGGTTGTCGCCCTAGGGGAGGGCACCAGGGGCCGGGGAGGGGGGTCGACGACCAGGAGGGATCAAATGCCGACACACAGCCGTGGTTTTCTGGACTGGGTGAAATCTGGCTGGGGGAGGGGCGGGAGCGGAGGGCACTTCCCATTTCACCCTGGGCATATTATGATGGTGAAATTAAATATATGTCGGGGAATCGTCGCTGCTTACCTCTCCTTTGGCACCCAGGGAAAGCAGCTGCAAAACTGGCTTTTTAATGTATGTTTTAAGATGTGGTTTAGGAAGGAACCCCCTGGAATCTGAAACAAGTGCAATAACATAGCAGACCTACTTGTAACTAAGTGCTTAATTTCCTATGTTTTTTTTTAAAAAGGAAAATCAATAAAATGTTGCCAGTTATTTATTGGAAATAGCCACAGATAGCAGCCCTGATAGGGTGCCATCGTCAGAGCGCACACAATTGTGTAATGAATTGTAATTCAGAAGACTGTTAAATGTGAACCACAGAACCTTTCAGAGGTAATAAAGTCATTACTTTTTACACTACAGCCAACCCCGAAAAGCTTTATACACACCATTATATATAAATCATACATATATATATATTTCCACAACACTCACTCGCTCATTTATATATCTTCTCTATAGATGGACTTTTATGGACGGGTGGGAACAATATTCAAATCTGAAAAGCTTGGTTCTGAAAGAATCTGGCTCACTATTGTTACCTGAAGGGGCTTTTCTTTTATTTATTTATTTTTCAAAGGCCTCCCAGTTGCACTTTCTTCTTCCCTCTCTTCACCTTCCCTCCAACCGTCCCCCACGTCGTCCTCCCCCGCCACCCCCCAAGAAGACATTCTTTTGGTGACTCCAAGGCTGGTTTAACAAGACAAAAAGCAGACTGTGGTGGAATAGAGATGCTGACCTGCTCTGAAGAACTCAGTGAAAAGGGGAAATGGTGTCACACACAAGCTACAGAGCTTAACTTCTAGTGAATCCTCCCGCTTCTTAAACAGAATTTGAGGTCTCCCTCCCACAAACTGGAGGGAAACAACAACAAACAACAAACCACATTGACACAATCCCAGTACAGCCCACATCTCTCTCAATGTTGAGCATCAAAACCTCCTTTTCTTCCTTAGAGGGGTCCGAAGCTCCGCCGAGCTAGGCAAGCCAGTCATTTTCTAACACAGTAGACTTGAAACTTTACTAAGACGAAACAGGAATAAACAGCCGCTTGCCGGCAGGGCTGCGGGATGGGTGAGCGCGTGCAAGCCCGGGGCCCTCGCTTAAAACAATAAAGCCCCCCCACCGGGTGGGTGAGTTTACGGAAGCGACACCCTTTAGACTGAAGAGGGGGATGAGAAGACGGGGGTTGTGGAACCGCTCCGAGGAGAGGGAAGGAGGGCTCCTCGCTCTGCAGACACACTCACACATATCCACCTGCAGCTCAGGGTCTCGCGGGCCATGGCGACCCGTCTCCACCCTGCACCCTCCGCACCTCCCTTGGACCTGAGTCCATTCTCCTCTCCCCCCAACTCCTTCCAGATTTGGAATCGGACTGCGATCTCCCCGGCGGCGGCGGCGGCGGCTGCAGAGTGGTGCTGGCAGGCAGGGAGGCTGGGAGGCGGGAGGCGCCAGGGGACTTTACAGGCACGTTTCTGAATAAACTTTCCAATCGCAGGGGGTGCTGTTGCTGTACATTTTACGTAAAACTGAAAGTATCCCACGCCAGAGTGAAGCCCGCTTTTTGACAGCGGCAGCACGCGCGTGTGTGTGCGTGTGTGCATTAAAGAGACAGGGTTTTATTTCCAACAGGTCTTCCCTAATTTCCAGGGAACGTCTGCAGAAAGGCGAGAGGGGGCTGCTGGCTCCTGGGTGTGCGCCTTGGCCGGCGGCGCCTGGGGAGCGCGGCGGTGACCCGAGGCGGTCATCTCACCACCGTGGTCTCCCCGCTGCTCCTGCGAGCCTGTCGCTCTCTCTCCATTCCCATTTTCTCTTTCCCTGGGTAACAGCACAGGAACAGTTGTGCTCTGCCCGTAAGAAACATTTTCTTCCCATCCCTCTGTGCTTTTGCAGTTGCTCTGGAGTGGGAGGGGGTGTGTCCCTCCCAGGGACCCGGCTCGGGGACCTCCCGCGGCGCCGTGAGCACATTCCCAGGGACTGGGACTCCCGGGACTGCCCGCGCTTTGTCCTCGGCCTCTCAGAGAGGTGGACGCCTCGGTGCCTCTCTTGCCCAGGCCCCCGGCGCTCCCCTCCGGGGGCCAGACTCTGGCTCCTCGTTCTTTATTCCTCGGGCTCTCTTTCTGCGACCCTTAGGAGCCGGGGACTCGGCGCTTTCAGTTGCATTCAGACCCAGTCGCTTGGCGGGGCGCTCAGATTCCCGGTCCCTGGCTCGGCCTTGGGGGCGCCCTCGGGCCCCGGCCTGCGCCGCCTGCCTCTCCCCGGTCCCCTCTTTCCAGGCCGCGCGGGCTCCTGGAGACTTGGGCGCTGCCCTTCCGGACCCGCAGCCCTCCAAACTTAGGCTGGATTCCGCGTTGCCGTGCGCTCCCTCCCACCTCCCCTCGCCCGCTGCGGAGCTGTAACTTGGAGGCTCAGCTCTCAACTTCGGGTGATTTTTCTTTGCTGTCCTCTCCTCGGGCAAAGTTTCCCGAGCGCAGCCGCGGGCTCGGGGCTTTTACTTCGGCCCCTGGCGTCCACACGCGGGGAGCGAGCGCGGCGGCGGCGGGGAGGGGAAGTGGGTGTGCGTACGGAGGAGGGTGTCCGGGAGCAACTCTACCTGGCTTCCCTCCGCCCGCGCTTCCCCAGCCCGGGGCTGCAGCCTCCCGGTGCACTCTCGCTCTATTTTTTTCTTTTTTGAATAATCTTTCATTTTAGAGTCCGCGTGTGTGGGGGGGAGCAGGGCGCACGTCTTGCTCCCCCCCACCCTTTCCTCCCACCCCTGCCACCCCTTTCTTCTCTCCCGGCCACGCCACCGCCGCGGCGCTCGCTGCGGCCACTGGTGAGCCCGCGGCCCCAGCGCCCCCTCCCCTCGGCCCGCCCCTCCCCCGGGGGCCGCGTCTGGCGTCCGCGGAGCCCCCCGCCCCGCACCTCCCCCTCCCCGCACTGGCCATTGGCTTGTCCTGGTCTCTTTTTCATGTCCAGCCCCTGATGTGTGTCCATTGGTGTGAGCTTCCCCTTCCCTCCTCCCCTTCTCTCCTGCTCGCCCTGCCCATGTTTTGTGTGTCTCTGTCCATCCAGACTCCTGACGTTCAAGTTCGCAGGGACGTCACGTCCGCACTTGAACTTGCAGCTCAGGGGGGCTTTTGCCATTTTTTTCATCTCTCTCTCTCTCTCTCCCTCTATCTCTCTTCTCTCTCTCTCCCTCTTTTTTTTTTTTTTTTTTTTTTTTTTTTTGCTTAAAAAAAAGCCATGACGGCTCTCCCACAATTCATCTTCCCTGCGCCATCTTTGTATTATTTCTAATTTATTTTGGATGTCAAAAGGCACTGATGAAGATATTTTCTCTGGAGTCTCCTTCTTTCTAACCCGGCTCTCCCGATGTGAACCGAGCCGTCGTCCGCCCGCCGCCGCCGCCGCCGCCGCCGCCGCCCGCCCCGCAGCCCACCATGTCTCGCCGCAAGCAAGGCAAACCCCAGCACTTAAGCAAACGGGAATTCTCGCGTAAGTAACCCAATAATAGTAATAATAATTATTAATAATCACGAGAGCGCGCAGGACTAGAAGCAAAAGCGAGGGGGAGAGAGGGGTGTGTGCATGCATTTTTAAATTTTTCACGAGAAAAACCTCCGAGAGTCGAGGTAAAAGAGATAAAGGGGGAAAAAACCCTCATCCCATCTGGAACCATTGCCGTGTATGCACTTTTGAGACAGCACGCACCTTTTAATTTTATTTAATTTTACAAAAATTTGACTCCTCCTCTTTCCTCCTTTCCGCCGCTTTATTTCTCTTTTCGAAAAGGAATGCAATGATTCCACTCCCCCCCCGCCCCGCCAGTTTTGCAAAATAATGAACAATGCTAAGGTTGCGAACAACTCACATGCAAACCTGGGGGTGGGAGCTGGTGGGGAAAGGGAGGTTGCTTCCCACTCACCGTAAGAAAATGGGGGGGTAGGGAGGGAGTGAGTACAAGTCTAAAAAACGATTCCCGGGGAGAAAAGAGGTGAGACTGGCTTTTGGACACCAGCGCGCTCACGGTCAAGTGTGCAGCGGGAGGAAAGTAGTCATCCCCACAATAGTGAGAAAGTGGCACTGTGGAAAGGGGCCCCCGGCGCTCCTGAGTCCGCGGAGTCGGGAGAGGGGCCGCGGCGACGGGGAGAGCCGTGGGACCGGGAAGGACGGGAGACGCGGCCGGCACTGCCGCCTTTTGTTCCGGCCAGAGGTGGGTGTTTGTCCCGCTGCCTTTTGTGCCGGCTCCTCGCGCTTGCCCTCCCGCGCCGCCGCCGCCGCCGCCGCCGAAGGGCAGGAGCTAGGGCCGGGGGAGGAGGCGGCCGGGGGCACGCGGGAGAGGGAGGGAGGGAGCCCGGACTGCTGCCTCCTGGGTTGCCGCTGCCCTCCCCTCCCGACCGAACCTCAGAGGCAGCAAGGAGAAGACTGGCACATAAATAAATAAATACATAAAAATAAAATAAATAAAACAAGGCAAGAGAATGTACAATTTCTTGCCCCCAAACCGAAGCCAAACGCTCTGCCAACCCTTTTCTGTGACGGCCTTCTCTTTGACTCCCCCACCAGCCCCCCTGCAAAAATCTCACAATCTCTCATCTAGAAAAAAATTTACAATCACCCTCTTCCCCCAAACCCCTTCAGTTGCAAACTTAGGGCGCCGACGGCACGGAGAGGGAGAGAGGAACTCCCTCCTCTTACTATTTTTTGGAAGATTTTCAAAAAAAGTGGAAGTGGATTTTGATTGGGAAAAATCTCGTGTCTGAATGTTTACAAGCACCGCGTGTGCGGGAGCCTCCTGCCAACAAACAGACAGAGGACCGAGCGCGGCGCGGCAGCCCCGGAGCAGGCGGCGGCGGCGGCCTGGCCTCGCCCGGGCCTTGCCCGACCTCGCCGCGCCCCAGCCCAGCCCCGGATCGCCCACCCGGCGCCCGGCGCCCACCCGCCAGGCACGGCGGCAGGCCACGCAGTGTCTCCGCGCCAGCCTGGCCCGTGGTCCTGGTCCGCCCCCAGCACAATGCCGAGACCTCTTCTCGACCTCCCAGACTGCGAAATCGGCTGGGTGAAACTCGGCTTTGCAAAGCATTTTTATTTTGCAGGGCAACTGTAAAAGCGCGTTCTGCGCCTCCCCTCCCCTCCGCCCTGGGTACTTTCTCAGACGTCTCTTGTCCACAGCTCGGGACCGCGAGGAGGTCACCACGTGCTTTCCCTGCCCACCCCCCACCCCGCCCGGTCTGGTCACCAGTCCCCCTGCGCCCCGAGCACGACTAGGCCAGGTGGCGGGGTTGCCGGGGAAGGGCAGGGGAGAAGTGTGTTTGAGTGTGCATTTTAAGGGCGCTGGATCCTGGGACCCCGAGCACTTCACCCTTTGGGTCTTGCCCTCTTCCCCAGGCCTGGCTTGGTCTGAGGTTCTTGTGAGTCTGTATAAGAGCTGGTGGTGGTGGCTGTCTCCCGCTGACTGCGCCTGGAAAGGCGGGCGGTGGGCACTTAGGAAAGTTTGGCAGCAAGGGAAAGAAAGGCGTGAGGGCCCACATTCCCCCCCTACTCAATTTATGATTCTTACTTTAAATTTTTGATGCAGTTTTAAAGGACCACCTATACTTGGTTCTGTGTTTTTTTAAAGGGGTGGTGGTGGGGGGTGCGCACAGGGAATTTAATTTTTCACTGGGCCCTGGAACTTGTCACACACTTCGGAAGCTCCCCCACCCCGGCACGTTGCGCGGCCCTCCCTCTCCCCACCCCCTCGCATCCCTCCCTCGCCGCTCTCCCCCGCCCCCAACTCCCCCGGCCGCGCCGGATGCGGATCAGACGCGGCGCGCGGCGGTGTGAAGTTACAGCCCGGCCAGGTACCGGCGGGAAGGAAGGGCAGTGTTCGCAGGACTCGGGAAAGTCAGGCCCTTCTTCGGAAGGATGCAGTGGGGGCTCAAAGGACAGACCGGGGCGCGCAGTCCAGGCTGCTCCCTCGTACCCCTCTCCCTCCTGGGTCCATCTTGGGACACTCTAGGCTGGGAGGGTTAGTACCCCCTCCTCCTGTCCCGGGGTTAAAGGGCCAGTTTGGGAGGGGGTGAGGGGGCCACTTCTTTCTGTCCTCATTTTCTGGGTGCTCAGAGGGGGCAGGAGCCATCCCGGTCCTCAGTACCACCCCCCCGCCCCCCGCCTCTGCTATGTGGGCTGAATGAGCCATTCGGTCGCTAGGAGGCAGAACAAGATCAAGAAAGCTCAGCGAACTTGAACCTGTACCAGAGCCTCCCCCACCTCCTGCCCGGCGATTCTCGTCCGGGGAGGAACGAGCTTTGCGAGGGTGGGGGTGGGGGGAAAGAACGGTTAGGCAGAATTCCCTTTCTCTCCCCCATCACCCCGTATGTCTTTGTTCTTCATTTTGACTTTAAAAATGCTTCTGGCCGGGGCCGCGGAGAAGCGACCGGGCGCGCGGCCGACACCCCCGTGCGCGAGCTGAGACCAGCGCGCGCCGGGCTCGGAGCACGGTGCAGTTTTCGCTTTCTTTCGGGGCCGGCATTTTTGGTAGGGAGGAACCGGGAGTGCGCGCTCTAGGGCTTCGGGGCATGGCCGAAGAGGGGGATATGGCAAGTTTGCACTTGGTCTCCAGCCTCACTTCTTCCACCCCCTCACCCCCATGCAAAGCACAGACCTCGGTGGCCTCGGCTGGCTTGCTGGGCGGCTCTGCAGCCCGACACCCCCCCTCTCGCCTCGGAGCTCGGAATCACAACAATAGTAATAGTTATCATCATAATGATGCGGGCAGGCAGCGTCATTAATAATGAATAACCGCAGCCGCCGCCGCGCACACCCAGTGCCCAGAATTGCGGGGGAAATGCATTTGCAGAGATCCCCCAAAGTAAAAAGTGTAAGCTTGTGGACACAGAATGAATCTCAGGACCCGCGCTTGAGGTGTGTGCGGAGATACTGAGACTGCACCAGGTTAACCAGCCGGGTTTTCCAAACCTCACTTCCTTTTTCACCAACTGGCAGGCCCAGGGAACCGTCACCCCGCGGCCGAGCTGGCCGAGCTGGACGGGCATGGAGGCAGCAGTCAGGGCCCCTGGCTGCCCTCCGTCTCCGGGCCCCCGGGCCCCAAGGCCCCGCGGCCGCTGCTGCACGTGTTCGCAGCAAGCGCGGCGGGAGCCTGCAGCCAGCACGCTGCTCGCTTTGTGCCTCAGAGTCCCCGCGCCCAACTTCACTTTCTGCACGGTCCACCCTTGCCGGGGCCCCTGCCCCGGGCCTGTAGCCCCCGGCTTTGCTTTTGTTTCTTTGCTTTTCCTCTCTGAATTTCAGCCTCCGTTTGCTTCTTTACCCTGTTAAGACAATCAAGGAGAAGGACTTGGAAAGCAAACTTGAAGACACATCTCCCTTTCCCCCTCCCCCTCCGCTCCCCGGCAGCTCTCGTTTTGCTCGCTCCTTACCAACATTTCCTATAAGGATTATTTTTTTCCCTTAAATTTATTCTTTTGCAACTACACAGAGAGGAAAGAGATCTCAGTCTGTCACTGAGACATTGAGACGTTCCAGGCTGTCTTGCTGTTTGAACGTAGAAGCATTTTATTTTCTATTTCTTCCTCCCCTCGTAGAGAGAATTCGCGGCTAATTATTATGATTATTTGCCCACTCCCTTCCACTTCAATCGAGGACTCCCTGCTTTGTAGCCGGAGTTTAGGCCGGAGCTTAGAAATGTTGGTATTGTTGGGGCGAAGGAGGATGGAGTTGAATTGAGGGAGGGGGTAAATGGCTGAGGGTTAGGAAGGTTTTTAGGGAAAGGGGAATTTGCATTAAAATGCAGAGAAATTATCAGATGCCCAGAAAGGAAATGTTGATTGCCACTGAGAAAAGATGTCAATGCAAATCAGTAGACTACACCATGAGAATTGTATTTTCATATTTTCTTTGTGTCCCACTTTGTCTGATTTTTAATAATATACCAGCAATGATAAAAACACGTTTTGGTATTTCTCTGAACACCACTAGCCAAATGTTTTGCAAGGAGACCGATGTTAAACGTATTTCATACATTAGAATATAATTCTTGTTAATTAGCAATAATTTACGTTAAGAGCATAGAAAATGTTGAGGTTACAGGTTTTATATCTGTACATTTGATCATCTTGTTATTTTCAAGAACTTTGCCTCCTATAAAATTAATTAGGTGAAATGTGGAGGTGTAATCAGCAACCTCTGAATTACCACTTCATTTCCCGGTTTTGATTGTAAATCAGTTCAGTCACTACATTTAGAAGACTTTAACCAAGTCTGTTTTGAACCACATTACCTTTAACTATTTGATACCTAGGAGAATATTTCCTTTTGCACCTAAATAATATTCCCACTTTTAGAAATGTGTCAGACCTTGGGAACAAAAAAAAAAAAAAAAGAATCTTAACGGTGGAAATAAAAAATTTTTTTTTTTGCAAAGGTTCTATGTACTAGTAAGTTTGATAAAATATTTTCCTAAGTCTTCCTTCAGTCTGTAAACCTCAGAACTTGTAGCTAATGCTAAACAAAAAAGCCACATTTATCAATGTGTACTTAAAATCCTTAATTCAGACAACAGGAATATTTTGAGAATGAGTTCCCTATTCCTCACTTGGTCAAAATGGAAGCAAATGTAAGAGAAGAATGACATTAAGGCACAATGCAGAGGCACTTCTGTTTGTCTTCTTTTATTTGAAAAGTATGCATATGTATTCTGTATTTATCTTTTGGCCAGTATGTTGGGCAAAGAAACATAAGTGCTTACTTTACTGTCTTTATTAGTAGGAATATAACCTTCATATTCCTGTGGTGACCTTATGTTAAATTAGGAGGAGTACCAGAGGCTAGAAATTATGAGATGTCCTACTTGAGCACAGGTGCAGCTAGGCAGGGCTCTCTCAATATTATTTCACCTAGCACATCTGGGAGTTACTCCAGATCTTCCCCCTCAATATTCAGCCTGGGTAGGGTTGAAATAAATTTAACCTGAGTTCACTGGATTTTTGCACTTTATCAAAATCTGTTCCAATATTCTACACTCAAATTAAAATCTATTTTTTGATTCTCTGTGGCTTTAAGTTCATTAAATGTAAAATTGGCAGCTTGCTAAAGAAGGTCAGACTGATTAACTGTTTAAGACTTGTACATTTTCTGCTTCAGTTTTATTAACTGGCAGCATCCTGGATGTTTTGTATTTTGTGATTTTTTTTTTTTTTTTGATAGAGCAAGCATAAGATTTCACAAGCAGAGACTTACCAACTCTCTTTTCCCCTTTGGAAGCTTAAAAAATGATAGAAGCTGGTAAAGTAGATGCTGGAGTATTTTAGTACAAAGTTAAAAAAAAAAGCAAACAGGAAAGAAAGACATGTCTACCTTGTTATACCATCCGCTGGTGATTATGTGTGCAGAAATAGTCTCATAATGAAGCATTTTGGAGCTCATTCAGAAAATTAGTCCACTTTGACAACATTAGGCGAAGTATTTCAAGTCTAAAGAAAGGACTTCTCAGCCTTGCTCTGAAATGTGGTGTTTGCTTGACCATTCTGATTTTTATATCATAGATGCCACCAAGTGCAAACATGTTTAGAATATTATAGGCATTCCATTTCTCAGAATAAAAAAAAAATGACTAATTGGCTTATTTTCTTAAGTACTCAAAAGTATCCCATTTAGCTAATGTGTCTGAGAAATACTGCCCGTGCATTTGGTATTTCTTTGATTTTGTGGCACTGCTGAGAGTGAGAGCAGAAAGGTTTTTGGCAGTGTGAATTATGCTGCGACATGATTATTATTTAGATCCGTTTCATAGGTGCATGCAGTCGTTTTCTTATTACAGCAGTGTAAATGTGGCACATTTTTCATGTGACATAGTAGCTTTCTAATTTATGAAGCCATGTCTGTTTACTTAGGAGTATATACATTCACACACAAAGGGTGTGTGTGTTTATTCACCTCTCCTTTCATTCTTTGGCACAATGGACAACTTGGTGTATAGGAAAAAAGAAACAAATTTGGTTTCTATCCACTTTTTTTTTTAACCAGTTTTTCTTGTAGTTATTATTTAAGCTTTCTTTATGTTCCCTGTGTTAACTATTTAAGTAGCATTCTTTCTAAACTTACAAACCAGACACATTTGTTGCTGTGGGTGTGTGCATGGGTATATGTGTGTGTGTGTGTTCTCTGGAGTTATGCAAGGAAGACTGTTTTCTTTACATATGTGATGATTTGCCTCATTGACAAATTTGCTCTCTGGTTGATAACCTTCACATCCTTGTACTTTTTGTATGCTCACATTTTCTGGGTATTATATAGAGAAGCCTAGAAACACTTTACATGATGTGGTGGGATGGCATGGGGTTGAGATGTGCTTCTCCCCTTTCTGTCCTCTCTGGCACTCTAATAATTGTGCTTTTGTTTCTCCAACCACAGCCGAGCCTCTTGAAGCCATTCTTACAGATGATGAACCAGACCACGGCCCGTTGGGAGCTCCAGAAGGGGATCATGACCTCCTCACCTGTGGGCAGTGCCAGATGAACTTCCCATTGGGGGACATTCTTATTTTTATCGAGCACAAACGGAAACAATGCAATGGCAGCCTCTGCTTAGAAAAAGCTGTGGATAAGCCACCTTCCCCTTCACCAATCGAGATGAAAAAAGCATCCAATCCCGTGGAGGTTGGCATCCAGGTCACGCCAGAGGATGACGATTGTTTATCAACGTCATCTAGAGGAATTTGCCCCAAACAGGAACACATAGCAGGTAAATGAGAAGCAAGGAGAAAAGCTGTTTGCATGTTTTCTTTTCATTTTCAGAGGTGCTGTAGCCAAGCAGTAAGGAGTTGTGAAGTGCTTTCTCTATTACTCTATGTGACTGTCCATGACAGCCCTGTAATGTTAAAATAATCATTTCTGTTGCTTACGTCCAGAACACAGAAAAATAAATATTTTCCACCTCACTGAATCAGATGTAGGCAGGATAGGTACACACATCAGACACCTTCTCTCTGGATCTGTCGATTTTGGATTTCTTTTCTTCCCCATCCCCACCTTCTCATTTTGAAGTATTGAGCTTTACTACACCTAGTCCAGCTTCCATTGTCCATTTCCAGCCTTGGTGACGTGTCAGAGGCAAAGTGGCCATATAGGCATTTGCAGTTCAGCCAATGACTTGTTTGACTCAGAACATCTGGCCAGGCCTCCTTAGGGGTTCAGCTCGTTCTCAAGGCTTCCCTGAAGTAGAGTGGGCTGGCAGGGTAGTTGGAGGTGGTGGAAAGAGTTAACTGAGCTTCAGGGCTAGCCTTGGATCCATATTGGCTGTCAGCCCGGATGGGGCTGTAATTAAACACAGCCCCGTGGTGGGATGACACCATGACCTTGACTTTAAGATGCCATTTTCGACTGGCCAGGCCAGAGTAGAGAGGGCAGTTGCTGAAGCGCACAGACATGCTTACTCGAAAAGTTTAAGGGCATGTTGGAAATTTCAAAAGGTTGGTTTGACAGGAACGGCTGCTCCCTGCAGCCTGCCTCCTCAGCTAAATGATAAATGCTTCTCTGTGCTCTCTCTTGTCTCTGATGTGGTTTTGACAGATGTATCTTGATTTTGTTTGTGGTTTACACAGCCACATGTCACCCTTACAAATGTCCAGTCCAGACTCCACTGTTTCTGCTATAACACAATGTAAAAATTTTCTTGGAAAAATACACACACGTATTCAACAGCCCTCCCTCCTTTGGTTAATTTTAGCAGGGAGGCAGCTAGGTGTGTGGGTTTCTCGGCAGCTCAAGGGAAAAGGAATTAAAGGCTAGCAGTGGGACTTAAATTCCCTTCTCTAAGTGATAAACAGTAACACTATATAGTGACCCTCAAAACATTTTTTGCTTGAGCATGTTAGACAAAAGTCAATGCAGATTCTGTGATGACAGACATGCCATGCCTGTTGGTGGATCGCTTTCTTCCATCTACCTACCACCCAGCTCCCGAAAGGCAAGAGGTTTGTTCAGTTTTAGGAAAGGTAGTGCATATCATGAATTGATTCACTGGAACTTGTCTCTCCGACCTAGTTTGACCACAAAGTTGAACCATAATAGGTCAGTGGTCTAGAGGGGATTAAATGTCATATTATTTCTCCTCTCCCCCTCTAGAATTTGATCATTAAAACCAAACATGGCATTTTCTTTCTTTTTTTAGTGCTTTCTGTGATAGCACTCAGATACTTTCCCTTTAGTGAAATGGGAAATCTGCTGCTAGGGAAGCTGCATTTGTGGAGTGTATTTCTTGAATCCACCACATTTACCTTATGTGACATGTAGGTGAAGATTTTATCTCCCCTACCCCCCAGCAGGATGTGGGAATGACCATTTCCATGTGTTGTCTTGTGACTGGAAGGAAAATGAACAGAAGTGTAAGGCATGATTAATGAAGCAAGAGCAGGCGGAAGGGGATTTGTCGTCTTCGGAGATCCAAAGCCTTGCTAAATCACCAAATATGGAGTAACACTTGCGTGATGTAACATCGTATTTACATATCGAGCTGCTCGTTTAAAAGACAAAACACAGTGTCTGTCAAGCAAGAATTAAAACCACACTTCTTACTGAGGTCCCAAATAGGTTATTCAGTCTTAGATTAACCAGCTCAAAAATTCTGTGCCTCTGTATTTAGAGGAGGAATCTAAATGCTGGGGGGAAGGCCTTACATATAGTTAAGACTTTTACTGCTATAGTTGTGAATCTATGTAGGGAAATAAGAGATATTTGCTTGAACTCCCTGGTTGTCTAAAGGTTCTGTTATTATTTTTTTAAAGAACAAGTATAATAGCAGAGCCTAGAGAAGCCAAAACCAAAAGCAAATTTAAAATATATTTTATAGCGCTAATAATCAATCATTTAACTGAGACGAAAAGCTCTCTAAGATGTCTAAGATATTCAATGGGCGCACAACAAGTGCTGTGACCCAGGTGAGGTAAACCTTTCGTGCATGAATAATTACAAAGTCTTGATTTCTTTCATTGTGTTTAATCACCTGTTCCCACCCTGGAACTGGCTGAACATAAATAGTGTGGTCACATCTCAAAGTGAGATGTCAGTAACTAGAATCACGACTTCTCATAATTCACAGTAATGAATTAAGAGTTTCCTATGGTGAAGTTAACATTCTACCATTGCACATAAATTCCGACGCTCTGGCCCTCAGGTGCCCCTGAAGCGAAGTTCTGGAAGACGGCTGTGTGTGTACCCCCAGCCCATTTCTCTAAAGCACGTCTGCACAATTCCAAGTCTGCTTTTCTTTTTATGATGAGGAAGGAAACAATAACAGTAATCATTCAGTAGATATTTGAATTGTGTCACAAAAAGAAAGGAGAAGCAATGCCTTGTATTAAGGAAAGAGATATATTGATGAATCTCTAGAAGAATGTGTTTGGCAACCACATAAAAGGTAGTCATTTAAGCGTGCTGGGTAGGAAAGGCTTTATTAAAGTGATGTAAGTTGGATTTGAGTTCACTGTGAGCCTGTACTATTTTATAGGCAGGAAGCAAGAATAAAACAGTGACAGATCTTCTTCCTAAGATAAATAAAGCTTAGAATTCGGGACTTTCAGATAGGAGAATAAGGCAGAGTTCTTTAAATCTTGAGTAAAATGGTATGCATTTTCACTGTACTCAGGCCTCTCCAAGCTGAGTTTTTTTTTTTTTTTTTTTTTTTTAGACAGAGTTTTGCTCTTGTTGCCCAGGCTGGAGTGCAGTGGCATGATTTTGGCTCACTGCAACCTCTGCCTCCTAGGTTCAAGCGATTCTCCTGCCTCAGCCTCCCAAGTAGCTGGGATTACAGGCGTGTGCCACTACGCCCAGCTAGTTTTTTGTATTTTCAGTAGAGGCAGGGTTTCACCATGTTGGCCAGGCTGGTCTTGAACTCCTGACCTCAGGTGATCCACCTGGCTTGGCCTCCCAAAGTGCTGGGATTACAGGCTTGAGCGACCGCACCTGGCCCAAACTGAGTATTTTTTAGAGGATTCTTTTTACCTGGTGAATAGATGGGTATGTGCTCCCCCACTTCATCCACGTACACATATGAGCTGTACACATAGATGTTAATCAGGTTGCTTTTTTCATTTTATTTAAATATTCAAAATATTGTGTGATTGTGATCCATTGAGATCATTGAAGTAGTATTAATTTAGCTGGGAATTAGCAGCTTATGTTGTGTGGGCCCAGTTCATCAATATGTGTGTCAAATATCCACCCTCAGATATCAGCAGCCTTTGACTTGCAGTCAGAGCTTTCAATAGGGGTTTTGTTTTGTTTTGTTTTCTTTTTTTTTAGTCTCATATTTTATGATGGGGGGAAATATTCATGGAAGATTACTGAATGTGAAACTGCTGTTCCCTTATAGAAAAGACCCAAACATTATCCCATCATGTCAGATTTGAGGTTTTGGCTTATTGCACATAGGAATCTTTAAATTAGGTTTGGGCTGTCATAAAGTTAGCTTTTTGAGAGACTAGAGAAAAAATATGACAAGTCCTATAAAATGTAGTAAAGTCTGCTCCTGTTGATATATAACATTTTTTCTCTTTAAAATCATGAACATAGACATTTATATCAGGGTATTTAAAATTATTTGCCTAGACAGTATAGCTGGTATTTAGATAATGATATATCAGACAGATACTCTAAAGAAGGGAGATATAGTAATTCAAAATGGAAATACATTAGCATGCTCTTAAAAGTAAATCAAATACAATATGCTTTTCAGAATTTAGAAAATGAACTTACCTTTTCTTTTTGTATCCATTCTGATTCTCTCCTAGCTCAGACTGAACTGGAGGATGTATTTGTGTACCTTATGGTGTAATTGTAAATGAGACTATAAATTATAGTATGCTATTATGACTACTTATTTTTCTTTTCTCTTTATTTATGTGATTCTGAATAAAAACGACTGACTTCTGAAGTGAATTTTCAGCATGGCAGTTAAAACAAAAAAACACCACTACCACAAAAAACAATATACTGGTGAACATTTTACTTACCTTCAAAATCCAGAGAGTAGAGAATATTGTTTTCTAATAAGTACCTAGGATTTTCATAGGGAGCCTATGTTTGTGAGGCCACTATCCAAAGACTAATGTTCATGAAACTGGGAGTCCTATATACAAGCTGTATTTGTAAATAAGACAGAGAAAGGTTGTGAACTGGCAGCTTGGATGTTTTGTCAAAGTACAATGTCAGAGAAACTCTTTCTAAGACAAATTGTAAATAGAACTGTCACAGTGATTGCATGATTGAGCCGCAGAAGTGTCCTACAATTGTTGGCATTGTCAGGACTTTTGAAAGCTTAATTAAACACAGTGGCCCGCATGGCTGCTAAACTTACTAAGGAAAGCCAAAAGGAAAAAAAAAATATATCTAAAATGTAGAAGATCCTAAAGATCCCAAACTTCTTCAGACATTACCCTTGTGGTGACACAGAAAAGATGCATTGTGCATTTTCCTAGTCATCTTTTATAAATAATGTTTTGAGAATAGGTCCACGTGATATGAAGATCATCCTGTGTGTGATGTGGAGATTGTGTTAGTTTTTCTGTCTCCTGCTGTTACAGACAGTTAATGTAAAAATGGCCTTTTATTGGAAACACAAATATGTATTCACTTCAAGAACAGGAGCAGAGGGGGACAAAGTTTCCCTCCCGTTCTCTGTGTTTATTCTGTGAAAGCTTAAAAAAACAAAAAAACAAAATAACCACACACACACACACACACACACACACACACACACACACACACACAAAACCAGTGCTGTAATTTCTTAAATCACCCCATTCCTTGTTGTGTTGCAAGTTGTGCCTTTACTATAAAGGATCTGAAATATGTTTTGCACACCTTTCTCTTAGTGAATGTGGCATATAATTGTGGAGCTGCACATGGGCTGGAAAATGCAACTGGGTGTAGAAACGTGCAGGCAGGGTCAGGACAGGCAACCTTCAGCTCAGGGAGGAGGCGAGTTGGATGCTTATTAATGGCATCTTTTAGAGTCCTGGAAAATCATTAATTTCACACTGCAGCTTCCATGTAGTTTGGCTAATGTGGGAGTACTAAATTGGGGTACATAAAAAACATGCAAATCCTAGGGAAACATTTTTTAGATTTTTGTGATTTCTCAATGAAAATGTTTAATAAAGGAGAATAGGTGAATGGTGGCTTTGCGTGCTGGTCAGTAAGAAAGGAAACAAATTTTGGCTTTCCTTTGGGGGGAAATATTAAATTTAACCGAAGTAGAAAGCACAGCTAGGGAGATGCACCAAGATTGCGTCACTGGATGTTAATTTAATCTACTTTGGTTGGTCTGTTCACACCCTTTATTGCACAAAGAAGTCATTTGACAAAATTTACCCCAAGCCCAAGTCTGTTTTTACATACAGTAGTACCAGCTTTGTGCAATAAAAAGCACTTAGCATCAAGCTGGACCCAGCCTGGCACCTTGCCACTTTTTTAGCATGAGATTTAATCACCAAGCATCTTTAGTACCTTTCTGCTTGTTCAGATTTCATTTGGGTCATGGCTATGTCAGCAGTGTTGTTATTTCAAGGATTAAAAAAAAAGATTCTAACTTAGAGCCCACTTTTAACATTATTTCAAATCAAGCAGGTTTTTATGTTATGTATCAATTTGGATGACATTAATGAAGTTCATAAAATATGTTCAGACTATATAATTTAATGGATAATGACTACTATTTTTATTTGTAATACAAATAGGAAATTGACTGTTGTCTCCCTCCCTCCTTGGTTCTTTTCTCCTACCTAGGTAAATGGGCATCCTTAAACAGCTTCTCCCCTTTACGACCAGGGTATAGAGCACTGGCCAATATCAGTAAATTTACCTTTGTAATTTGCCACGTAGTTTTTACAACATGACCTAATTAATTTGAGCACGAACCATATTATTGCTACTGGAGTCATTTTCTGTCACAAACTTAATTTCCAGGAAATGTAACCTGACAAATAAGAATTCTTTAGCTCTCTACATGTGCTCCTAGAGACCAAAGGCAGATTTAAAATAATAATAATTTTAAAAGTGCCAGCATTATTAAAGCCAGTATACTTGATGCCAAACTCAATTTGAAGCCAGTAAACATCAGACTGTATTTCTAATCAGTTTTAAAATGTAACTTATTCCATATTGGGTTCATTGGAATTTGTCTCCCTGCTTTTTACTGGCCAGCTGCACTCCCTATGCATTTTTAAAACATTTCAGCAAAGGCTTTTGCTGTTCTTAGCAGGGTTAGTAACTTGGGGTCTATTTCTGAGCTCATTCGTCATTCTGCAATGGCATTGAGTTAGGTTGGCAAGGGAAGGATTTGAGGCATGGGGGGTGGTGAGGTCACTTCTGATCCCAGCAGGGAATAGGTGAGCTTCATTTGCCTTTACAATAGGCGCACAGTTACTGCACCTTGGAGGAGCTCTCAGGTGCCGCTCAGATGGGCGCATGTAAATGCCCTGTCAGATGCGGAGCTGGAATATTAATGCTTCTTCCACCACCACACCATAATAAAGCTGTACACAGCAAGCTTAATATGCAGCTAGTCTGGGGAATTGTATAAACTTAGATAGCCCAGTGTGAAAGACAGCAATGGAAAAATGCTCGATATGCCACAGTTTCCATTCTTGTTCTCCTTTGATCTATAGCGAAATGAAAACATCATCCTTTTCTTCTCTTGGAGTTGTCTCCCCAACTCTGCCACCTCCCAATTCACCACCAGAATTTTTTTGCATGTGCTGGTATGGAGAAATGCAACATAATTTGTTTCATATGGTTAATTACAGGCGTTTGAATATTTAAAATTTTAAATAGCCACAGTTCCAGCTTTTCCCGTTAAAAGTATGTGATTTGAACAAAGGGAGTACAGTGTAAATATTTGTGGTGATTTGCAACACCCCTCTTTCCCCATTACACACACACACACACACACACACACACACACACACACACACACAGAGAGAGAGAGAGAGAGAGACATTCAGTTTAAATCTAGTACTGATCTAAAGGACTTCTGTACCTTCATTTGTACTTTTTTTAAAAAACAACTTTCAACTGGAATTCCATTAAAATATTTCACCATTATATTTTTGAGTCCACATTGCTTGAGGTTTTAAAGAAGATTTTTATAATGTGTTCCTTTAACAGAATCAACAGCTGTCAGAAGCAGTTGTGGTAGATCCACAAAACGTATAAAGAAAAATACACGTTTCCTGAAACAAAACACTTGGAAAAATAAGCTGCTAAGAACTGGCGAATTAGAAGTTTGCAGACAGGGAACTGAAGTGTCATCTCTTGGTTCACCCTGGAGACTGATGTGAGTGGATCTGATGCAATGCTGCTGGAAGATTTACCTGCACAGGTTGCTCCTCTAAGGCAACGCGCAGTGCACGATTGACGTATGCACCAGAGCTAGGCTGGGCCTCAGCTCGCTCCATCTTTTGCCCTTTTTGATCTCTTTAGATAGATAAAATACCAAGTTCTCAGAGTGCTAAACAACAAATTATATATACCTAAAGGTGAGATGATCAGGTTTAAACTTCCTGTAAAAGAGGCGAGAAGGCGCCTTGCACACCCTTTTCCAGATAGGGCTGGCAGCATGTTATTCAGAACTGAATCAGTCTCTGCCAGAGAATTCCCAGTGGGAACCTGGAGCAGGTATGTTGATGAAGGGGATACCTGGGGACCTTTGGTCACTCACAATGAGTTTTTGTTTGTATTCTCACTGTTGTTAGCATTGCCAATGAACAATTGCACCTACAATTTGATTTTAGTTTTAGATAGAGGCGAATCCACTGATTAAAAACTCCCATTAAAATAAAGAATGGAATTATTGTGAAACCTGCAAGGGTGCCTTCAAAAAGAAAACCAGTGCTGTTGTATACCTACCTCGCCTTTCTATTTGCTTTTTGAACTTTCTAAAAAACACAAGGAAGCTTTTTGCTAAGCATCAGGGCATTTAAATTTATATTCATCAGTTGTTCATTTTCTTAATATGTAATGATGCATAAAAAGGCTGCAAGGAAATCACATCTGTTAATTTTTAGGGAAATAAAGTGTAGCTTGGATTCTTATGTTGGAGCACAAAGCACTATGTGCCAAGTCTGTTCCTGTACATTTTAAATATAGAGTTTTAATATTTGGCCAATCCCTGCACCTCCTCAAACAAAAACAAACCTCAAAAAACTAAGAGAACCAAACCTGAAGTATTCTCCTTCACCAACTCAAGGTATACCATGATTTTATGATTTATTTACATTTAGGGGGGAACCCCTCAGTGAACCATTTACTCCCCATTTTAACTCCCCTGCCCCGATCCTTTCAGTTTCCAGTTAAAACAATGCATTAACCAATGTTAAATCTTAAATCTCGTGAGTTTCTCTCCATCACACCCTAATATTTTAAAAAAATTATTCCTTTACATTTAAAACTGAACATTGGCTACTGAAGAATGATTTAAAGGCTGAAAAAAATTTTAATAATAAATCGTAACCTTCTCATGTTATGTTTTTGTTATGTTAAGGAGAAAAAAATCAATAAGGAAAAATTTAATTCTGATAAAGATACTCTTGGATCTTTGAAAACAACTGCTGTCCTTTTAACTAAAACATTTGAGCAGCTTCAAAGACTATGTATTTCTTCTGATCTTGGAGCTGTGTGACTGGTAGCAAGAAAGAAAAAAAATCTTATTCTACATACAAGTGGATTGCTTAACAAGTCAGCACAGACACGTACTTGTTTGTACAATAGAGATAAAAATTCCTGTATAAAAATAATTCAGCTGCTGACAGCAGGCATTGTTGTTGGACCTGTCTTTTGTGCTTGTCCCAGCTCTGGGTCCCCCTCCCCTCCTATCTGCTTGGGGCAGCCTGCTGCCTGCACACTGCTGACCAGAAGTTAATTGCTATATATTAAGTATATAGGTATTGTATTTAAAGAGGAATATCTCAAGGCTTCCTATATGCATTCCACTTTACTTTCTGATGTGATTGCGGTGTTGCCAGCAGGGGGGTGGCAGGCAAACGCTCTAATAGGGAAAATCACTTGAAGGCAGTTAGGGGAAATTTGGCCTTCAAGTCCCATTTGCTCTGTAGTGTAGCATTGGTTTCTAAACTTTTGTTTTTAATCTAATTCTGATTTGCCCTGTCACATCCCATATCAACCCTCATTGAACTCTACTCATGTAGAGTAACATTAGTGTCAAACGGAATTGGTCAGGACTGTGGACCTGTGGCTCATACAGATGGTTGTGGATGTGGGTTCCATGCAGCTCTGCATCCTATCCTTTCTAATAAATGTTAAAATGTGGCACATTTCTGAGCAGGGCCCAAGGATAAGAGAGTTAAGAAATCAGGGGGTAGTACCTGAGATTTTTCTCCCTTCTCTTTCCGATTTCCTTGATAACATCCACATTTCCGGTAAGATCAACTCTAGGAGAAAGTCTGAGGCTGGGGGAGAGAGGGGGAGAAGGGTGCGGAGAGAGGTTCTTGGAATATTCTTCGATAGCAGTTCAAATGAAATCCCCACAGCAGAGAGCTTTTGGGTCTAGCAGTGGAGCGGTAAGCTGGGACACGTGGCCTTTCGAAGCTGTTATTCTCAGTCTGACTTGCACACCAGCTGAGATAGGACTTAACATATACTTTCTTGCTTTCACCTGGGTTGGAGAGGTTGGGGTTGGGAGGAAGAGGAGGAGTTCATTGGGAATTCTGTCACTAGAATTTTTTAAATGTCAGGAGGTTAGCAAGGTGTGAGTTAGCATTCAAGCAAAGGATTCTTCTCCAGACTAGTAATTGGAAAGCCTGCAAATCCAGGTTCCCACGATACTCTCTAATAACTGGGGTGGGATGGTGGTGGTGGGTGGACACCACAACTTTCTGAATGTCAGCTGATGTCTGCATGACCCGTTCACCATGGATTAAATGCGGCTGGTGCCGAATGGAGGAAATCAGAAAGGCAAATCTCAAGCAACAGGATTTGCACTCCTCAGAAGTAAACCAGACCTTGCTCCTCTCCCTCCTGTGCTTCTCCTTTCTTGCTGGTTTCCCTTTGGAAGCAGAAACTTCTAAAATTAATGCCACTCCAAGCCAATGAAAAAGCTGTTTTTATACCACAGTGGATGTTTACACAGGAGAGACAACTTGAGGGGGAAAAGGCTTTTTGGAAGGGTGGAGGGACTCGTGTTAATCTGTTCTGTTGGAGGACTATGCAGTATTGCCTATGAGCGACTCTGGGCTGTTTTTGATAAATTACCATGTTTAGAGATAGGTTTGGCTCTTAAGGGCTTAGTTTTATGAACAAAGTCCGTGACGATGTTTGCAGCCTCTGTTTGTATCTTAGCCCCTTTGGCTTGACTAGAAGCTCTATGTTTAGTTTAAGCTCAGTCTGGAAGATATTACAATTTTGCATTAAAAAAATGAGGAAATCATAGGAAGAAAAACCCTTTGCTTTTTGGATGAATCTTACTGATAATTTGCTAAAGCTCATTTGAATTTTAAGCACTTCTTTAATCTTCAAAGGCTAAATTGCTTTATGAATATGCATGGTGTGGGCAGACTTCAGTTCATTACCTAGTTGTAAATTCTAATGACCATTAGGTCCTTCCAGTAATTGCGAATTGTTTTGCATTTTTGATTGGCCTATTAACATGTACATTCGGTGCACATCAGGCTGGCCTGTCAGCCTGCTGAAGGAGAAAAAAAAGGTGAAAATTGTTTATAGCACCAAGATTCTTAGATTTTCAATCTTGCAAAATTGATGATGTAAAAAAATTAAAGCAGTGTTTTTTCTTCTCAAGATTAAAAGTTCACCAAGAGATTTGACATATTTAATTTACATGATGACTTTGCACTCCTTCATTAATGTAATTTGCATATGAAGCTGTTGTTAATCACTTTTGATCATGTTTTGTGTATTAGCTGCCTCAGTGGCTCTCCTCCTCAGATGCCCCAGTAGAAAGGAGCAAAATGATGCATCTTCTTGCCAAGTTTCCTTTAGTGAATTGAGGAATTAGAAGTCTAACCTTGAGTAATTACATATGTTTTATCCGTTTTCTTTTAACGTTAAGTACAGTTTGTGAACGTGTTGGCTGGAAATCGTTCTCATTTGGGGAGAAGACTGTAAAATTTAAGTATATGATTGAGGCACTTCCAGATACATAGAGAAATATGTATTGCCTGTTTCTGTTCCCCACGAACATTGCAGGGCAGTTTTATTGTTAGCAGTTTGATGGCAGGAAGCCTTGGCTATTATAGTGTATTAAGACATCAGGTTCCTCCTTTGGAGGAGGGAAGGCTACAGAACTACAAACCTTTCTAACAATGCTTTAGGTTTCTTCTTTAGATAGATGGCTGGCACCTAAAGGACTTGGGCCTGGGTTTGGCTGACTCTTTTATCTTTTAGATCAAGTAAGTTTTCTCATTCAGCTGCTGCTCTGAGCTACAATGTGTCCTCCCCTCATCACCAAAGTATATCCTGGTCTCCAGGCTCCCTGGGCTCCCAGTGTCTCCCTCAAGGTACACGAGTGCCCTGGTGGTGAAAACAAGGTGCTAACTAACGGTTTCCGATTTTTGAGAGCCTGTGATTTTGGTGTTTGCCTTTGCTGTTGAATAACCTGTGCTGTATTATTGATGTTCATCTTTGGTTTATGAGTTTATCACTGGTTAACAAGCAGAATCAGAACAGTGTAACTGATATTCTGATTAAAACGAATGTTTAATGAAAGAAAATAAATTGTGATGGAAAATGAACAGTGTGTAAGAAACATAACTATAATTTTAACCTCCGAGGGACCTAGCACTGCCCTACCGTGACTTCCATCCATACCATGCTAAAAGCATGCTTCAGTTTAAAGTTGTTAATATTCAGCTGGGAAACAGTATCCAGAACACAAATAAATTATTAAGTGCATGAACTTTTTAGGCAGTAAGATGAACTGATGGGGTCCATCTGTGAGATCCAGGGGCTTTTTATTTGTGTGTGTCGAGCGATTCTGCCCTCTCCGACTTCACAGCCTTTGGTCTCCGGCCAACTGCATGCATAATTGATTCCACACGCACTATCATTTTCTTGATGTAATTGCTTTACTAAGATATGATGAAATCTAATGGATAATTTGCTATTTGAAAATGGTCAAAAAAAATCTTCATACTTTATGTGGGGCTGAGTGGGCAGTGGAGAAAGGGGTATTCAGCTGACCCGGTATTTAAGAAAACAAAACAAGCAACACTAACTTATGCATGCTGCTTCAGTCGCGTTGGCTGTGGATAGGAAGGTCTTTGTGACATATGGAAGCCAGTGTATAAATCTCTCTCCTTCTATCTTGCATCACCCCCTTCATTCCTTCTCTCTTTCTCTCCTCTCTCTCTCCCCCAAACTTTACAAGAAAGGGATCCTAACAAGGTAAAAAGTAAACAATTTAGTCATCACAAGCCTTATTATTCAGTCTATCCAGGAGTTTTGCCATGTCGGTTTATTTAACTTCCAGGAATGTAAACACTGACACAGCCCTAGAAGCAGCAAGAAAGATTACAGTATTAGAGTTAAAAACGTGAGCATGGAGGAGCTGTGCTTTATACTCTGCTATAATAACACTTTACATTGAAACATAATGGTAAGTCAAAAGTGACTGGAAACTTCTGCTTATATGGAGTACAAATTTCATTCTAATAGATTGGCATAATCTAGTGTACCCAGGGTAGATTGTTATATAATGGAGAAACTGTATAAATGTCAAGTACACAAATAATTCTACAGGAAGTAAATAAAAAGTATTAGAATTTCTTAAGTCACCATTAAATTTTGGTGGTGGGACAATCTCATTAGCTCCTTCAAAATCATGTGGCTTTGCATAAGTCTTTTGAAAATGTATTTTCAGGGAATTTACAGATGGTGAAACATTGTTTTAATCCAAACCAGTTAATGCTTTAAATCTACCTTTAAAAAAATTGTACTGTTTTTCGAAGTACTTAAAGGGAGTGGAGGGGTAGAAAGCATATAAGTGAATCCATCTCACTGTGGCAAACTGTTTTTCAAGTAAAGTCATAATAATGAACAACACATGATCTGAAATTTGATCAGCAAACATATCCTTATGCCAAGGAATTTTCTTTTTTTCTTTCCTTTTTTTTCTTTTTCGCCATTCACATACCAAGGTTCTGTAAATCAGTAAACCAGGCAGAGAGTAACTATTGTAAGGGGGAAACCAAATCATAATACCCAGAGTGGCCCAGAAGCTGTCTTTCTGAAGAAACATTAACGCCACCACCACCAAAAAAAGAAAAACAAAAAAACAAAAAACAAAGCAAAACAAAACAAAACCTTTTTAAAAAACTGGAAATGACAGAATAGTTTTAAAAGGAAAAAAAAAAAAACCCAAAAACCAAAAAGCAACAACCACCTTCTGACGCTCAAAACTTCAAACTATTAATAGACCACCAGTGAGATAGACTGTCTTTGTGCCTTGAAATGCAAAATGAGGGAAATAATTAGCAGAGGAACAAAATTCTCAAAATTTGAAGAACTTCTGTGATTACTGGGGGTACAGTGAAAAGAAAATGCAAATTTCTTCCTGATCTTAATTAGATTCGATTGTGCGGTGGGTGTGTTGGATTTGGGGGGAGGGGCAGAGGCAGGGAGTGCTGGGGTGAGGCGTGAGGCTGAGTGTTGTGGAGACAGGTTAGCAGGGGCCCGGCGGTGTGGCAGGAACAAAGGCAGCTTCCAACGCTGGTGCAGGATTCCGAGCCTTAACCCAGATGCTCATGGTGCCCTAGTCTTGAGTTCTTCATTTAGGTGGGCTTATTTCCCACTGGGTCTGGGGGATTTCATTTGTCCTTTGAGGGGCAGGGTGGACACTGACAGAACAGCTGCGGCCGGCAGAGAGGGTGGTTAGGAAGAGGGAAGCAGCCTGTGGGTAACTTCCCGACCACATGGAAAGGCTGAATAAGACGTTATGGACCCTGCCTTGGGTACTGGGGTCAGCGTCTCCTGGTGGTGTCTGCACAGGGCCCCCCAATGCCAGGGCACTGCCAAAACACGCTCTTGAGTTTAATGGTAGTGGTTGGTCTGAGTCCTGCCAAAGTGTATGGAGCAAGTTTCATTGGCTGGACTTTCCCCTTGCATGAAATAATAAAAGCCCTGGCCAAGGCTTATGAATCTATTTTTGTTTCATTAATATTATTTATTATGTATTTTATTAATATTTTTTGGAGGGACCTTGCTCTCATTTGACCATTTGTAGTTATAATTAATGCATTCCGTACTGGTTGTAAAAAGTGTGCTTGCATTTAATTGCAAGTCAGGGTAAATTAATGGATATGATTTAAAACA
Organism: Homo sapiens; assembly: GCF_000001405.40. NCBI lineage: Eukaryota > Metazoa > Chordata > Mammalia > Primates > Hominidae > Homo > Homo sapiens. The sequence continues at coordinate 60,531,373 of NC_000002.12, read as the reverse complement.
AAACTCACTTAAAATATTCTTGCAGAACGCAAAGGAGGGGGCAGTCCCAGTATTTAATTTATTTTCTGGTTTAGTGTTAGTGTGAGAGGGTCGAAAAGATTCTGTGGGTCCAACGGGATTTGTGTCTGTGTGTGCAGGACCGTCGGGCAACACAGAGGGAGGAGAAAAACCTGGACCGGAGTAGGGTAGCCAGGAGCTCTTTTTTTTTTTTTCTCTAATTTCTGAGGTTGCCAGGAGGGGCTTAAGCAAAGTGGTCAAGTCCATCTGCTCCGGAGAAGGTGGTAAAGAAAAGAGGTTAGTGGCAAGAGGGAAGGAGCACAAAGGGAAAATTGTACATTGGGAGCGTTACTCTCCCTGGCCATGGTGTAGCCAGACTGGTTTAGCAGACAGAATGATAGATTGTTTTGTCAGGGGTCCCAGGGTGCGCCCTGAACTTGAAGCACTTTGTTTATCTTGAATAGAAAGGGAAAAGCGCAGACATAATCGATGTCTAGTTTTTAGGAGCTCGAAAGAGGTAGGAGAACAGAGAAGACTCAGGAGGGGTAGTGGGAGGTGGGGGAGGTGCAGGCCCTGGTTGTGGTTGTCCATTAACAGATGAACTTGGCCGAGGGCCAGGCTTTAGATGAGAGCGTGTCAGGGCCCCAGTGCAGCCAAGCCTTTTCAGTGTTTTTTTTTTCCTTTTTCTTTCTTTCTTTTTTAAATACCTGCTGACTGTACATCAAATGCTCCCTGGTCTTTTGGCTAAAGGCAAAAAAATAAAAAATAAAAAAAAAAAGAGACGCACAGCTCAATTTTTTCCCTCCTCTGAACCAGTTGAGGCCAGTCTTTTGGCTACATATGCGGGTTCTATCATCTTTCCTGGCTTGCCGTTGGGAAAAAAAGTTGTGATAACGCCAGTAACCCGAGGGCCAGATGGGAAGGGTTTGGTTGTGTTCAGGCGACCAGGTGTGAGAGCTCGTGGTGCAGTGGGGTGGGGCGTGGCCGGCGTGCCTGCGTGTGCAGGTAAGAAATCAGTGGAAACTCTTTTTTTTTTTTTTTTTTAAATGGCTGAAGTTTAACTTGTTGGAAGGGCCTGTGAATTAAGCTGTCGGTGGCTGAGAACGATAATATGCAAGGAAGGCTCAAGGAAGGCTCAAGAAAGGCCAGGGGTGGGGAAAAGGTGCTCTTGTTAGAGGCGCAGCCTTTCCTGGGCAGGACCCAGGACCGATGGCAAACCCATGTGTTTGGGCTTGTTTTGTTCTCGATTTTCTTATCTTCTTGGCCTCTTCCTGTGTTTTTTAGTTTATTGTGACATTATGCATTCATATATGAATGTTGGCAAGCAGGAGTCATCATCCCAATAACTTCCTGACATTTTTAGCTCTTTTAATGTGCAGTCTTTGCCCTCCTGCCACAAGTGGCGAAGTAATTGAATTTCCCTGTTACTAACTGGCAGGAGGCATGTTCTAGTTCCCACCAGAGGAGCTGCTGGGGCTAAAGCTGGGTTCATAGAATCCCACCTAGGGGACACCAGGGCTTTCAAGTGGTTTGGGGACCTGTCTGAAATGATATTCACACAATAAAAAATATTTTTCCCATCATAGACTTGAAAAGGCACCATTGTGCACATCTATATAAAATGTGATAAAATCACATTTACTTCCCCTGGCTAGGCCTCATAAGGGAGGCAGGATTTCCTTCTCCTTTTCTAGTAGCAAATAAAAACTGGGAAAATTTGGGGGCCTCTGGGTTTATCCCATGGATACCTGCCCCCGCTCCCGCCCGCCAACTCAGCCAAGCCCTTAGAGGCAGTCTTCTCTCCCACCTAGATGTCTTTGTAACCTGAGCTGGTAAGAAAGGGAGGAGGGACAGAAAGAGGGGAAATATGCCCTTGACATATGATGTATCTTCTTTCTTTTCTTCTTCTCTTTGATTACACGAAATAAAATGGTTTAGGCTGAGGGTAAAGAAGTAATACCATTTCTAGTTGTGCAACCTTGGGCAGATTTCATTCCCTAAGCCTCCGCTTCCTCAATCTGTAAAGTGGGGAGAATCACGGGGCTTGCCTCATAGGGCCTTTGAGCATCCTATGAGAGCATGTGGGGGCGCTGGGCTCAGTGCTGGGCACATGGTAAAACATGTCACAAAAGCTCATTACTATTACGGTTATGACTCATGGCTTGGAACTGTGTGCTCCTGGGGTCTCAAAGTAGTTCCCCCATTATGGGGTGAGCAGGTTGGGATGAGAGAAGAGCAGGGCAGGTGGGGGTCTAAAGAGCTCAGGGTCTCATTATGTTTCTGGTGGCAGCTCCCTCGTGGGTGGGAGTCCCCTCTCCCCATAGACGTGTGTTGCCTTACGAGAGGCTTGTGCCTGCCTGGGTGTGTGACACAGTTACTCTGGGTTCAGATTTCTATGTTACTGCTAGCTGGTTGGGAGAGTCTGAGGGAATCATTTCACCTCTCTGTGAAATGGAGATAACTCAAGGTCCCTTACCTCATAGAGTCCATGTGAGAAGTAAATGAGGGAAAGCACAGACATTACTCGCTCCGGGGGCTGCACCTCCAGAATTGCTGTTGTCATTATTACCATGTGTCTGACACATTGATATTCCATCCCACAACAACCTCGGAAAGGAAACACTCCCATTAGCCTCATTTGGTAGAGGAGGAAATTGGGGTTCATCAAGGGTTAAATGACTTCCCTGAGGGTCCACAGTTGTTCAATCCTTTGGCCTGCGGCCGCCACCCTCTGCTACCTCTTCAGTACGTTTGCAGCTTTCTTCAGCGGTGCCAGGCAACAACTGGGCAGGAAGCTCTGGTGCTGGACAGTTGTCCCTCCCATGGGTTCTGTGGTCAAGTTTTTCAATCTTCTGGGAAAGAGAAGAATGTTCCCCTCCAGTTCTGGGCATATTGAAGGAGCACGGAGCTGTTGGGAAAAGTTGCAATGTAAGGAATCCTGCTTTGCAAGTAGTCATTTCCCCATCTGTCCAGAATGAGCCTGAAATCAAGTGAGGGTCCTGAGAAACAGAGGGAGGAGGTTTTACTGTTTGTGTGTGGCTTGGTCAGGAGACTGCAGTGGGCTGAATGAGAAACTAAGCTCGGACTTTTAAGAAGTGGTGAGGCTTGGCCTGCAGCAGTTCTGTGTGTTGTCTCTGTGGCATTTACTTCTCGGATCGTACCTTCAAAGGCTGGGGAGAATCAGAATTATACAGGGAGGGAGAGACTGAGTGTGAGTGAGTGTGCGTGGCAGTGGTGTTTCTTAGGACGATGGGTTCTGGGGGGTCATAATCTGCTTCGAGGAGGTTTTCATTTCTGGCTGAACAAGGCTGTGGTAAGGCAAGTCCGGAAGGCATGCTGGAAACTTGAGGGAAGTTTTGAATGGAAACTGCAGTCAACAGCTCCATATGATCCGCATGTGGCTTCCCCAGAGGCAAGTTTTCAGCTGCGTGGTGGCCTCTCCCAGTCACTCCACAGGCTGCCCTGACGCTATTAATATTTGCTGAAGCAAGACCTGAGGTTCGTTGCAGATGGATTACACAATGTATTCCAAAACCAAATGTTACTGTTTTCCTGTATTCTCCATCCTTTCAAATTGGCCAGGCTAACATAGACCTCCACTGAGAGAATTTCAGAATCATTTGGTAGTTGAGAAGCGCCTACTTCATGCGGAGGCCCCGTGGGAGGAGTGGAAGAGTTGGCCTCAGCACTGGCGAGTATCGGATGGGAGCTCTGCTCACTTGGTAAGTCCTTCTGCTAGAACCAAGGGAGGCTGTTCAGATCCATCACAAAGAAGTTGTCGGTCACATCCAGGTTGTCTTCTGAGTTTGAGGTGGGATGGAGGTGGCTGCTGAGAATCCATGTGGGTCAAGAGCTCCAAAGCTTCACTTTTACTTCGCACTCTGTCCCGGGGCATGGACGTCCTCAATGGAGGTCATGCAAGCCCTTCCCCCTCACCCCTTCTCTTGGCCCTCTTCATTGTCTCTACATACCCTTGGGTCAAGAGTGTAGTGGTTCTCCCTTGTCACCCTGGAAGAGAAGCTCTTAGTTTTATTTGCTGGGTCTCCTAGACTGAAATGATAAAGCTGAAATGATAAAAGGCGTATCATGGCTTTAGAACCCTTCTTATTTCCCTCGCTCGCACCCCCTAGTTTTCCTTCTCTTCCCTTGAAAATCAGTGAAAATCAGGCCACATCTCTGATGATGGCCTTTTGTTTCTTTTTCTTTTTCTGTTTCTGCCTTCGTTAGGTAAGCACAAATTTGATGTCCCAAGAGGCAGGCCGGTGACCCTTCAGGCCAAGTGCCTGGATGTGGCAAAGCTACAATAAATATCGAATGGTGAGAGCAATGGAAATTTAGCAAAGCCATAACCGGGGAGACCTCAGAGGGGCAGTGGACTGGTTAAGAGGCTGTTGGATGAGCCGGGTAGTATTTCTACTTCAACCTGATTGAAATGTCGACTAAAAATCAATGCTGTTGACTAGTGATAATTTACAACGTTCCTGGTGCTAAGTAGTTCCCCGCTTAAGAATGCGTTGGCTGGGCAGAGATTAGCGCAGGGAGTTGTGTGTGTCACAATGAATCAGACGCATTATAGGTCAGCCCTTTATTTGTTTCATCATGACTTTTACACAGTTGTCATGTAATTTATGGCTGCTTTCACGTTGTCAAACATTTTCATTGCATCTTCTTCTTTAACACCCTCCTGACATAGACACACTGCACTTGAAGGCTTGGTATTGTTTCATAATCCGAGAGGAGGCCTATAAACCATCAAATTACACTATCTTTGGGCTAATCTAAATGCGCTGCAGATTAAAATCAGAGCTCATTTGTCCCTGATGCAAATTATTAAGTTCTAATTATAAATACCCATTTAATTACCCGACACATTTTTATTTTGCGGACCCTTTTGAGCACTGCTGTCTGCGATGCAGAGGGGGTGGGGGGAGATGCATAGGAGACAATCTGCAGTAATTAATGTACACTTCCCAAATGGTAAAGGATAAACATATGCTGCTTTGTTTGTCTTATTTATTTATTGATTAGATGTATAGAGACTTTGGCGTGGGCACAATCTGAAGTTGAAATCCTTTTAAAGATGAAAACTATTTAAAAATCTTTTGGGGAAGAAAGAGCAAAATATAGCCAACCAATAGCTTTCTGCTAGAACACATCATCCCAAAATATGGGATTCTGAATTTGATCAAATCACCAGTTTCTGAATTTGATCAAATCTAGATTTTGCAGAAGTTCAGGGTGAGAGAAACCATGCCTGTTTTATATCTAGAAAGTGAAATCATTGTTATAGAAAAAACCTACTGTGGTTAGAAAAAAACCACATTCTTTTTTCCCAGCCCTGCTGCCATCCTCTACCAGAAAATAACAGTATCTGCCTGTAGTATGAAGACCTTCCAATTGAGAGCATTATGATAAACTATTTTTGATTACCAAACACGAATGAAGGAAGAAGATAACATAAAAATTAGTAAAGGCCTTCCAAGTAGACATTTACCCTTCTGTGAAAGCCATGGAGAAATTACCAAGACTGGTTTGGGGGGAGGGCATTTAAGGTCTTTTGGGCATTACAGATTTTCCAGAACCAAACTTTGACTTTTAGTGTTAACAGAGAGACACTGATCTGAAAACCAGGACACCTGGGTTCTGACCCTTATTGTATCATGCTGTGAGATTTTGGGCTCCCTTCACCTGTTAGCATTTGTTTCCTTGTCTTGTAAAGTAGGTAAAATAGATAGTTTGGACTGGGTGGGTCTCTAAGTCCCCATGATGTTCTAGCATAGTATGAACACCACTGACCAGTTTTCTCCCTGCTATTTTTTGGAATCTAGTTGCTGAATGGGGCTCACCTGCAAAGACAGCAGAATATTATTTTCTTGATTTGCCTCAAAGATGGAAGCTATGGTGGAGATTAAGGCTTGGATTCGTGATTCCCCAACAGAAAGCTTAAAGGCATCTTTCAAATTGCTGGAAGCAAAATTGAAGTGCAGTATAATGGAATGGTGATAATTCACAGAAGTTTCCAGCCTTATAAGATTTCTCCATCTTTTAATTGTTGCAAGCTGTTTTTTTTGAAAAACTCCAAAGAATGTAATGTGTATTTTCTCCAAGTTTGCTTTTTTGGGCAAATGTAACTACATCAAAATAGAAGTACGTTTTTGAAAAAGAAATAGTTGAATTCAAACAACCAGGTATTTTAAATTCAATTAACTGACTGAATTCAGTGATATTTTCCTCCTTCCTCCTCCCAAAAGCTGGTTTCTCTGTATGGACATAGCCTACATATGCTGAGTCCCTGGAGTTAGGAATTTTTGCTTGTTAAAGGCATCCGATGCAACATGTTTAGAAGAACTCTCCCTCTGTTAGTGTTGAAGACAGCATAAATTGAGGGAAAATGTTCTTTTTTTATTCATCATGTAGGTAAAAGCATATGGCCTGTTCTGGGACATGCGATCTTTGCAATCCATTTTTTAAACTTGGTGTTTACCATTGGCTTTTAGCACGGATGTTTCTGTTTTCCACACTGTCCAGCAAATACCATTTATATGTGGCATTGAATGAGATATGAAATGTTTTCAGAAGCATGCTGAAAAAGGGCATTCAAAGTTATCCTTTGGATAATGATGATCTAAAACTTTCTTTTATTATCCCATGTGCTCAGAGTAAGGGGCAAATGAATCAGTTGTGAAATATGTGTTCCTTGTAGGACACAGGCACTCTTGAGATCTATAGCTTCAATAAAAAGGTAATTTATTTAAATTACTGCCTCTTTAATTTATAATGTTTTGGGGATTTTTAATAGGCATGCTCTGTAAGGGCACTGGTAATCAGCTGTTTCTGATTTTGCATGCTCTTCTATCTCTGGTAACAAAATAAAATCTTAAAAAACAAGAAAAAAGAAAAAAAAACAAAAACAAAAACAAGGAACATAAAGTTTAGCCCTAACCCAACCCAAAAGCAAATAACAGGCCGAATGAATGGCAGCCCCCCAGAGGCTCTACTTTCCCCTTCCATTATTACCTGAAATAAAAGCATGATAACATTCATGCCAGAGATAGGTGACAAAATTATGTATTCAGACATGAAGTTTAGGATTTCATAGCCCAATGTTCTCTCTTCTCCCCCACCTCTTATTGTGTTGTGCAAATGTATCAGCCGTTGTATTGTTAATGCATGATAGGAAGCTGCCGCTAGGACAGTCTTGGCTCACTAATGCGGTCAGCTGTGTCACAATGTGATATATAGATTATATTTACCATGGCATATTTTGTTTGCGAAATGGGAGCGGATGATAAATGAAGATACCCTCCAGTTTTCACACTAGTTCCTGTGGTCCGGAGTCTCTCAAACAATAAAGCACCCCTGATAATGGAGAGGTATTTATGGGAACATAATTGACTTCAAAGTTTTAGATCTCTGGCTGAAGTTTAAGATGGGATAGTCCATTACATTAATGTCTGTGCTTAAAGCTCCTATTTGGCTTAAATAAATTATTTAGGGTTTACTGCTTAAACCTTGGTCAATTCTTGAACGTTTGGGCTAGTTAAGTAATTTTCCAGTGACTTTCTGTGCCTTGGTGATTCATTTACTTGATTGAGCTCCTGTGTGCTCGTATGATTTCTAAATGTATTTCTCAAGTTTTGCCTGGCAATGAATGATTTTGCTTACTGGAGTCTTGTGTGGTACACCTATAAAAGGCTTATTAACTCTTTTTGAAAAAAAAAAAAATCCCCAAACACATCAACACTGTCATCATAAGATAAAGCATATATACATATGCATCTATATACACACATACATATGTACATACTACATATATACATACGTATATGCATGTATGAATATATATATAGTTGTGTGCCTGTGTGTGTGTAGAAAGGGAGAGAGAGAGAATAGGAAAGTCTTTAGAATTCACCATGATTCCATCAAATCAATATAGAAGTTTTTGAAAGCTATCCATGTAGAAACCACTTTTCATCAAAATCTGACTTAAGCAAATTATCTCCATACTATTTATCTGAAAGTCTGTTGTTCACATAGCGCTGGATTGAGGATCATAGTGGCAAATTTAGGAGCAACAGTCCCAAGCAGGAATCCTGGATGGCAGGCTGTCCTTTGTGCCTCCCCTGAGTTGAGAAGACTGGTGTTTATTCTTTCTCTAGGTTGCAACACGTGTTGCCTTGAAATCTCCCTTCTTTACGGTTCTGCCATGAGTGTATTTTCTGTGACCTGCCTCTGCATCTGGTTAAATGGACTTCAGTAATCTGTACACAGTTACTTCTTACTTATTTTATATCCTGAAAGATATTAAGTCCAACAAGCTTTTACCCACAGAGTCTACAGAGAAAACGGCCAGGCAATTTTTGTTTCAATCTCTGTGTCTCTCTGGAGCACTAGTTCCAGAGGCTGATCAATAGGTTTTATTGTAGACCTCACTGTCTCTAAAAGCATTTTGACCTTATCCTGTCTAAAAATAGTATTTGCTCTTGCCTGCAGAACCTTGACCTGTGAAAACCCATTTGGAACATAACTGACATATCTAGTCAGCTGTATATCCAAGACATGCTCTGTGAATGAATTCTGTGCAGAACCGTCCAGGAGAACACTTTCTTCCAAGACAAATGAATTCCAGTTCTGAACACTGGGAGTGCACCTGCTTGTCGGATGTGGTGATGGGCCACATGGTGGGGAGTGAGGGAGACTCAGGGCCTGTGGGGCAGTCGATGTGGGAGGACTGTCACAGAGACTCTCAGAGGGTGCATTCAGCCCTGAACAGGGCAAAGGACTGCAAGGGGCAGGAGCTTGGGCTGACATGCAAGGTGGCTTTACACAAGGCCCTTTTTAGAGAGTGTGATTCTCTGAAGCTTTTCTTGGCAGCTTCAGTCTTGAACCTCACTGGAAGGGATCCTCCAAAACATGACCCAGATGGAAAGAAGTATTTCTGAGTTTAAAATAACTCCCCTATTTGGTAATACGGGACTTTATTTGTGACTTTATTATTTTTAGGTGTGATAATGGTTTTGCAGTTGTATTTAAAAGAAAAAAAACGAGTTCCTATGTTTAAAAAATACATACAGAGGTGTTTACTGATGAAATGATATGACGTCTGGGATCAACTTAAATAATAAAATGGGCTAGGGAGGCGATAGGGTTACAGAAGACAAGAATGACTGTGAGCTGTGGTGGTTGGAGCTGGAAGATGTGGACTTGGGGACTGATTTATAACATTCTCTCTACTTTTGTAGTATTTGAGATTTTTCCAGAAAATAAAGGTATTGCCTGACTGGTGGAGAGCAGTATGGCCTTGTTTAGTCGGTGTTGTTTCTTCACCAAGGGTTTGGCTCAGAGGTAGCAAGGGGACAAGTGTCCTATGGGCAAGAAAGTACCTGTGAGCTCAAGTCTTGTATCTGGGAAGTTCATTGTGAAGGGGTCATTTAAGGGTCTGTACTGTGCACTGTCCCCCATTCTCCTGGAAGAACAGAGATCCCTTGTCTTTTTCAGTGCATGAGGCAGAGTCAGATGTGGCGTTTGCTTGAGTTTCAGCACAGGTGCCTCTGTGCCTCGTGGTGAGGGTCAGGAAGAAGCAGCTGGGACGTGCTCACGTGGCTGGTAGTGTTATGAAGACAAGGCTTTGGGACCTTTCTTTGGCCATTTGAGCCCTGGCTATTAGAGAAAGATGATTTGCCTGAGAGGAGATTGACCACACTCTCAGAAAGAAGGGGACAAAGAACACGTCAAGGGTTAAGCAGCCTTCCCTTTAAGGGAGGACTGGGGCACAAGATGGAAGATGAAAGGGAGCAGAGTGGCAATTGCAGAGCTGGAAAGGGGAATTTTGTTCTTCTAGATAGCAAAAGCCAGGACTGTCGCTGTGTGACTTGAAAGCTAGGTCACTGGTGGGCTTCGTGCAGCCCGTCACAGGGGAGCCATGGTGGGCCTCGTCTCTGCCGTATCTGCTGCCTGGAAGCTGAGACTGGCCTAACCACATCACACCATTCCCAGACCCAGGCCCAGGCCCAGGCCCGGGTCCCTCTGGTTTTACAAAATGTCCGCTCTCTCTCGCTTCACACAGAGGCTATTATTAGCAAGTGTCACTCAGTTATCTGAGAGTGGCGCTTTTAGCTGCCATCTAAGTGCCTGATACTTGGGTTTACAGCAGATTAAATTAAATTTTAGGCTGGTTTGGCTTCACTGGCAGTAGACAATGGAAGGCAGCTGTTGTAGAAATGTAACCTGGCACCCTCAAGGATTTGTGTGAGTGTGTGTGTGTGTGTGTGTGTGAGTGTGTGTGTGTGTGTGTGTGTGTGTGTGTGTGCTGACCACTAGGCTACACTTCCTTTTCCTTTCCTCTCCATTTCATCCCTTTCCAAAAAGTGTTTAGACAAATAGTTTCCCAGACTTGGTTTTATCATGCTGGGTTGACAAAGGTTGTGTACAGAGCTGGAATAATTTTTTCTTCTTTCTACTGTTGGCACATCAATATCTTTTTTTCTGCAAAGAAGGGGCTAAGCTTGCACGAAAACACCGGTGGGAACCCACTGGAGAAGGGCATGGGTGGTTTTTGGTTCGGTTGGTGGCTGATCTGATGGGTGGTATAGGCAGAATGTCTGGCTGCCCCTTCAGATTCCTGTAGATTCCGTAGGCGACCAACATGGGGTGGGGGTGGGGGACTGTCTGCTCTTTTTGATGCAAATATCTTCACTCTCCTTGGTGCTTCTGTGGTTGTGCCTATGAATTTAGGACCTTATGCCTCATAGTGTTGAGTCAGAGCAAAACAGTTTACATCAAAGGCCACTTATTTAATTTTCCTCAGAAAACTCTGTGAGGATAATTTCTCCTTCTTATAAACGGAATGCGAATGTGTACACAAATGTGTACATTATCCCACCGAAGGGTGATGCTCTTTACTTTTATAATCTAGATTTTAAAAAATTTGGTGGCACTTGATTTCAGGTCCTCAGACTCCAGAATTTATACTCACTGATTAGTAATGCATTATGCAAATAATTCAGTTTACATATCCAAATACTGTTTTGCATCATTCACACCTCATGTCTTGAAAAAAAAAGTGAAATGTTTCCTCAAAATAAACAAAACCTGCAGAAGAGTTTATTGTAAGGGTGAAAATTAAAGAGGAACCCATTTGCCTGGGAACTTTTGAGGAAAATTTTAATACTCCTGCATAAATAATTTTGCAATTATTTTTGATTCCTACCTAATCAATATACCTTGCCACGCAAGGTATATTCTATTATCTTTGGCTTTCTGAATTTTTCAATTTTCAGAAAAAGAAGCCATAATACTATATCATACACACATTTGTGCATAAATACACAGGCATAAATGAAAATTTAGGCCGAATTATTTGAAGAGGATACAATAATTGCTTGCCAGTGACATGATTCTCCTGCCAGAGAGAGGGGAGAATAACTAGGTGCAAACTTTTAACACTCCAAGTCTAGAGAGAATTATCCAAGCATAGCCATGAATTCCTGAGTTATGGATTGGCAAATGACAATGCCTATGAAAACGATCTCTTTGTCTTCACTGAGTTTTCTTTGTCATTGGAGTAATTTAGGAGAATACAGGATGTGACTGGGAGCCCTTTCTGAATAAGCACAGTCCCATGCCCACGTGAATTCCTAAACCAGTGGCTCCCAGCTGCATGTGTCAGAACAGAACTGGCCTCAGAAATCTACAAGATTCCAGTGGTTCCAGCCTCACTTTCTCCAGTGGTCAACTTACTGCTGTTGCAAAGCACGTCAGATTTCAGGAGCGATTTCTCTTGTAAGGAAAGAAGGCAGGCAGGCAGGCAGGCAGGCAGGCAGGCAGGCAGGCAGGCAAGTGAGGACCTTATTTTTTCTCTGCAGCATGAGTGCAGTCACCTTTTTCCTACGATGTTCCACACCCATCTCTCCTTACAGGTTATAGACACATTTTTGGCACTGCATAAAGTAAGCGTTCCAACATGTTTTTAATCTTTAACTTTCACATCATTAAAAAGCTGATGTACTGACTTTCAGCTGCCTGGAGATAGTTCAGGGCCCAGCACCTGACAGGTGTAATGTTCTGTGTTTTATGTCTCTCAATATGGAGGTTATAGAATCAAAAAGACCGCAAAATGCCTTAAAGGTGTTGATACCCATAGACAGAGCATGCATAGTCCTCAGGTTCCCTTTCTTGCCCCGCTTTCACACCTATTTCTTTTTTTGTAGCGCCTGTATTTGAAAGGGGTTCCTGGTGTACTTGGGAGAAAAGAAGCTTCTTGGTTTGGTAGTACCTACCAGAGACTCCCTGTTTCCTGCTGGTATCAGGATTGAAAAATCCCACTTCTGTCCATTTTCTCTCAAGAGTTGAGAGATGTGTGCCATCGCTCTTTAAAAGAAGGAACTCTCCTTTTGCTGTGGATTGTAGGGAGCAGATTTGGTGCTTACTGTGGCTTCAGGACCCACCTTGAATGACAGAATGTCAGTAACAAGCAGCCCCAGGAAATACGGCTGGTGGTGAACGACTGCCTCTTGATCTTTGCCCATCGAGCAACACCATGTGGATGGTGTCCATCCAGCTTGACCTGAACTTGAACAGTAATTGATGAGTCCTTAAAATCCACGCCCGGCCCCCAGGAATGCCTTGGGGCACCCCATCCCACGTTCTGATTCTGGATGGACTTTTAAGTGAACTCTGATGATGAGTAGGCTCTTAAAACTCTTTCTCAACGTTCTCTGCTGGGTTTGTGTGTCACCTCCCATGCCCTCTCTGGTGTGTGGTGATTCTCAGATCTAGAGCAATGCTTCCTGCCTTGTCCCCCCATGCCTTTGCGTGTGGGAAGCTAAAATTCACATGTGCGATGCCCTCCCATGTGCCATTTTTACCTGGTCCCTTCTGCTCACTCTTTATTCATATTTAAATGCAGGTGAGTTGGAATGTCATCTTACAGGCATAATCCTGAATCTGCTCTATCGCAGACATTTTAAAACTAAATTAAATGTTAGTACTAAGTAGTAGCCAAATTCTCTGAGTCTGCTTCATGACAGGCTGTAACACACTGGTATGGAACGGTAGGTCTAATCCTGTGACTCCTTTATCTATGATGTTTTATGTATTATGAGAGCTCAGCAGATGTTGACAGAGGGAATGAGACAAGATGATTTTAGGTCTAGGTTTGATAGATAAAAAACTGGGCCAAATTTTATATTTTCTTTGAAAAGATAGCTAAATCTCAGCAATTATTTTATTTTATTTATTAAGCTTTTTGTAGAGACAGGGTTTTGCTATGTTGCCCAGGCTGGTCTTGAACTCCTAGCTTCAAGCAATCTTCCCTCTGTGGCCTTCCAAATTTCTGAGATTATAGGCATAAGCAAATGCCTCTGGCCTTCAAGTAATTAATTTAAAGTCTTTTAAAAATTTTCTCTCCTCCCCTAAAATTGGGTTTTAGAGTAAGGTTCTTGTTCCTCTAGTCGACAAGAGTTTCTGAGGAATCATAGAAGAAAGCACAGCTCTTTGAGCATAGATAGTTTCCTTCGTGGAAAGCCAAAGTGAATACTTATTGAGCATCTTCTATGTAGACATAGACTTGTGAAGTCATATCATTAACCCTGTCATTTTACAGATGAGAAAGGTTGAGGCTAAGAGGGGAGTGAGTGCCAGAGTCTACTTGCTAGGCAGTGGTAGACTTGGCCCAGAGCCTGGGGCTTCCCACTTTCATTCCTGGCTGACTGTACCAATCGCACATGGCCTCTCCATGGCCAGCAGGAGCCAGAGGTGGCCCGCATGTGCTTTGCAGAGGAACTTGCACCCACGCTTTTATCGGTGATGGCTGGAATGCTTTTCTTAACTGGAGCTTTGTTGAAGAGCCTGGTGCTTTTGTGGCAGTGCTAACCTGGGGAGCCCATGGTAAAACCCAAGCAACAAAACCACCACCCAATCACCTGTGCTGTTGCAGAGAATGGTCCTTTGCCCTTTCTTCTTGCCTTGTTCCTTTCCCTGTTTTCTCTGCCCTTTTTCGGGGCTGGTCTTCCTACCACCTTTCCTGCTAGGGCTCCCAAAGTGTGGCCCTTCTGGGGTTTACATGGTGTGCCCAGGGAATAGCTTGGCTTTTTTATTCAGATAACTGGAGATAATGGAGTAGATGGAGTTGGGGTGGTGAAGGAACGTGTACCCTCTCAGGGGCAGATGGCCCTCCAGAATTGGCCAGCCCAACCTCTTCCTCACCACCCTAGTTCTATTTTTAAAGACACCTCTCAATCGCAGGAAATCCTTCCTTTTGTCTACCTTCGATCCCTTATGCTTCATTTTAAACCCATTTCCTCTTCATTCCAGAGACGACAAAGTATCTCATCACCAGCTTTGGGCTGAAATGCTTCATATTTTACATTCTTCATTCCATTCTCCGCCACTTCTTCTTCCTAAATAATCTCTTTCCTGAACCTGAACTCATGGATCTATTATCTTGTAACCCATTTATTGTTTCTATGCCTCTCTTTAGAATCTGCTGGTTTTCCAGCTCTTTTACTCAAACATTAGTCTGATAACTACAGAGTCCAATGGCAAGATATCTTAGTGTTTTCCACATTCTTTAGTCTTATGTCTGCACTCTTATGTCCTGCTTGCTTTTTTAAAAACCAGTGCTTCATTGATGACTCATGCTCAGCTTGGTGTCCACTAGGAATGCTAGATCTTTGTCAGCCATCTTTGAGGGCAGTTAAACTTTCACTCCCAGTTGTCCTGATGCCACATTTCTCCCATCCCAGGTGCCCCTCTCTGTCCTTGTCCATATTGAGCTTAGCTCTCCACTCCTGACACGAGTTCCCTGACTTCCTCTCCACTTCCCCGGATGACGGTGAGTTACGATCTTGTCTCCTAAGGTGCCCCCTCCCTCTTGGCTCCTCTCCCAGTGACGACTTCATGGAGGCTGAGAAATATAGTGAGTGGCCTTTCTTGCCTCACTTACTGCTCGGTAAGTTAGCTCAGGGGGAGAGCTGTTCATAACTTTGCACTGACATCTGGAGAACAAAGGTTTTGGAAGAGCGGAGCCCAGATTCCCTGTGAGCCAGCAGAGCCAAGTCTTTTTTGAGTTTCCAGCAAAACCTGTGTTTTAATAATAGGAGTGGGTCATTGTGTTTAATAGTACAACAAAACCTAAGTGCACATAATAAGCACATCTTTTCTGTGTGCTGGGGTGAGGAGAGGTGACAGTGAGTGTGTAGGATGATATGAAAAGCATTACAGACATGGGAAAGCATCTTAGAGCACCCAAAGCTGGCATGAGTCATCACAGGCTTATGGCCACAAGGCTAGATTTTCAATCCCTGCTTCCCTTTTTCATAACCCAGTTCAATGAAGACATAATTGAAGTGGTGAGAAGAGGGGCCACCGCCCTTCAGACTCCAGGGTATTTGTATTCCAGGACCCCTCCGTGGGTGTTGGCCCAGCGGTGCCCAGAGAATATTCCCTTATTGGATCTTTCTCGAATTGACTTGTTCACTTCCTGTTCAGCGCAGCCTGGTGGTGACTCGGTAATCCCCACAGTAAGACCTCACAGTGGGTTGAGTGGCCTGGGAGCTCAAGTCAGGGGCAGAAATGGGGAAGCTGGAAAGTTGGGTGATCAAGAGTCATTTGGAAGCCCCCATGTCTGTGTCAGTCCACTCACATCTCTGTCCGCCACCCACCACCACTTTCTCCCTGCCTGAAAGCACTGGGCTGTGTTTCAGAGAGGTAGCTGGGTCCCACAGATATTTATGGAGGGCTTGTTTCTGTATCTCCTTCTAGTGGGCTGGACCTCCCCAGGCCATTTTTCTAGGTAACTAGGAAGGCCTGACTCTGTCAGCAACTTGGCTTTCTTTGGAGGAGGTGTCACTCTGGGATTAGTTAAAAGGGGATCAGTGGTATTCACATTGGCTCGTGGGTGTATTTTCTCCTCCTCAAATTATAACCTTTTGGAGGGCAGGAGTCATGTTTTATTTTTTGTGCCTTCTTGGTGCCTAACATAATGCTGGTTCATATGTAGTATTTAATCTGTACTTTGCTCACGCTGCTTGATTGAACAGAGAAAGACCGGGCTTTGAATGGATCCCCAGCTCCCTGTCCAGGGAAGGTGTGAGGCTGGGCAAGTTTATTTCCCCCTTCCTCCCTGGGGAGAAAGTGAAAAAGTGAAAGTGCTGGGGTTGGGATAGCTGGTGGTGTCTTTGTGGCTTTCACCCCATGGTCAAGCAGTGAACTCTGCTTGCAGATTCTGTCTCGCTCACCTGGAAGCCAGTGTTGGGGAAGGAGCACGTGGGGGAGGATCCTTAGGTCTGGGCAACACTTTGGAGTTAGGGGGTCCCCTGGAGGTGTGGGAAGCTGGTAGTGGCATTCTGGAAACAAGCTAGAGCCTGTCTCACCAGAGGGAGAACGGCTGAGTTCGGAAGGGACTGGGGCCTGCTTTCCTTTGGGTGGCTTTGACTGGCTCTTGGATGAGTTTAAAAGGTGATTCTCTCTCTCTCTCTGTCTCTCTTTTCTTTTTTTTTTTTTCTTTTTTCTGTTTTAGTGTATGTGTATGCAAGACCTTTGATATTTGAGTAGGGAAATCCTCTCTTATCAATGGAATTCACAGCCTCTTATGGTGCCTTACCCTTTCATTGTGTTGTAAAGACAGTCAGACCAACTAGATTTATTTGCACAACTCTGATTTTTTTCCTAAGAAACTCCCCCACCCAATTTAATTTTTTTTTTTTTTTGAGATGGAGTCTCGCTCTGTCGCCCAGGCTGGAGTGCAGTGCTACGATCTCGGCTCATTGCAGCCTCCGCCTCCCAGGTTCAAGTGATTCTCCTGCCTCAGCCTCCCAAGTAGCTGGGATTATAGGTGCATGCCATCACACCTGGCTGATTTTTTTTTTTTTTTTTTTTTTTAAGTAGAGATGGGGTTTCACCATGTTGGCTAGGCTGGTCTTGAACTCCTGACCTCAGGTGACCCACACGCCTCGGCCTCCCAAAATGCTGAGATTACAGGTGTGAGCCACCGCACCTGGCTATTTAATTCTATTTTCAGATGGCTTGTTCTCCAAGTCTTGGGACTGCCCAGAAATGGGTTGCCTGGTAGGGCTCATGGCTCAGCACTGCGATCCCACCAGTGGCCGGGGTGTTCCTTAGCCTTCTAGTTCAGTTGTGGCCCTTCTGGGCTTCCTTTGCTACCAGTTTCCACCACATGGCTGGAGGTAGCCCAGCCTGGAAGCCTCTCAGAGCTCCAGCCTGGAAGCCTCTCAGAGAGTGCTTGGAGCACTGCTAGCTGCACGTGCTCTCAGGAAAGTCCACAAGGAGATGGCTGGTGTGGCTCAGAGTCCTTGTGTGCTGCCTCAGCCCATGCCAGGCCACCTGTGGCTGTCTGCCCTCAAGTCTGTCCTTCTCTGAGGATTTAGGACTGTGAACCTAGAGAATTCAAAGTAGTGGAACTAGAATCCAGGTCTCGACTCAATCCAGGGAGTTTTGCTCACCACAAGCCAGGAACAGCTTCTCTTCATGGAGGTGCCTGTCTGGAAGGCAGAGAATCTCTGGCTTGTTGAGAAGAGAGAGTCTGCCCTTCAGACTGCAAGGTGTTCACTGCATAGGACCCTTCGTAGGTGCTGACCCAGCTGTGCCCAGTGCTAGAGCTAGGACTCAGTTCTATTTTCCCAGAGAGTGGTGTGATGGGAGGCTATTTCTTTTTCTTTTTTCAGTCCTGATCAGGGATGAGTCCGTGCTGTTGGGTTTATTCATTTACTTTAGCGTGTGAGTGGGGAGATGGATTAGGCAGCAGGCCCTTGGAAGGGTGGGAAGATTCAGAAGAGAGAGGGCAGGACTGGGAAGATCCAGACAGGACATGAAGATTTGCTCCACAAAGAGAGAAGCAGCAGGAGTTCTGGCTAGAGGCTAACCCAACACCCACACCTGCCAAAGGGGTTCCCATGGGGTGGCTGGCTTGAGGGGATCTGGGCGCTGGTTTCTGCTGTGGACAGCCTCAAGTGGGGCGTGGAGGCAGCATCTCCAGAAGCACCCGGCAGATGGCTCCTGAGGGAGCAGGGACTCCTTCTAGTGCCACTCCTGGGACTAAATTCCTTGTCCCCTCCTTGTCTCATATTTAGCATCTTGGAGCCGTGTCAGCTGCAGAGACTGGAGTCCGGGGCATGATGGGGATGTACCTGAAACCTAGTGAGAGTCATCCTGACTCTGGGGAAGAGCCGCTCAAAGATGAGAAAGATAAAGTAATTTGCCACCCCCAACCCCTCACAGGCTAGACTATCCATGGATTTCAGTGGGGTGGTGAGTCCTCATGATCCCTGAACCTCTCCTCAAATGGTGACTGTTCTGGGGGTCCTTTCTCTGCCTTTCTCAGGGGGTAACCAGAGGTGGTGGTGTGGTCCACTGTGACTCGTCAGCTGTTGCTCTGTGTGTTCATTTTTGAGAAAATGTTAATCTCTGAGACGTCTAAGAGGTGAAACTCCTTTCTCTGTGTCTCCTCCAAATGGATGCCATGTGGGTGGGCAAAGTGGTTGGGTTTATTCATTTACTTTAGGTGTGTATTGTAGTAAAACCTGCTTGTTCTCCTATCCGTCATCAGAGGTGACTCATACTTGAGACACTAAAAGAGAATAAACTGTCTTCATAAGGCTGTGAACGTCGCCAGATTATGAACCAACTTCAAGTAACGTAGGGATGCCTTGATAATTATATTATTGAAACCATCTCCAATTAGATATGCAAAATGGAGTTGCTGGGGGCTTCAGTTTTCTTTAGACCAAATAATTTAGAGCTGAGAGGAGAGGCAGATACCATCTAGTCTCACTTTTTACAATTTAGCATTGGATTTGTTGAGCATGTACTCTCTGCAGAGCATTGTGATAGGTTCTGGGTTGGGAGGGGAGCCGGGAAGGCAAGCATCCTCTCTCAAAGCTGCCTTTCTCATTTGAGAGGCGAGTGTGTGTGGCACAGGGGCAGGTAGAAGGAGACAGATCCTTTATACCTGAGAGCAAGATGTGCAGCCAGGAAAGCTCAAGGACACAGGCCAAGGGAGGTGAAGTGACTTGCCCAGGCCACCCAGTTACCTAGCACAGCTCAGCCACAAGCCCAAATGAATGATTCTGAGTTCCACATCAGCGCATCGGGCAGCCACCATGAGCAGTTCCACAGTGACAGGTGGGGCTCTAGGTGGCTTCCTTTAAAACATCTGAGGAAAGCAGGCTTCCTCTCTGACTGCTCTCCAGGGGTGGTGAGCACAGGGGTTCATCTGCAGCTCCCCAGCTCCAGTGCTCCTTAGCCTTCCAAGTTGTTTGAATTAAGTTGCAAGCCCAGGTGGCTGCACACATATTCATTTTGGAGTGACTGTGACACTTGTATTTCCTGGGAAGCGTTACTATGTCTTTGGCCGAGCAAGTATTACGCCATGAGCTGGTTCCCTTTCTTTTGCCTTTGAACACCTACATTGCTGGGAGGATACCTTAGTGAGAGTGCCTGGGCCACTGGGCGTAGCAGAGGAAGCACCTCATCATTTTACTGATTTATTTGAAAGAAAAAAGCTCCCTCCAACCCTTGCCTTCATAGAAACAGAGTGTTGAAAGCTTGGAGAAGAATTAATGACTCCCCTGCCCCTTAGTGTCTTACATGACTAGCTGCTTCTTTGCCTACTGCATTTTCAACTTATTTCAACTTATTTTCTGTGGCTTGGAAAATACGTTGACTGAGTGATGATTGTTTTCATGAAATGGTGCAACATGTAAAGCAATGGTTGTCATTAATAGTGCAGTTATGTAGAGTGTAGCTCTTTGAGTCTTCAGTTTTGAATCAGATTAGCGCTCTGTTAACTTAAAATAGCCCCAAAAAAGAAGAAGGAAAAAAAAAGAACTGTCAGAAATCAGAGGGAAATATTAGCATTATGAAACATGGTAACAAGTGGCCATTAGCACTTTATGTCTGCATGAATAGCATCTTTAAGTGTTTTATTGGTAACGGAAAAGAGTGGAGTCACATAGAATGACATTACTTCCCAAATTGGCGAGTTCTTTTAATTCAGACTTCTCCTTGTTATTGCCTACTGGGGAGCACTTATTCACCTGTCAAATTGTATGCTAGGGTGGGAAAGGGTATTTTAGCTTTTCTGGCTGCATCCCGGGCTCTCAGGTAGAAGGGATTTGTCCCTTTGCCATGGCCTCCTTCTCTCCTGCCCTCCCCAGTGCCCCTGCCAGGAGGAGGGAGAATCTGAAAGCAAGAATGGAGGGAGAGTAATGCCGTGGAGGCAGCTGGGATTTGTGCCTGGCCAGTGCCCCTGCACAGTATTGGATATGAGTATGGGCATCTCAGTGTGCCTGGAAACGCAGTTGGCTGCACAGCCCCAGTGGGAAGAACTCTGAGGAACTGCTGGTGGTTGGCTCTTCCCCAGGCTCTCAGCCCCTCTTTCTAGAGGCTCCACCTAAGCCTTAGGAAAGACTTTCGTTTGGTTTTAACTGGCTCCTGTCAAGGGTTCCCCCAAACCAGCTCAACCCCTCCATTTACATTATAATGCAAAAGCTCTTCCCTGTGGGTCTCAGGGCCTGTGGGGAAAATGGAATCTGGCTCAAACCCAAGATCCAAAGCTAAAGTGCCCCCAGGTTGGGCTGCCTGACAGTTTTATAGATATGGCATTGAGTGGCCTCCTGGCAGTTTGGAATTGTGAAGGTTCACTCATTCATTTTTCAACAAATATTTTGAACACCTGCCACATGCTGGGAACGGTTCTTGGTGTTGGGCATAGAAAGCCTTAAAAACTCCCTGCTCTTGTGGCACCCCCTTTCTAGCTGGGGAGAGACAGAAGATGCACCAATAAATATGTGAATTATATAGTATGGCAAGAGAAGATCAAACTGCCTGCACGAAAATAAGGTGGGGAAGAGGGGTAAGGGGTGCATGGTGACCAGGCTTTTAAATAGGATAATTAGGGAAGGCCCAATGAGAAGCAAAGGCTCCAAAGAGGTGAGGAAGTTGGCCATGAGAATTTTGAGAAGATGGTTCCAGGAAGAGTGTGTAGAGAGCAGAGACCTTGTGTGTAATACGCCTGGCTACTGGAGGAGGAGCAAGGGGCCCTGAGGTCAGAGTGGAAAGAGTGCAGGAGGAGGAGGAGAGGAGACCAGCTGGCTCCTTGAAGGACGTAGAGCAGGGATTTTTGGCTCTGACTCCAAGGGAGATGGAAGCCACTGGAGGAGTGATGTCATATGACTTGCGCTTCCAGAGAGTCTCTTGGGCCGCATTTTGAGACTCAAGCATGGGAAAGTGAGGCAGAAGCAGTCAGAAGGCAAATTTTAGGCAAGTGATGGTGGCGTGGACCAGGGTGGTGGGGACGTGAGAAGGGGCTGGATTCTGGACATACTTCGAAGGGAAAACCGGCAGGATTTGCTGACTGGTGGGATGGGTTGTATGAAAGGAAGGGAGGAGTCAAGATGGACCCCAAAATGTGTGGCTCGGTGACTGGGAGAATAGAATTGCTGTTTATTGGGATGGGCCAGAAAGGCTGTGGAGGTGCTCAGAGGATGGGTGTGTCTGGGGCTCCTTCACCACTTCAGGACTTCAGTGGATGCTAGACTACTGCCCTGTTCAGGAAGATCGTGAGGGGAAAGAGAGTAGCCCCCCGATTGTGGCTGTTCGGAGAGCCCCAGTTGACTGCCTATAGCTGAGATGATTTAAGTCGAGTTCTTTGGGGAGGGCCAGGTGTTTTTCTCCTCCTCCTAATCTTTTTGTTCTTTTTCCTTCTCTGTTGTTCTTTAGCTACCAAAGACAACTTGATCTTTTGATCCAGAAAGATGCGCTTTGTTTCTTGCATTTCTTTCCCTTCGTTTGTTTTCTCAGGTCTCAGGTAGACCATCGAGCTGCTGTTAATTGGTGATATTTAGGAATGGGTTGGAAGCTGCATCTTTTCCTGGACTTCTCAGGACTCTCACTGCCACGTGTCTTGTGCTTCCACAGAACCGTTTTCTGAGACGTCCGTGTGGCTCTGCTGTGCTCAGGTCCACGGTTAGCCCCTGGCTTGGAATTTCTTCCGGAAATCCGTTGTCCTCTTTTCCACAGGTTCTCCTCCTCCCTTTCCCCATTTCTGGAAAGAAGTGGGCTGGCACATAGAGCCTTTTTCCTTGAAAGGAGAGTGCAGAGCCCTCTAATGGAAAAGTAAAAAAATTCTTGGAATCCTCATAACATCCAAGCCAGCCAAAGCTGAGACCAAGTAAATTATTGGGGGGTAATTTGCAAGGGCCTGAATCAAACAAATTGCTTTCTTGTTTCTCAGCTTGAATCTTTAGACCAGAAGCCTGTGATTTCGGAGTCTGATGAGAAATAAGAGTCAGTGTTTCTGTCTGAGCCACTTTTCTTTGGAGGAGGTCCTCTAGGCTTTAGCAATCACAGAAGAACCAGTGACAGGTTCCTTGTCATAGGAGAGCTCCTTGGTCCTCAGGATTCAAAAGACACCTTAAGTAGCAGTGGGTAGGGCGTAAGTTTAACATCCCTCAAGGTAGGCCTTAGGTTTCCCTCTGTCCCCTCTATGGTGCTGGCTTTGCCACATGTAGAACAAACTCTTCTGGAATCATAGGTAACCCAAGGGGGAGCTCAGAGAAGAGTCCAGGCTGCCAGTGCAAAGGTCCAGCCCTGTCGCCAAGGAGACCCTCAGGGAAATGCACAGGCCTCCAGCTATTCCCACGGCCCCTGTAGCTGAGCGCCAGCTTCTTCCTGGGCCAAGCTGAGGCTGTTTCCTGCCGTGTCCATTCTCCTAGCAACGCTTCTCTTTGGCCAGTTTGCCATAGTACCTGAGGTAAGTTTTGTCCTTTGCCTGCCAAATGCTTTACATCCCGGAGGAAAGCAAAGTCCTCTTCAGAACAGGAAAAGTCCAGTGCAGTTCCACACTGTGCTATTCCAGAACCTCCCAGTTGCATTCCTTTGCCAACTAGGTAATGTGCTAGGGATATTTGTCTCGCAGCAACTGGCAACCCCCTGTTTGGGTAAAAGTCAGACTCAGGGACCCGGCTGCAGTGCTTGCTCCTGTGGCCCCTGCAGGGAGTGTGGCCTGGGGTGTAATTCTGCACACCCAGGAAGCTTCTCTGTCTCCTCTTTCACATCAGGCCTTCCCTGTGTCCTGAACCAAGTGTGGATGAGTTTGAGCTTCCTCCTAGTTTTTATTTGTGTAATTTGTTGTTGTTGTTGTTGTTTGGGGGTGGGGGTAGACAGTGCTGGGCCTGTCAGAATTTTAGGTTGGTTCTTTGAGATGAATAACTACTTAGCTGTTGCTCAACTACTTTTGTTTGTGAAAGAAAGGGCAGTAAGCACCATGACATGAGAGAATTTCAGGTTTATTGTGATTTCTTTTTTGTGTTTGCATCTGTCGTGCTCAGTTAGGGCATTATCCGTAACCCCATAGGAACCAACACCGAAGACCATATGATTTTAAAGCTTTAGAAATCTGCGTGTGTAATATGTCTTTTGTGAATTTTTTTTTGTTCTTTTGCTTTAGAAACTGTAATAATAATCCATAGTAATTATCCCATAGTATGCTGTCCTTTGTTACAGGAGCATTGGATTACTGTGAAGACGTGTCCTGTATACAGTTTCAACAGCTTGTTTTTACTTCTTCCCTTCTCCCCGCACCCGTCGCCCCCCACCCCACCCGCTTTCTGTCTTGTGCTGTTTGGAAGACAATTTCCACATTTCTGCCATATGTCTTAGAAAAGCTGGGGACTTAGAAGCAGTAGCCGACTTAGGACAGCAAGCTCAGCTCAGGTGCGGAGGCAGCCCTGTGTAAGAGACTCTGTTATGCAGTGAGCTGTTGAAACAGCTGCATGTGGAAACAGTTCTTCCCCTTGCCTGTCCTCATTTCTTGAGAGACTCCAAAACATCTGAAAATGTAAAAGCACTTCACAAGGTTTTAACTTTTCTGGCTTGAACGGAAGCAGCTTCAAGTCAACAAGAGCACAATAGTCTTTGTAGGTTTTGGACACAGTTTTCTAGCTTTTCAAGAAAGGCAAGGGCCCTCCTTCCCTCCCTCCCTTCCCTTCCCTTCCCTTCCCTTCCCTTCCCTTCCCTTCCCTTCCCTTCCCTTCCCTTCCCCTCCCCTCCCCTCCCCTCCCCTCCCCTCCCCTCCCCTCCCCTCCCCTCCCCTCCCCTCCCCTCCCCTCCCCTCCCTCCCTCCCTTCCTTCCTTCCTTCCTTCCTTCCTTTCTTCCTTGTCTTGCTTTGCATTCTGCAGAGCTAGAAGAGCATTTAATCCTTGGCCCTCTGTCTGTTGGGATATTATGTTTTTTTAATAGTGCTTGTTTATGACTAAGGTCAAAGACAGTATTTCAGAACAAAAATTAGAGTTAGTTCATAATTGAGTACATATGTACGTTACTGTTTATTTTTATAGTTTGCTAATTTATTTTTAAACAGCTCAGTTACGCCAACATGTTTATAGCTCTGTTCATCACATGCCTTACCAGTCAGGGTGTTAAAAGGCACATGCTTTTCAATAGTTTGGATCCCAAGTTAAATTAGATAATGCCATCAGGTAGCAATTTAATTACATTAATTGAATGTTTAGGCGGAAAGGTAGTTTTGCAGAGGCTATAATGAAATCACATTTATAAGTACCCATGTATAAATCTCAGCATTATAGACATTATTTGAGGTTGCTGACAGAAAAATGGATATATATCAGGCGTTTAGGAGGAAACATGCGGGGGGCTGTCATCAGTGGTAAATGCTGCCTTCGCCATTTAGGAGACTGCTGGGCACGGTCGTTTTCTTAGTGAGCTGCCTTTATCATTAGCCCTCTAAGCAGCCATGCACAAAGGCACGTGGGTGCTGTGTTTTGTATAGCCAGGGCTTTCCTGGACTCAGCATGCCAGCTGGGGCCGGCTCACTGAGGCTGGAAAAATGAGATACAGTCTAGTGAGGTCTTTGTCACCTTGGAGGGTCTGAGGACTGGTGCGCTCGGGTTGACCCATGTGGCGTCCTGAGCCAGCTCTGTCCTGGATCTGAGGAACACTGTCTGAAGTTTTCCAGGGGTTTGACAGACCAGAATGGGGGCCGCTGGCAGGGCCTGGTGGCATTAGATGTGGCAAGTCAGACCACAGCTGGCCTGTGAAGGTGACTCTTCCTCTGATGCAGAGAGAATTAAATGAGGAGGCCAGAGCCCTAGCTGCTGCCTCCCCTCCATGCCCTCAGAGAAAGTGGGAGTGCTGGCATTTGGCTAACAGGACAGGCTATTTTGGGCCCAGGTGTTCTTTCTGACCTCTCTGTGATTTCTATGGTGGGTGTCAAAGGATGGCTGGGAAAGGGGATTTTTAGGTGTGCTAACATCCCTTGCCTATGAGTGATTCACTATCTTCTCGCACCATCTGGTTTCACCCGGGCTGCAAAGCCTAGTGTGGTGTCCCATACCCTGCAAAGCCCTATTTGGGTTATTTACCAAATGCCACCATGCCATCTCCACAGCATCTGGCAGACGAACCAGGTGGGGCTGCTATTGCTTCTGGGTATTTACGGGATGCAGATTTTTCTGCCCACCGTTGTTTTGGGAGGGATTTCCCCCTCCCTCAGGTAGAGTTGTTCTCAGAGATATCTGTAATTGGCCCTTCCCATTTAAGAGTCAGCCACGAATGATTTATTCTAAAATGATAGACCCAGGTAGAGAGGTTACCCACCCTCCGTCACAGAGTGGCCAGCTGTGTCCCCTGCTTCCGGGAGGTGGGAATGCATGTGGAGGGGTCGTTATTTCCTAACTCTCTTGCTCTGGCAGCCTGAAGAGCTGTCTGTGCCCTGAACAACAGCTTAGGGAGCTGGAGGAAAGAGAAGGAGGTATGCATTTGAGGGAGAGAGGCCCACTGGGTTGGACAAGAAGGTAAAAGAGGGCTGGTTTGGCCCCTAAGGGAAGGACAGGAAAGCACCCGCTTGTTCCCTGTGTGGATGCAGTGTTTGTCCAGCTGAAGGCAGCCTCACTCGGCTGACTACCTGATGAGTGATTTTCCCCAAGCTGACAGCTGCTCCAACACATTTCACCTACAAGTCCTGACAAAGTGGTGTGTTCTTTTGGGGCTGTTATTACTGCAGCAGGCATTTGGAACAATCTGGAAGAATGGGGTGCCAAAGGACACCCTTGAAGCCGTTTCTGAGTATCCGTCCCTTCTTTTCTCTCCGATCCTCTAGCTTTTTTGGCTTATGAAAAATTGGGCCCATCCCTTTCGAATGTCCATTGTGCTGTTAGTAATGAGGATACGGATAAAATCACATTTTTTTTTTGAGTAAGCCCTTTGAGGAGTATTGTCAAATTGAGACTCACCTCATGAGTAACCCTGTGAAGAGGCAGGAGAAAGGGTAGTTGAAGCTTAGAGAGGTTAAATGGCAGGTCTGGTCTCATGCAGCCGCAGGGGTAGACTAGGGATTCTGATCCAGAACTCCTTATACTTCTGGGTCCACCCCACGCTTCCACAGCCTGCACACAGGGTAGGGAAGTTGTGGCTTGCAGAAGGCTGTTTTTTTGGGGGGACGCTCTGTTTTAATAGTTTGGAGCAAGGAAGCTAGTGGTGGGCGCTCACTGGTAGGGGAGGCATGTGATAGGAATCAGTTTGATCTTTTAAGCATTTTCAGGGACAGATATGTACCTGATATTCCACCTCTCTATATAATTTCAAGACTTGATTGGCATTGTCCCTAAGCACCAGTAGAAAGCTTGAAGAAGCTTCTCAGTAAATACATCAGCTGTATTTCCAGGTGAGCAGTACCTGCTGAAATGCTGAGAGAACGTTCTGACTAGGAGGGCTTGGGGGAGACAGAGACAGAGTTGGCTGTTTCAGCAGACTCATTCTGCTATTTGCTTTTTGCCTTGGAGATTATTTTTTCTGGGTGTCCCGATGCTGAGCTCCCACTTCAAGAAGAACATTGGTATAAATTTACAAACCAGAAGTAGTCAGAGGTTGACTTTTTTGTTCTGTTATTCCTTCTTTGGGAGAGCAGGCTGGCCAGGAGGAAGGTTCAAGTGTGTCATATCCTAGCATTCAGATAGGTGGCCTCCTCTGCCTTTTCAGTGGGTGGCTGGGCTGGGTGAAATCTTGCAGTGACTAAGAAAGGAAGGGTGGACCCAGGCAGACCCAGAAGGTACTGCATCTTCATCATTGATCCTGCATGCGTGCCGGTAGGCAGCAGTTCTGGAATTGCTGGGGAAACCACAGTGCAGCATGAGCCCTGGGGCCTGCTCTCTTGTGCCCGGCTGAGCATCTCTGTTCTGTTTGGGGAGTCCTGCCAGGCAAGTGTGAGTCAAAGAGGAGACCAGGGCCCTATGTCATGGGGGCAGTGTCGGCTGAGTGGTACTCTTCAGAGTTCTCAGAATGTGCCGCTCGAAGCCATGTAGGCTTCCAGCAGGCTTCTAGCAGATGGGGTTTTGGCTGGGTTGGGCCTTAATACTCAGTGTCTTTCATTCCCTCTCTGCCCCCTCGTTCCTTTCCTGCATTTCTTGCTTTCTTTTTTTTCTAGAATCAACGAAGCAGCCAATAACCAATTTTCAGGAGGTTTAGATGAATGTGAATTGCTGTTTAATATAAAAATTTTATTAAAATAATAAAGCTCTGACAAAAGATCCAGAATATTGTCCCTTGCAGTGGGCTTTAGGGTTGCATCTTGGCTCCTAAATCTTCTAGGCGGGTTAAATTAGTCCTCACAAAATGTCACATTTCCCTGGCAGCTATAGGTTTCCAGGAGGGTGAACAAGGGCCATCTGGGTGTTTGCTGAGGGCTTCTCAGTCCTGGGTAGGAACTGCTGGGTGTGGAAACCACCAAGGCTTTGTAAGCCTGAAAGAGCCACTGGTATTGGGAGCTTGGTCTGCACTCAGACCTGAGCGCCACACATTATTTTCCCAGATTTGGGCAATCTAATGGATAGGAGGGAGGGTTATGCCCCATCTGTGAATAGGTGGAGGAGAGGGTCCAGAGAAAATTGTTGCAGTGCTCAGAGGAAGCAATAGCCTACTGTCTTCCAGGGACATGTCTGGCTCCTGGAATGCCTGTCCAGGCTGCGGTGGGTGGCATGGGTAAGGGTTTTTAATAAAAAGTCACAATGCCTGGAGAAGTGAGGCTCCTTGCAGCCACCTGCCTTTTCTGTCTTGGGTCTCCTGGTTGGACCCCATTCTGGCTTTCCACCTGGTCAGAGCCTCCTGAGGCTGCAGAATGGGGCTAACATGATCAAGGGTGATGTGGCTTCTCCATCTTGGGACTAGGAGTGACCAGGTTTAGAGAAGGTGGACTCATTCCTGCTCCCATTGCCAGGACAAATGCAGAGTGGATCTGGGTCTGTCCCTTCCACACAGACACCTTCATTTCAACACATTCCGTGTGTATTAAGATGACAGACACGTTGGTTTTGCTCCAAGCCAGTAGCCATCCCCCTAGACAGCCCAGGCCTTAAAAGACAAGGAGGTGTTTGGACAAGAGCAAGAAAGAAGTCTGGCTGTGTCTTCTGGGAGCCCCAGACAGACCAGTGTTCTTTCTCACTGGTTCACTCCTTCCCCAGCTCATTTTACCCACTCGAGACTTGATTCTCTTAGAGATTAAGTACCTCCCCTGGTCACATAGTTTCTGGGTGACAGGACTAGAATTTATTTCTTTTGATCACCAATTGAGTGCTCTTTCTGCTCTACTGTGCTACCATGATCAGAGGTAAATTTGTTTTTCTCTGATGATGATTGAAAACAGTTTTATTAACATATCAAGAACATTACAACACAAAGAGTTTCTGGTTTAAAAAATCTCTTTTCACTGGTATTTCTTAAATTCATATTTTAATATTAGAAAGCATGGGATTGGGTGTGAACACTGCTTTTGGATGTTGGAGGAAGATAAGAGAAGGAAGCTGGCTCTTTCTTTAGGAGCAATACCTGAGATCCCAGAATTGTATGTACAAAGTGTGTGATGGCAGAGCTCAAATCTGTGCTAGCGAGAAACCCCCTGCTACTCTTCTGAATCTGATGAAGAAGTTATTCTGTCTGTGCAGTTTTATTAGGCTGAGACTTTTTCCGATGGTTTATTTTTCCGTTTGCTCACAGAATGTAGAGGAGAGCCAGGAGGGAGCTGACACGTTCACACTGTTTACCTACTCCCTGACTTTGGAGCTCAGCAAATCTGCTATCCATCATTTTGTTTCACCAGCTTTTACAAAGCAGGATCATAAACTGTAAGCTCATTTGGAGGGACCTGATCTCTGATTGTTGCTTTGATAAGTATCTATACAAATATTCATATCATTCTGATAGTCTTGAGTTGCATTGTTACAACATGCAAACCTCTCAGTTTTCCAGGACTTCTGGTGGTACAGCTTCTCTGTGGAGTGAGGCATATTTTTGGTCTGGCCTTTCCTCCCTGAAGCTCTGTTAGCCTGAGATTTCACCTAGTGCAACACAAGTTGTGTAGAAAGAAACATAATACTACTTTATTCCATAATTCACTAGTAAAATAATTAGAATAAAAGGCTGTTTTGGAATGTAGAGAGGCAGAGGGGCTGATATAACTTCTCAGAATGCATCTTCCTGTTTTCCCGTCTTAAATTTTTATGTGAGATGAGCACACTGCTGTAATTAAGAAAGCAGTGTAAGGCTGGGCGCAGTGGCTCACGTCTGTAATTCCAGCACTTTGGGAGGCCGAGGTGGGTAGATCACCTGAGGTCAAGAGTTTGAGACCAGCCTGACCAACATGGAGAAACCTCATCTCTATTAAAAATATAAACTTAGCCAGGCATGGTCGCACATGCCTGTAATCCCAGCTACTCAGGAGGCTGAGGGAGGAGAATTGCTTGAACCCAGGAGGCAGAGGTGGTGAGCCGAGATCACACCATTGCACCCCAGCCTGGGCAACAAGAGCGAAACTCTGTCTCAAAAAAAAAAAAAAAAAAAAAGAAAGCGGTGTCAGTACTTGCAAAAGGCCTTTCCCTCTTGCCACTCAGGGAAGCACCCGAAAGAGAACTTACAAACCAGGTAAAGTATTTGGAAGTGATTAATCATATTACAAGAGTGTTCTTCATTTCCCCCAAAGGACCATGGCTTCCTGTGACACTTACCTGTGCTCTTATAGATATTAAAGACAGAGCCACTGGACTGTGAGCTCCTTGAGGGCAGGGAATGAGGCTCATTCCATTTTGTTCTGGCAAGTAGCACTACAGGTTTGGACCAAATGAATTAAATTGGCTGCCATTGAATCAAAGCAGAATGAAGGTAGTGTTTCTGAAACAATAATATAAATAAGTGCAAAATTGGATGTTTACCAACAACTTTCCAGAAACAGGTCTTGTTTCAGAAGATGTGCCAAAGATGTCTCATGTGGGCAGGGCTCCTGTGGAGACCTCTGTTGCTGAGTGAGTCAACCATGAGGTCGGCTGAGCAGTTCAGGGTTCTCCCATTTTACAGAGGAGGATGCAGCGACCCAGAAATGCTTGCAAGCCCACCCAGCTAGGCTTGCTTCACAGACACTCTTTTAACTAGTTCCATCAGCAACCCCAGGTTGGCCATACAATGTCATCATACACATTTTACCAGTGAAGAAACTGAGGCTTGGAGAGGTTAAAGAGCTGCTCCCAGACACACAGCCAGGAAATTGGTGGTAGATGAAGGATCCAGCTCATCTGTCTAACTTGGGAGCCTGAGTGTTCATCTTACCTATCCACCAAGGCTTGAAGTGAGGTGCCCCGACTGTGAGTTCCAGGTTTGATGCCTACAGCCCATCAGCCTTATACCTTGTCTTATACCTTAACTGGTGGAGGGTGCTGTCTCTGTGTAGCAGCCACCAGCCTAGCTCTGAACCCTGTCCTGAGGAGTTGGGAAGTGTGGGGTGTCTGGTTTATTCCATCAATACACGTAGTCCCTTCCATTCTTCTGCCATTTTTTCTCAGGGGCTCTCCTTCCTTCCCTGGCTCTTGGGTAGGCTGCCTGCTCTGATGTAAGTTCCTGCTGGGATGATTGCTCTGGCCAGGCCCCCAGCTGCTCCCTGCCCTTCTCTGAAGGCACATCTGTCAGCCCACAGAGGCACGGTTAATGGTGGCGGGGAAGCAGAGGCAGTGCATAATGGGGGAACTGGCCCCGGGAACCTCACCTGCCCTATCCCTACCTGCCCCCTGTCCCCTCCCCGCCTGGGCTTGACTTGTCCACTTTCACTCTCAAGACCACCGCTCTCACACACAGGTCCTGTGCTGCCCCCACAGCTTTGCAGGCTGCTGGTTTTCCATCCAGGGCACAGCCGCAGGCCTCTGGGCACCCTAGCCCTCAGTGCCCAGGGCAAAGCCCTGACATGCAATCTCACTGGCAGGCAGCCTCAGGCAGGCCTGGGCAGAGGACCGAAAGGAGGAGAGGAGGGAGGGAGCTACAGTAGAGCAGACAGGAGACAAACACCAGCTAAGAGTAAACAGCCTGGCAGTGGGGTGAGTGCCTGGCTGGAGGGGCTCACCTGGGCTGGCCTGCCTGGGAGGAGCCAGGTCGGTGGCTGCTCTCTCCGAATCTTAGTCCTGCTTGAGGTCTAGCAGCTTCCGGAGCTGCACATGGGGCTTGAGGTCTGGTGCTTATGGATTAGGAGGAAGAGAAGACAGATGGCAGAGTACCAGGCAGCTTAGGAACATGTCTCCTTCCACATGCTGTGGCCCAGGTGCTGCCCAGAGCTGTTTCACAGCAGCCTCTCCACTCAAGGTTGAGCGGTTTCCTTCAGTGCTGTCCACCCCTTTGGTCCGGGGAGCTTCATGTTCCTGGGCCTCACTGACACCTGCATGGGGTTGGTGGGGAGGTATGAGGGGTTGGAGGGGTCTTTTTGCTAGCCCTGGCCCGTGGCAAACACTGTCTTGAGAAAGTGGGACGTTGAAGGAGCTTGGACTCTAAAGTCAGCTACACATGAGTCTTTTCACCTGCTGGCTAGGTGGCCCCGGACAAGTCAATCAGCCTATTGGGCCTCAGGCTCTTTATCTATAAAATGGGGCTAATTTCCTTTTTTGCCCCTGGGAAGAAATATCACTTAGAGGAGTTACAGAATGTGCAACCTTTCCCAGGAGTATTGCTCCTGAAGGAATAAGGCACGATGGGCTTTGACTTCAGCCTCCAGCACTGTGGCCCAGAAGGGTATGGCTGGGCAGGGGCGTCACACCCCTGCAGCTCTGTGGGAGTGACGGAAGGGCGCTATCCACTCGCCTTGCACATGGCTGTCTTGCTCTACCAGGCCTTAGGTTCTGTGGCCAGATACTGTTCTCCAGCTCTTTGGCTTGGGCCCCGAGACCAGAGAAGATAATGGCAGCCCAGAAACCTGAATACTGGGGAACACATTGTAGGGTGATCTCCCAGAAAAGCCAGCGAGAAATGGACTGTAGCTGTAGCATTCTTCCCTTTGGATGCCTGTGTGGGGACAGAATCAGTGGAATGGAAAATGAAGAAGAAACACTGGCCCTGCCTCTCATCAATGCCCCCCCACCACCCACCACCACCACCTGCTTCCTGTTCTATTAGACAAACGTAGTTTCTGGATGAGTTGGACAGTCATCTGAGTTTGATCAAGATTTACAGGTAATTCAAATGTATGTATAAGGTACATACATATTAGTACATCCATCAGAGAGGCTTCCTTAAGCCACAAGTCTCTAGCTCCTCAGAGAACTGGCAGTCTGGCTGGGTCTGTACGAACTTGGACCTATAGATGACCTCACTGGTTTCTCCCCTTGTCACCTCATCTGCCTGCTTCCTTCTCTTTACTGATCTTATGTGAGTAGGTAGAGGGGTCAGATCACCTCTGCTCAGCTCTGCCCAGCACACTAAGCCTATTTGCTATTAAAATTTGAAAAACAAATGCAGGTGCCAGAGGTGGCTAAATAATGAATGTCCCAGGCCAATTCTAGGAAGGGAAGTGGGTATGGGGCAGCCCATTGCCTTCCTGGTACCAGGATGATGCAATGCTTGGAGGCTGTGAGCTCCCCACCTTCTCAGGGCACACCCTGTGATCTTGTGGGACCCCTCTGTCCAGCCCAGCCTGGGTGTGCATCTTGTGTGCTTGGTCGGCACTGATAGGGGTCGCGGTAGGGAGTTGTCGGCACACACTGCTGCATGTCCTGTGAGCGGTCCCCAAGGCTGTGCCCAGCCTTCAGTGTCCAGGGCCTCTTCTGACAGGCCCTGCTGGTTATCACTGTTGGCATTATCTCCACGCACCACTTCTGTGCCCAGGGCTGCTGGGTCACCTTAAGGAGCCACACACCCGTCTACATAGAGGCCCTTCCTGCTTGGGGTCTGACCCAGTTATCCCCTCCACACCTCCATTCTCCCAGACTTTTGACTCACCCCAGCCCTGCTAAGAGTGATGTCCTCCCCCAAAGAGAAGACCCCTGCTCTTGAGGGTCTGCCAGGTGGGTCCCTCATCTCCCCACCTCCATGGGCCTCTTGGATTTTGTGCATAGCAATCTCTGCAACACCCTGACCTTTATGGGGTCATCCTCGGCCAATGAAGCGGTGGGTCCAGGCTCCCCCTTCTATCACCTGGCTCACTTCCATCCTGCAGAGGAAGCTTGGTTTCATTTAGGACA
Organism: Homo sapiens; assembly: GCF_000001405.40. Taxonomy (NCBI): domain Eukaryota; kingdom Metazoa; phylum Chordata; class Mammalia; order Primates; family Hominidae; genus Homo; species Homo sapiens. The sequence goes on along the minus strand of NC_000002.12, from coordinate 60,497,860 downwards.
ATGTGCAGGATCCTTTTGATCATTTCTCTACTGGATCATCAGCAAAGGGAGAAATGAGACAAAAGAGGCCACTGAGTCCTTTGGGGGAAATATGTGCCTATAGTAAGGTGATAGTTCAGAGAAAGAGAAGAGTAGGAGGCTGGACCTGAAGGCCTTCCAAAAAAAGTAAAGGATGTTAAATTGCTCTGGAAGGTGCAAAGTGCCATCCAGTGGAAGCTATTATTATTATTATCATCATCATAATGGTCATTATCATCACCATTATAGGATATGGCACTGACGTAGGTAGTGACTGGTAAGAGCCGATTGAGTTTCTAGCTGATTCCTGATGTTAGGGGCCATGAATCTGTCTACCTGGAATGTTCTAATTCAATTCAGGAGCGGCAGTTTAAGTCTAGACTTCAAAGCACTCTCATATATCCTTGGCCTGCTAACCTGAGGGCTAGTTTCTAGGGATTGATTAACTTAAAGACAGTTCATATATGCTTGAATACTAGCTATTCATATTCTGAAAAATCTGACTTGATCAAACAGAGCAGTTAAAGGCGATGCTTCGTTTTACAAAAGATTTTCCCCCCTCTTTACAAAAGGATGCACAGTGGTATTCCTTTCAATGGAATGTTTCTCTAGCTCATTAAGTGTTTACAGGTCATTAGCTACTGCATGGAAGGACTTTGCTAGAGAAAAGGAAGGCTGCAAGGAAATAGCTCTAGCTCTAGCTCTAGCTTAGGGGATGCTAGCTAAAGGGAATTAGAATTGGTTGGCCAACAGGTGTCTGCGGTGTACTCCCTGTCCACTCAACACTGGGGGAGGAGTAGAGATCTTGCTTCCTTCCATGTGAGAGCTTATAGTCCCTTTGGAATCCAGATTTATCGTGAAGTAATCGTGAAGACAGAAATTAAGTGCTACATTGTGTTCACTCATCTCTTATGACTGTCCATGGGGAAATGGGTCCTGCTTTACAAAAATTCAGTTTGCATGCTGCTTTTCAGGCCTATGACTGTGACATCCAGTGAGGGAGATTTGAGGAAGGGGTTGATGTAAGACTCCTCTTGGGAGCATAGTGAGAGAGAGAGAGAGAGAGAGCACTCACAGTGGAACCTAGAGTGGGAAAGGCTACCTGGTGGCTGTCCTGGCATGTAAGTAAGTCTGTGTGGTCAGGGCTTGCATTCCATAAATGGCCCAGGCCCCTGCTGGCTGCTGGGAGAGAAAGTCGGTGAGGAGAGAGGGTTGTACAAGGCAGGAGAGATGTACTCACCAGGCTCTTCCAGAAGGGGTAACTGTCTCAAATCCTTGCCTTGAACCTGCAGCAAAGTGGAAGATAGGTGTTATCCTCCTCTCTTCCCTCTTTCCTGCTTCAGGCTACTCTGAACTCACTTTTGCTGTGTGTCCAGAGCTGACCAGAGGACAATGGCAGACTTATTGTCAGACTGGCAGCACCAGCCTAGTGCTCTGTCTCTGCCTGGGAAATGGTTTCACAAAGCTCCAGTTCTGCCCTGGACACTTGCCTCATAGGGCTATCCCTTTGCCCCTCAGTAACACCACTGGGATGGTCCACTCCCACCCTGTCCCCCATCTGTGGTAGCCTGTGTTGCCTCGTGGGACAAGGCATTCTGTAAACGTGTATTGGACTTCCATTGCTTAAGTCATGATTTGTTTTTCCGACTTCCAGAACTTTCCCGGTTCTGGTTTTCTGGGATTTCATGAACAATTCCCTGTTTCCGTAATCCATTTCCTGCACAGGTGCATTGCTTTCAATCATCTCCCCTCCGGTTATCCTAAAGCCTTCATTATCAATTGACTTTTCACATATGAGGGTGACCTCTGGATCCCTTCTCTTTGGTTTGTTTGTTCTCTTTTCCAGAGCTGCAGTATGTTTCTTAGGTGTTTTAAAAAATAGCTAAGAATAGTGAAAACACCCTTGTAATTTAGAGACTCTCAGAAAAATGACAGCACCATTTAGAGCCTGGAATTACAGTTTGACTTCACTGTGCCTTCTCTGCCCCAGGCTCCCATGGTGGCAAGGGTTTTTGGTTGGGGGAAGGGGTATTGAATTGCCTGTCTTTGAGCAGGAAAAGAATTACAGTTTTCCAGGTACCTTTTGTGTGTATGTGCTGATTGAGGGCCCATTGAGAATATTTTGACTTTTAGGGAAGCTCCAAACTCTCAAACCACAGGGATCACAACACATACGTGTGTCTGTTATGACGTTATATGTAAGCATCACAACAGGCAGAGAATGTCTGCACCCCACCCTGGAAAACAGCCTGACTGTGCCCCATGGGCAAACCAGACTAGTTTATAGGGGGTTCTACTCTGAGGTACTGATGGACCTTGGGTGCTATTCCTGTGATAAGGAAGGCAGCTAGACAGGACTTGGGAGTTATCTGTAGTGAGATGGCTGAAAAGCGATACAGGGCTGGCTCTATGCCCCAGGTGTGCATAAGTAAGAGCAGATAGCTGATTCCAGTGCAAAGTCCATACAGGTAATAACATAGGCCAGAAAAGAGATATGGCATCTACTCTTAGACATAACACACCAGGGTCAATACAACTTTGAAGCTAGTCTAGTGCAAGCTAACAGTTGCTTTTATCACAGGCTCCAGGAAGGGTTTGGCCTCTGATTAGGGTGGGGGCGTGGGTGGGGTAGAAGAGGACTGGCAGACCTCTCCATCGGTGGCCGTTTGCCCAGGGGGGCCTCTTTCGGAAGGCTCTCTTGGTGATGGAGAATTGGATTTTATTTCTCAATGGGAATGAAATAATTTGTATGCCATGCCGTGTGGACTCCCAAAATTGTAAAGGAGGTGAAGCTTCCCCTGTCTGCACTCTCCCCTCCTCATAATTGTCCATTTTTCATCTGTCGGGCTGTCCACCCATCCATCACATATAGGCACCTATCAGGTACCAGCTACTGTGTTAGGATCTGTGTTCCCAACTGACTTGCCTCCCCCTGACGTCATATTCTTTTCCTTTTTCCTCTCCCTTTTCCCTTTTCTTCTGACCCAAACTAGGAATTGGGGAAAGGGCCTGATAACTTTGTTTCTGCTGAGGTGTAACTAATAAATACCAGGAGGCAGCATTTTAGTTCACAAGCTCGGAGCACTTACTCTGCTCTAGGAACTTTACAAATACGCACTCATTTTATTTTCATACAAACCCTATGAAGCATATACTATTATTATTCCTATTTTACGGATGAGTCCATATTTTAAATTCCAGCTGAAGAAAGAACATTTGGTGATAAATCATTAGGAATGAGCTAGGAGTTATTTGTCATCACAGAACCAGTCTGTATTGCCCCAAGTCTGGCTTTGCCAATTGGAGATTAGGGAGATGGAATGAACACTTTTCGTCCCCTTTGATATCTCATCTCACTGAGCTCTGGGCCGTTTCCACTCTTCTCTCCCCATACTCCCATCTTGGCAAAAATTGCATAAGATTTATAAGACATTAGGGTATTGGAGATAATTTATTACAACCTCCTTGTTTACAGAGGGGCAACCCAGGTCCAGAGTGGGGAGGTGACCAGGCCATGGTCACTGCCCAGTTTAGAGGCCATGCACAGATGAGAAGCCAAACTCCCAGCTCCCAGCCCACGTCTTCCCACTCTCCCATGTGGCCTGTCAGCATCACCCTCTCTCACTCTTGCTTAGCCTGTGTAGCTCAAGGATGTATTTATTGCCCTAGGCGTAAGAATGTGCTCAGGTTTCTTAAGTAATGTAGGTGTGCCTCACCCATGGGGCTTCACTTTCTCTCTGTTTATTGCCAGTAGTGGTCTCTGTTCTGTTTTCTTCAGTTTCTCCCCCTTGCATTGTTGTCTAAGATGGCTGTCCTGTCTTTTGTCCACTTCCCCTCCACTCCCCGTACCTTCCTTTAATCAGCTTCCGCCACTGCCTGAGGCCACTCAGCTCTGGTCCCACTGGAGGCCCTGTCTCCCCCAGGGGTCCTTCTGCTTCCTGTTCACCTCTGATCCCCCAGCCCTGCCATGGCCAAGCTGATGAGGATGGGGGAGGGGGAGGCAGGGGGAATCTTAATTTCCTGCACTGAAGCTTTGCTGTCCACAGCACTGGGCAGCAGCTGCCTCCCTGGAGTGTTGTGTGAGACCTTGATGCTGTCTTTCTTCCCAAGGCCTTTGGCAAGGTAGAAGTCATCTCCTTGACTCTCCATGCTGCTAATGGGGGAGGTCAACTAAGTCCATTTCTGAGCTAGTGGGGGCTCTTAGGACTCCGAACACCACACTTAAGTTATCTCTGACCCAGAGTCCAATTTATTTGGCCTGATTCAAATGAATGCCCATTTTAAGAATGTTTTGGGGTCTCTTCCCATCATTTCCTTAGTGTAGTGGAGAGGTTTCTATTCGGAATAGGATGACATTTGGTAGCTGAGCCAAACAGATAGCTGGGATATAGGGTTTGGAGTTGAACTCTCCAGGGAATGGGGTGGGAGGGGGGCAGCCTGGAGGATGACAAAATGAGGGC